>NC_000011.10:112323939-112626970 GCF_000001405.40 Homo sapiens | reverse complement strand
AGGATATGTAGGACTTAGATAATTAGTGGGTGGACATCTGATTTATTGATGCTGGGCAAAGAGGGGCACTCAAGCAATACATGCAGTGCCAACTGAGATGTTGAGGGAAGCTCAGCTTTTTTAGAAAGCTTCCCCATGCACAGCTGTGATCCAGTTGCATCAGAAGATGCTGAGAGCTCACAAGAAGGGAAGATGAGACTGCTAAGGCTGAACTAGAGGCAAGGATTGTATCAATAGACTCCTTCCTCTTCCTTTCATGATAGGATCCTGCTGTGGTTGAATGTATGTGTCTTTCCAAAATTCATATGTTGAAACCTAATCACCAAGGTGATGGTATTAGGAGGTGGTTGAAACCTAATCACCAAGGCGATGGTATTAGACTAACTCAGAGAATTACAGGTGTGAGCCACCATGCCCTGGCCAAGAGTTCATATTTTTAATTAATTTATTTTCAACTTCAGATGTAAGGGATTGAGTAAATTGTACTTCTTGCATTTTTCCATGTAAGGCCTCTCTCTTGTTTTATGTATTTATTCATTCTTTTTTATTCATATATCTCTCCCCACCTCCCCACCAACCACAGTCTATCATTCCAATTGTTCAATATGCATATGCTTATTTATATGTATTGATGTAAACAAATATTGTTTTGTATGCACGCATTTTTAATTAGTGTAAATGTTGTGTTACATATCTCACTCTGTTTCTTACTTTTTTCCCACTAGCTATGTTTTTAAGGTTCATCTGTGTGGTTATGTTTACATCCAATCAATAGCTGCTAACTGCTACAGGAGCTTCTATGATATATATCCAGCACATTTTACTTTTGTCTTCTCGCAGGAATAGATGCCCAAATTGCAGTTAACTCCTCCTTGACTAACAAATAGCTCTATTGTGAGCATGTTTTTACATGCCCCCTGTCCATTGTCTCCCCAGCACTGGAATGACTGGGTCAGAGGATATACACAGACTTAATTCAATGAAGTCATGCATGCGTACTCTCCAGAGTGGCTCCACAAGTGTGCACGCCCACTAGCAGTGCATTAGGGTGAAACATTTAACTTCAAGATTCATGGCACTGACCAATGCACTGGTATTGTAGGAGTAGGTTCTGGTGTCTCCAACCTATGTCAAAAGTATATTTTACCTAGAGATATATGTTACATTTTCTCTTCCATTTCATTTCTAAGGCTTCTCTCAGCCTTATCATCACTAAACAACACATTCCATGATAAGTGTTGAGCTATGTCTCAGTCCATTTCTGCTTTTATAACAAAACATCTGAGACCTGATATTTCCTTATAGTTTTGGAGGCTAGGAAGTCCAAGATAAAGGTGCTACAAGATTCGATGTCTGGTGAGGGCTGCCTTCTGCTTCCAAGATAGTGGAAGCTGGAAGGAAAAAAAGACCTGTTTCCTACTGCCCTTTTATAAGGGCACGAATTCCACTCACAAGGGTAGAGCCCTAATGACTGAACCACCTCCAAGAGGCCCTGCCTCCTAGCACCATCGCCTTGTTGATTAGGTTTTAACCACCTCCTAATACCATCACCTTGATGATTAGGTTTCAATAAATTTATAGTCTATAAATTTTGGAAGGACACATACATTCAACCACAGCAGGATCCTATCATGAAAGGAAGAGGAAGGAGTCTACTGATACAATCCTTGCCTCTAGTTCAGCCTTAGCAGTCTCATCTTCCCTTCTTGTGAGCTCTCAGCATCTTCTGATGCACCTGGATCACAGCTGTGCACGGGGAAGCTTTCTAAGAAAGCTGAGCTTCCCTCAACATCTCACTTGGCACTGCATGTATTGCTTGAGTGCCCCTCTTTGCCCAGCATCAATAAATCAGATGTCCACCAACATTATCAAAGTCCTACATGTCCTGAGGTAAACTAAAAGTAAAATGATCCAAAAGTCGAAGGCAGGCAGGCCAGTACTAGTTTCCCTGTTGTACAGGTAAGGAAATGCAAGGTTACAGGAGTGTTTCAGGCATATCCAATGCTGGAAAGCAAAGAGGAATATGAAATATTCAAAGCAGATGGGATTTCAAATCACCACCACATAAGGAAGGAGCTCAAAATGCCTTCCTCAAATGTGATTGATGTTCTGTCAACAAACAAGAAGCTAACATTTTGATGGAGTTTTATGATTTCCAGTACACTTTTACAAAATAATCTTATTAGTTCCCAACAAACCTATGAGGAATTAGGTCAGCTATATCTAATGTTCCTAATTTATGGTAAACGAAACTGCGGGCTAAAGAGTTGAGATGACTTGCTTAAGATCCCATTTTTGGTCAGTTGTGGAGTTGAAAACCAAGTGTGAACTCCAGGCTGGGGTCAGAAAATGTGATTTATAACAATGCGTTAGTTCAAGCAAAATTCCACTGTTGTAAAAGAATTTGGAGTCCAAGTGGGAGTTTATTATAATGGAATCTGATCCAAGAATAGTAATTCATGGTTACAAGAAACATTTAAAGTGGGACAATAAATTACACGTGATATTTCCAAATTTGGGCACTGTTTACCAGAGAAAAGAGAGAAAGAGGAGACAATATTTATTTCTTAAAGAAAATCTATAGTACCTCTCCTTTCTCATCTCTTTACTAGTCAGTAGCCAAGGTAATTTCACCAGAGGTCCTACGGCAACTCTCACCAGTTCCCCTGCATGTAGATCAGAAGAGACGACTGCTCTCCACTGCTCGCTGTGCACATCTCCAGCAGCTCCCAGTGCCCCCCAAGGGTGTAGCCTCCCTGAACCCCCAGCGTGCAGAGAGAGGCAGGGCAGGGCTTGCAGATCAAGGGGATCCACTGTCCATGCTGCGAAGAGGAAGATCAAAAACGCAACAGTTCTAGGATCCCAGGCAGCAGTCTGTTATAGAACAGTCGAAAAAAATTTTTGTTTGATTATAGAGACAGAAAAGACCACCTGCTCTGAAGATGTGCAGTTTTCTTGTTAAAACTCCTCCCTGAGTCCCAAGGAGTAATTGCAGGTCCGATTCCTGCTGTCTGGGATGCTGCTCCACAGGGCCCAGTTTGGGGACTGAATCAGAGGATCCTTCTGATGGTTCCATCAGCCCAGGGGTGGCTGAGTCAACCTCTGACCTGGAACTTCTGAATTCTGACAATTCACTGTCCATCTTCCAGCAGTATCCCTGGGGGAAGAGACATTAGCTCAGGCATGAATAGTCACTCTCGGTTCATTTCCAGGCCTCCATGGTTTTATAAATGATGAAAAAGAACCTGTGTAAGAAGTGATACAGTTCTAAGAAAAGACAAGGTAAGAAAATAAGCTTAAGTTGGCTATGAAAATTGTGGTTTAGATTAGTGTCACCTCCTTGCCACTGACAAAGATTGCTAAGTTGATACTGGTGGCTCTTGCCCCTGGGAGTGATTTGCCCAGAGGAAGAAGACACCTTTATACACACGCTGGAAAACTATGCTGTTCTTGTACCTAAAGAATACAGCTGCTACCTCTACAGGTGCTCAGGCTGGGAAGCACCTTTGATCTAGGGCCTCCAGACAAGCCCTAGGAGCTGCTGTTGAAGATGGGGTCCAAGCAGACAACAGCAAGAGTAGAGACATCCAGGAAGCTGGGGGACTTCCCTGGAGGCTGATGCCAGCAGGACAAACTCTCCTGTCAGCTCCTCTTTACATGTTCAGCTTGACTTACAAGGAGAAAGAGGTCCAGTCCCTCTGAGTTTCAGTACTTCTTTTGTCCTCACATCCACTTTCTATAGGAGGGGTTCAAAATGTCAGTCTTCTTCTCTGCTTCCTGGTTCCCCACCCTCACTTCCACATCCTCATCTAAAATCTTCACTTGGACGACTTTGGTGGCTCAATGTCCTGATCATTCATAGTGGTTATTAAGCTAGTAAATTGGCAGAGGCTGGCCTTACAAAACAAAAACCCAGGACATCCAGAATTGTCCACTGGGGAGTTAGGAGGTGTTCATTAAATCTTGACATCTTTTCTGCTTTTAATGCCCCACTCCACCCCTAGGCTCACTCACAAACACAGCAAGTTTTAGCTCAGTGGGGTTGGAAATATCTTGGGTTCAGTGAAATTGCTGTGAAGTCGAGGGGTCATAGGAAAGTAGCAAGGTCCCCTTGTACTTGGAGTAAAATCCATTACTCCAGAGTGTCCTCCTAGATGAACTAGCCCCTGCTCACCTCATGACCTCACTCTTTGTGATATGGACACATTTACCGTCTTCCAGTTCCCCAAACAGGCTGATCCCTTACTCCCCTCAGGGACTTTTCTTACTGGTCGTGTCCCGTGGATGTCTGTCTTTGCATGGCCTGTGTATTAGTTTGCTAGAGCTGCCTTAATGAATTACCACAAACTGGGGGCTTAAACAAAAGAAATTTATCGTCTGAATTTGGGAGGCTGGACGTCCAAGATCAAGGTGCTGGCAGGGTTGGTTCTTTCTGAGAGCTGAAGGAGAATCTGCTTCAGGCCTCTCCCCTAGCTGCTGGGTGTTTGCTGGCCATGTTTGGTGTTCCTTGGCATATAGAAGCATCACCCCAATCTTTGCCTTCATCTTGACATCTTTGCCTGTGTTATCCCTGTGTGCACATGGGTGGCTGTGTCCAAATTTCCCTGTTTTATAAAGACACCCATCATATTGAATTAGGGGCCCACTCTACTCCAGTATGACTCCATCTTAATTAATTACAGCTGCAATGACTCTATTTTCAAATAAGGTCACACTCTGAGATCATGGAAGTTAGGGCTTCAAGATACGAATTTTGCGTGAATATAATTCAACCTATAACTGCTGGCTCCTTTTTATCCCTCAAATTATAGCAGAAACATCACATTCCCAGGTAAGCTCCTCTAACTATCCTATCCAAACCATCCACCACAAAACCCTGTTTGTCAAGCCAATCACAATTGTCAAGTTTTGATGGTTGACCCATTTGTTCCACTGTTTCCCTTGTCCACTAGACTGGAAGCTCAATTTCCAACGCATAAAGGGGGCCTGTTTGTCTTGTTTCTGCTGGACTCCCTTCCCACCCTGAAGGCACATTGAGTGATATCTGTATCCAGCACTGTGCAGTGCCCAGCCATACTGGAGCCTGAGACAAATGGAGAAATTAGTACCAATCCAGTCTTGATTGAAATTTTGAATATTTTGTGCATCAAGGATTTTTTGCATTGATTTTTTATTTTCTAAATGTTGTATTAAAATATCATTTACCTTGATTACCGAGGTGTTTGGTGCCCCCTTTTGTGCCAGAGGCAAGTGCCTCATTCGTCTAAGCTAGTCCAGGTCCTGTCTGTATCATTGGAAATGAAGAAGAAAGGAAGCAGGTTACTCAATCAGTAGGAACAGAGTGATTCTCCTCACTGTGAAAGGCAGCAGAATGACAGAGCATCCTCTTCAATGGAATTGGGTGGAAATGGACTTGAGGGAAACTGAGGCAAGCATAGGGTCTTGGAAACCTAAGTACAGCACTTCATTCCCTTAAATTTCCTGTTCCTCATGGGAACAAGCTTTGGTTTGATTTTGTTCTGAGAGCTGCACTTCCCCTCTCCCAACCCTGGCCTCAGAGCTAATCCAGGGCCCAGGACAAACATCACTTCATTTCTGCCCCAGCCTCAGCTCCCGAGAGCCACAGAGGTACCATGGTTCCTGGTGTTGTGAGGTCTCTGTTCCCTAACTATGAGGTGCTGATACACCCAGGGTGGGGCCAGGGCTTCTGAAACTCACATATCACTGAGCAGCAGTGATTCTACCAAGAATGTCTAAGGACTGTTCTGCTTCCGGGTCAGAGGGAAACCTGACACCCCAGCCTAGGGCTCTAGCTCCTCATCTAGTAACCCCATACCACCATTTTCTCCACAGAACTTCTCACATTCACCCAGCTTCCCTTTCGTGCCTTTCCTGCTCCACCTTCTTTTCTACCTTACTCTCCTCCTGTCCCTCCCCTGCAGCCAGAATGAGACATGGCACTTAAGGGACAGGTTTATTCTTCCTGTTCCCCACAAGAGTCATTTCAGAGTCAAACATCTCTCTATAACCCTGTTTCTGGGTGATAAATTACCTAGACAGACAAGAAAGTGGAATACTCTCTCCCCGGTGCTGAGCGGGGCTTCTATGCCAGTGGTGCTGGGCCGTGGGGAAGAGGATGTGTCTCTGCTGAGTCATGGTTGGAAACCAGTTCTGCAGTTTCCCAGTCACTTAGAGTCTCAGAGATGTCCACATCGCAGCCTGGGAAACTGGTTCTAGCCCAAGGTGAGCACTGAAGTAGCTCAGCAATGTGGGTGCACACTGCCTGAGGTGCAGCAGCTCTTCTAGGAGTATAGGACCTGCTTGGTCTCCTTTCCCAGAAGCACCAGTTTCTTGAGCACTCAAGGCCTGCAGCTGCACCCAGTGGGGTCTGATCCTGAGCCACTCTGGCAAATGGGCCTTCTTTTTGGAGCAAGTTACTTCTCCCACCTGGAGGGAGCTGGGCATTTAAGCAATGTTGTCTTTGAAGCCCACACTGTGTGAGAGCTAAAAGGAGAGGCATCACAGTGCCCAAGATGACGTAGAGTCAGAGACTTTCTTTACCCTCCAAAATAGGGCTTTTTTTTTTTTTTTTTTTGAGATGGAGTCTTGCTCTGTCTCCCAGGCTGGAGTGCAGTGGCCTGATCTCGGCTCACGGCTCACTTCAACCTCCATCTTCTGGATTCAAGGGATCCTCCTACCTCAGCCTCCTGAGTAGCTAGGATTACAGGCACATGCCACCACACCTGGCTAATTTTTGTATTTTTAGTAAAGACAGGGTTTCACCATGTTGGCCAGGCTGGTCTCGAACTCCTGACCTCAGGTGATCCACCCACCTCAGCCTCCCAGAGTGCTGGGATTACAGGCATGAGCCACCACGCCCAGCCTCGAAATGCAGCTTCAATGCCTCTCAAATGCAAATGACGTCACTTACCCTGAATGAGTTGTTGTAAGGGTTAAATGTGGATGTATGAAAACATGACTAAATTGCATTTGACAGGAGCTCTGAAAGCAACACACCACACTGGCATATGCAACACACACACACACACACACACACACACACACACACACACACCCCTACCTCCAAGGGAGTCAGTGGGAATGGTCATACCATAGGAGCCTAGGCCATTCAGAACCTTCCACCCAAAGCTCAACCCAATTTCTAAGATGCCCAGGGACTTCCTTCTTGTCCCCTCCTGCATCCATGGAGATGGTAACTGTGATCGTGGCTGGAGGGAAGAGTGTGTAGGACTACACATGCCTCTCCTTCTTATTTCTGAGCTGGGCCATTTTGGTGGCTGTATTTCTGAGCTAGGGTTCTATACCTCTTGGAATAGGAACCACCCTGCCTTTGCTGGGCCTCCTACCATGTTTGAAACAAATCCATTTGGTGGCCAAAACAGGATGAGGAAAGAAATATTTCATTTCTCTGTTTTTTCTCCAGCCCCTATCAATAGACAATTGATTTTATTTTTCTTAAATGCTATGCTCATGTAGATTCTACTGCCTGACTGGCCAAAGGAGACAAACATGATAGAAAGACTCTAAGACCCTGGGCTGCCCAGATTGCAGGAGGAAGCGGAGTTTAACTGGGGAGGGATCAAGGCATGAGACTCTAAAAGACACAAGTAGAAAGGAGCTTCAGAAACCGTTCCAGGGGAGAGAAGGCAGAGTCATGGGTTAGAAAGCATGTGAGAAGTCAGCCGGTTTGCCTTCTCATCCGAGGCAGAAAACCATTTGTCATTCACACATTCATTCAACAAGCAACTGTTGCTTATCTAACCTCTGCCTGCGCAGTTTTGGTGATGGGAGGCTCATTCTTTCTTCAAACACAAAAAAGAGAAATTTGGCTCATTAGGCTTTCAAAGCTTTCCCCAATGGTATAAGCACCATAAAGTCAAGATTCATGTGTATTTTGCTACCTACTTCATTTCTTGTGCCTAGCACAGAGTTGTCACTTAATATTATTTGTTGAATGAATAAATGGACATATGGATGAGTGAATGAAACACATCAACAGCAGAAAAGAACAAATGCCCCCCAGGGCTCTAAGGACATGATTGGGGGTTGGGGGTAAGTACCAAGAAAAACATCTAAAGTCTCAATGTTTTTCTTAAAAATTCATGGAAAATTTGCACTTTGCATCAAAATATATCCTTCATTTTCTATAAAAATGATGCTTTGGTGTATCTACTGGAGGGCAGAGTTTATGTATGCCTTGTGGCCTTGCCCCAGGCACAGTGCCTCGAGTCCCTGGCAGTACGCACAGGCGGGTTCGGGGGAGCCCGGCACTGGGCTCTTTCCTGATCTCATCCCTGCATCCTGTTGCCAGTATTCTGCATCCGCTTTCCGCCTCATTGCCATTCCATCGACCTCCTCCCTGGCTCTTGTCTAGCCCACCCCAGGTCTAGGTTCTGCTCTCAGGCTTCACCTCCCAGGGGCAGCAGGAAATGGTGCTCGTCTTGCCTTTTTTTTTTTTTTTCCCATAAAACTCTAGGTGAGGCCATGAATAATTGGTCCTTTCTGGAGAGGGACTGATAATCTGTCTTTCCTGGAGCTATTACCAGGGTGGCCTGCAAGTGTTAAGAGGAGAAAATGGGGCAGTGGCCAGGGGTGGGGAGTGAGCTGAAGATAATGGAGTCGAGAGCTGCAGAGAGGTCCCCTCCGGGCAGCCAGACTGTGAATCATGGCAGTCCTGGGGGAAAATCGCACTGCCTAGCCTTCCTGCCCTGCCTCTGCGGCTGCCCCACATGGTTGCTTCCACTGGGTCTGCACCTGGGCTGTTTGGCTCTCACTGCTGGAGAGGCCTTGCCTGCCCCATGGGTATGGTGGACACACTGGCTCCCACCTATGTGGAGCAATGTGAAGGGCACCAAAAGTCTTCATCAATAACACCATGCCTGTGTCCATCAGCAGCCACTGTGGAACCTATTATGAACCTAGCACAGTGCTTGGCTCTGAGGGGCATCCAGGGAGGCAGAATACAGACCCTGTGCACATCGGCTCACCACGGGAAATGTCCACATCCCTGGCTCTGAGCAAGACCTGGACTGGCCCCCCTCAGAATCACTCCTGTAGTCTAACACCCCCCCATTAGAATGGAAAGGTGCTCCCCAGAGGTTTAATAGTCAATCCTCATAAGTGCATAGCATCCATAGTTTGTGGTGCATTTTTATGTTCATTATCTCATTTAATCCTTAAAATTATTTTATGAATTTGTTGTAGAAATAGAAACTTAAGTAAGAGATTCCTTTAAGGTCATGGATCTGAAAAGTGGTGAGGCTGCAATTCAAACCCAGAATTTTCTAAGAACATTGTCTTTCTTCTTTCTTATTCCCCTACTCCATGCCTATGGGGAAAAAAGGTAAACTCTGATGTGGTGAGAGGTCAGGGGTTGTGGGAATGGGCTGAGAAGAGGGTCAAGCTGGGCAGGATGTCGCCATGGGTGGCTCTGAGCAACCACATGAGTCTGAGGACCTGGGATTCTGCAAACTGCTGAAAAGGGAGAGAGCTGTCAGCCAGGCCTAGATATGTTTGTTCGTATTTCTCCCTTGAACTGAGCCTGCTAGAGATACAATTCCCAGATGGGCATAAGGACATGGACACTTGGGTAGGAATGATACAGAGTTGAATTAGGTGGTATTTGCTTTGTTTCTTTGGATCTCTCAGAGCAGTGACATTGATTTAGTGTCACTGTGCACAGTACTGGATGTCGTCGGAAGCCTATGATCTAGGAATTCACCATGCCTCTTCCATGGCTTTTTTTTCCCTCCACTGGGGAGGGGTCAAGTGCCTTCCTTTGCTCTGCAACTCTCCACTGTGCTTGGGAAGGTAGGTGCCCCCCAGCCCCATCAACCCTCCCTCTGACAGGGTAGCTAAGTGTCCCATTTGCCTCAGGAAAGAGCATTTGACTCAATAAACAGTACTGGTCTTGTTCAGGTACACTCCTTTTTCTGTGTCCTAGGTAGAATTCATATTTCCCATTACTTAAGCCCTTCTTAAGCCCTTTTGATCTTTGCTCTTTTGGTTTGGTTTTCCTGGGCTGCTCACCACAAAATTGCTGCCCTCTTAATAATACGAAAGATGCCCCATAGTGACCTGCCCAGTGTCTGTGTGTGTGTGTGTGTGTGTGAAGAGAGAGAGACCATGCTGCTTCTATTCCTCAGGTTGAGATATGACAGCTTCCTGTGAGACCCTTGAAATCCCCAAGGTGTTTTCCTATGGGGTTGTTCAGATGGCCAACACAGAAAGATCTCTGCATACACACTCACGCCCTGGAATCTGCACAATGAATGGCTGTCCCAGCAGGACCAGGATTGGGCGTTGTGTTGATTCCAAACACCCCACAGCACTTCCTTTTCTCCAGCTTATCTCTCATGGAGAAGACCTGAAGCCTGTTTCCTTGACAACCAGTCTCCCTCTTTCCCCATATTTTTTATTGCTGTGGTTATAAGGTGTATTTAAACCCAGCAGCCATGTTCCCATGGTGATAGAAGACCCCCAGTAAGTTGCCATGGGAACAAGAGATGTCTTTGAAAGAGGATAAAAGTAAGTCAGCTTTGCAAGCGATGACAGCAAAGTTAGAATCTAGAGAGGCTGGAGAATATGGCTCAAGCAGGTATCAGGTCATGGTTAATAGCCCAGCCTATTCTACCTGTGACCAGCCTCAGGTCATGGGGGGCAGAGAGGTGACACCAAGCTTCCTGCTCTGTTCACAAGAAGACTATGAGCAAAGCAATATGACTGCTGGAATTTAAAAACAAGTTCTCTCCAGTTGCTCTTATTTGCTATTTAATCCTTTGTCTCTCTTCTTCTGAAAGGTTTTTAGAGATAGAGGAACTAGGTGGGGCAGCTGAACTGAAAGACCAGGATGATGAAGGCATTTGTTCTTTTTAGCTGTTTCATAACAGGAAAGAAGTCACTTCTGAGTTCTGAGATCTGATGCCCTTACAAACAACAAGCATTATTTCCATTTTGTTTTTCCCTCAACATTTTGTTATTAGTATTTCCAAACATACAGCAAAGTGAGAAGAATTGGCAGTTAACATCATATACCTATCATTTAGTTTCTACTATCAACATATTACTACATTTGCTCTGTCATCTGTCTACCCATCTATCCACTGATTTTTCCCTTAACTAAGAACTAGTTAGTGAATAAACTAGCATTCATACCAGAATAGTTTCTTGCCAAAGCATGTTTCCTTTCCATTATACTGCACTTAGGGTGACCAACCATCCCAGTTTGCCTAGGACTAAGAGGATTCCCAGGAATCCTGAGACTTTTGGTTTTAACACTGGTACAGCCCAAGAAGTTGTTTACCCCAATCCCTGCACAGTATGCTTTGGGAAATTTAGGGTTTGATTAAGGAGTAAGGGGCCCTGAGCAAGCAAGCACACAACTACCTATATAAACAACTGTAAGTAGAAAGAGAGACAGAGCCAAGTGTTGGAAAGGATATAGAGCTAGTGGAACACTCATAGACTGTCAGTAGGAGTGTCAATTGTTGTAGTCACTTTAGAACATGATTTGGAAGGATCTACCAAAGCTAGACACACACATAGCCTATGACTCAGTGATGCCACTCTAGGTGTACCCAAGAGAAATGAGAATATATGTTCACTAAAACAACAACAACTAAAAATCTAAAAGAATGTTCAAGGCAGCTTTATTCTTATTAGCCCAAACTAGAAACAACCCAAATGTTCATCAACAGAATAAATAAATTCTGTAAATGCATATAATGGAGTACTACATGATATTAAAGATAAAAAACTTTCTGACACGCACAACAGCATGGATGAACCTTAAAGACATAATGTTGAATGAACAAAAGCCAGACACAAGAATTTATACTATATGAGTCCATTCATATGAAACTGCAGAAAAAAAAATCTCACTACCATGATAGAAGTGAGTGATGGGCTTGGGCCTGGGGAGTGGGGTAGAATGGACTGAGAAACGGACAAGAGGAAGCCCTCCCAGGAGGCTTGATGTGTTGTTCAACTTGACCTGGGTTGAACTTGAGCTCTGTAGCTCTCTACTGTGCTTGGGAAGGTAGGTGCCCCCCAGCCCCATCAACCCTCCCTCTGACAGGGTAGCTGGCTGACTGAGTGTCCCATTTGCCTCAAGAAAGAGCAGATGACTCAGAATAAACAGGACTGGTCTTGTTCAGGTACACTCCTTTTTGTGTGTCCTAGGTAGGATTTTCTGTGTCCTAGGTAGGGGATTATCAGACGTCTTCCTATAGAAGCACTCATTGAGGCTGTATATGTGAGATTAGTGTACAGTTTCCTCTGTGCAGGTTATGTCTGAATTTAAAAGTTTTCAAAAAGACAGACATTAGAACTCCAAAAACTAAAACAAGAGTAAAAAGGATATAGACAGAGTAGCAAATACTAAAGCTGACAGAGAAAGAGAAAACTGCAGTGTGATTGCCAGTAAACCCAGAAGGGGCTGAAAAACACTAAAGCGTGCTACCTAATTACTCTTTCACTCCAGAAATGTGATCCATGGAGTCTGTCAGGACCAGAGATTTCACATCTCACTACAAAGACCCAGAGCAAGTTGCCTGCAATGGAAAGATACTTTAAGAGAAGAAAAGTCATTTTCTGTCCTTAAACAGGAAGGAACAAAAGATTATCTCTCCTGTCTGAACTGAGGGGTTATTTGAGAAAAACACTCAGGAATTACCCATGGGTAGGCTTTTAGGAAATTAAAATCTGCAAATAAGCTGGGCACAGTGGCTCACACCTATAATCCCAGTGCTTTGGGAGGCCAAGGCGGGAGGATCATTTAAGGCCAGGAGTACAAGACCAGCCTGGGCAACATAGCAAGACCCCCATCCCTACAAAAAAAAAAAAAAAATTTTAATTGTCCAGGTGTGGTGGCATGTACCTGTAGTCCCAGCTACTTCAGAGGCTGAGATGGAAGGATCGTTTGAGCCCAGGAGTTCAAAGCTACAGTGAACTATGATCATACCACTGCACTCTAGCTTGGACAACAGAAAGAGCCCTTGTCTTTTTTAAAAATAAAAAAAATCTGGATACAAAGAAAAGGTTGTTTCTGTGTTTCCCACCTCTGAAGAAGGAATCTACTCTGGGAAATTTCCACTCCCTACAATAGGAGTAGTATCTGCTGGGGACAGGTGCGTGCACGGTCTGAGTCACCTCCAACTCTGCACATGTCTGGAGCCAGCACTGTGGGGGTGGGAGGACAGGAACCACATCTGTGTCTTCCGGGTATACCTGCCAAGCTTTCAACCAGTTTCGAGGTGCCCTCAAAGTCAGGGCCAGCCGTTTGGAAGCCTGGGCCATTGCACTGACCTTCCCTCCCCAGGTATTCTACTCCTCGGCAATGAGAGAACATATCAACTCATCCTGCTCTGGGGAGGTCCCAGGTCCCTCAGCAACCACCCCCTACAAATAAAGCCTTTCCTCTCCCGCAGAGAGCCAGGGAAGACAGGGTAGGACTTCTCACCCTCCTGGCCCCTCCATCCCAGATACCTTGGCTGCATCATTTCATTTTTCATTTTGTCTGGATTAATTTTGCATTGCTGCATGATTCACACTTCCTGTCTGGCTTCCAAAGCACATAACTAGAGGATCCCTCTGGAGAGGAATGCCGATTAATACCTTTAACATGCCTGCTTCTGATGGGGAGAGCAGTAAAAATACATATTTTCATATTACATCTATATTCATCTATATATTTTTAACATGTCATTGTGCCACTTTGTACAGAATTGTCATTTTAAGTGGTGATTTGGCCTCACTCCAGGGATTGATGCATCAGGGTCAGGTGGCCTCTGAGGCAGCTGTAATTTTTATGCTGAGCTCCCATCATAGGAGGAGTTAGCCTGGGGAGATTCACCACATTGCAGAGTGCTGAAGTGAGTGGTTCTCAACAGAAAGGGCACAGCTTTTAAAGAGAAGAAAAGTCTTGTCTTTTTCTCTGTTTTCTCAGAGAAGAAAGAATAAACCCTTGCCTGGACTGAGGGATTATTGCAGATGAGACTCAAAAAACATTTATATAACACCCCCAGCCAAAAGTCCCCAGGACACTGTTAATAGGAGTCAAAAGGCCAATGGAAATGTAGCCCTGGAGCATTTGTGCACCTGGAGGTCATTCAGGATTGAGGCCAAGGGTGTTTGTGCGCCCCTGGGGCCTGCAGGTGTGGTAACCCATACCCAGGTATCTACCAGCCAGCCCTTCCACCCCTAGGAAGAAAGGCTCCATGAAGTCAAAGTGAGAGAGGGAGAGTCCTCCAAGATCAGGAACTTCTCTTTGGGGCCAAATGAACTCCACCCAGAAGTGATGAAGAAAGGTAGGTAATGGATTGCTCAGACCACAGAACACCTGGCCTTCAAACCATGGGCTAAAGAAATCAGAATTGCGCTTTAAATTCTTCTGTAAAGGGGCATTTGCAGAACCACTGTCCTCTCCTCTGTATGAACATTGGGACCAGGATCCAGTTCCAGCTTTTCCAGGCTCCCGTCTCCCTCCCTCCTCCCTCCTTGCAGGCGCGTCCCCTCCCCTCCCCTCCCCCCTCCCACCCCCAACCCTGTGCTGCTGGACAACTGTTCCTTGCCCTGAGATCCTCTCCTATGGTAGAGCTTCCCTTCCTCCAAGTGCCTATTTAGAACCAGAAACAGAAATGGAGAAAAAAAAATCTTATTAAATATGTGTATTTCTGTTATTCCTTTTGGTGGGATAATCCCTAACAAACCGCAGCTGCAGAAGACTAACTGAGCAAATGATGGGAGGATATAAATATCTAGAATTACTGTATCTCAAATTCCGTTTTCCTGCTGCAGCCCCAAAGAGCCAGATTTAATTTTTAAAAGAGACTTCAGAGAGGAAGCCTAGGCTCCTAGCAAGGCTTTAGATACTTAATAAATGAAATAAGGCCCCTGTCGACAGAATTGAATGCGTATGTGTGCATCGGTGCACACTCGTGTCTGTGTGTGTCCACGTGCATGCATGTGTGTGTATTGGCAGGCAGGAAGAAGGTGGCTGCAGAGCCTGTGAAGATGAGCGTCAACCACCAAAAATTCTGATTTCCACACCCCTGATATAGGACACTTGTTTACATGAGAAGGTGAGAAGGGAAATTAAACAATGATTTTCAAATCCCTTAAGAGCTATTATGCAGCAAATATCATCCAGCTGTTCTCCACCTCCTGCCCCAGTTTCCCATCTGCTGCCTGTTTTAAGTGGCGCTTATGGGACAAGACCACTCACCACCTTTTGGTTGGCAAACTCCCGGGTATTTTGGCATGTGAGTTCTGTACAGACTGTCCCCTTGGAGATGGAGTTGGCAAGACATGGCCATTCCAAGTGGACTGGAATCCAAGTCTATACCATCTGGGTGGTAGGCTCTGCTCAGCGGGTACATGGACCTAAGCCAATATGAGCAGTGCATTGATACTCTCGGGGCACAGTGCCATGCTGCTGGTGCCAGATACCAGAATCACTCCCTGGATCCCCTGAGAGCAGTTAAGAAAAAATCAAGACTGGTGATTTGGAAGACCTCCCAGTAGGCATCTGGCCTCTAGACATGGAAACCAAATCAAATCTTGGGCTAGAAGAATATGGTACGCACATATGCATTTCATTCATCCATGCAACAGTTATTTACAGACCCCTGTTGGGGGCAGAGTTTCTATCCCAGCTTTCCAGCTTGGGCTTTATTGTTGCCTATGTTAGTTTGTTCTGCAGTCCACCCTAACACAGGGTAACTTAGCCTTAAAGGAAATGAGTAATTTCCTCTTCTGCTGGATAGAAAAGATTTCCACCCCCGTTGCCCTTTTTCAACTCCTGTGATAGACCTCCCTGCTCTCAGGTTTGCCTTCAGTTTTATTGGGCCACCTGGTTTTCAAGTGAAGGTGCTGCCTCCAGGGAGCCAGATACTGAGGGACTTAGAGCAGATGAATGTGACTTAGGAGGTAGATGGGACTAGGGACATGTTTTCCCTCCTCCTTGGTTCTGGTGCTACATCCGGCCAGGTAACACACACATGGAAAGTAACTATTTTGAATTCTGGTCCCAGAGCTGGAGGTTTACATGATCTGGAGACTTGGAGACCAAGAGAGATGCTGTATGTTTATTACCCCAGTTATCTCTCTCTCTGTAACTTTCATTCTACACCTTGGAGGGAGATATTTATTAGTCATGAGGTGGTCATACCATGCCAAATCTCACAGAGAATGAAGGTCCAGTCCCTGGCTCCATCTTACAACACTTTTTCACCATCTGTACTCTGAAACTTTGACACACATCCCAGAAATAGAAGAGGCTCAGTTCATCCCCTACTTCTATTGTTGCTCTCTCCTCCTTTGATGACAGATGTGTGTTAACCTGACTTGTTCTCTTATGAGTTCCTTGAAGGCTTCTTTGCTTATTCCCAAGTACTAGCACAGTGCTTTTCATATAAAGGGAACTCAGTACACAGTTGTCAAATGAGTGAATGGATGAATAGATTACAAAATGATTTACAGGTGATACTCTCACAGTGCTTTTGTTTAAAGAAATTGACAGGCCAGCTTTGCAAGAAAACCTACCCTTCTATTCTTCTAGGGTGAATGAGAGTAACTCTTATTTTGTATTAAAACCCCTTTTTTAAGTAAGAAAAGAAGGTAGATACATTTGAGCCTTGTTTGCAAAGCTGCTTTAAACCATTCCTCTGTAAACCAGTCCAAATAGAGTGCTTCTATCTAGGGAATAGAAAGGCCAATTAGAGGTCAATGGGCTCCCTCTTCCACGCCACTATGGAGACAAGTAACAGGTAGCCCAGTGTTACTTAAGCCACTGTGTCTGCACCTAATCACATACCCTACTCATTGTCCATGAATCCAACTCATCCCATCCCATATGTATCTGGCAAAGCACCAGATGACATTTCTGAATTCCTATATTTTCATTCTTGTTTGGCTCCCCTACCTTGGCCATCAGTGGCCATGAAGACCCCTGCTGCATGGGCAGCATTATATTCCTGGTCTAAAGCAAACAGCCCCAGGCCAGACAAATGTGGCTGAAAGATTGTCAGAGCCCTGCCATCTACTCCTGTCACCTCACTGACTCTCTCCATTTCTCTTATTTTCCACTCATACTTCTCAGTTCCATCTCTGATGATGATGACGATAATACTAATAAAAATGTACTGAGTGCTTACTCAGTGACAGCCACTGTCTTAGGAGCTTCACAAGCCTTGCTAAACATTACTCTCACAGCAACTTCAGGAGAGGGATGCCACTGTGATTCCCATTTCACAGATGAAGACAAGGAGCTAGAGGAAGGTTAAGTAACTCATTCAAATCACACAGCTAGTGAGTGTAAGAATCAGCATTCAAACACAGTTCCTCCTAACCCTAAAGGTCACTCTCAATCACAACACTGTTCTCCAACAATTTGCTCTGGTTTTGGAGTATCTCATTCTACTTTTCTTGGAATTCCACCATGGTATATCACCTAAGAACTGTTCCTTGCCTTGAGTCTCTCTCCATTGCTGCTTCTTTAGTACAAGTCCTCTCTCAATTCCCATGCTCCCCGCAATAGCTCTGGATTCAACCCAGTGCTTTTCTGCATTGCTAAATACACGATGAATTACAGTGTAAAGAAAATAGAAGGTGCCCCCAAATACTTGTTCAGCTAATTCATTGGTTGCTGATCTTCTACTCCAGGCAGGTAGGCCTTCTGGGCCTGATTCTAGGGTCACCACTTTCTATCCCAAAGGTTGCTCTTGCCATTCTTCTGATTCTCTGTCTTTTGCCTAATGGGCTTTCACCTGCCCAAGGCCCTGCCCCAGTCTGCTCCATGCAAGCACCGCATTCTTCACGCACTCCCCTCTCTGCCTAAACTGTGTAAATCCACAGGAGAGAATCTTAGACAATTACCCAGGTAGTCTCCCTTTGCAGGCATCTCCATGGTCGGCCCACATTTGTATGGTTTAATTCAACAACCACTGTTATAAGGAAAACTAAAGATCTTGCAAAGCACTTTCTTTTGTCAGGGTGAATGGGCCCAGGTTAGGCAGAGGGTGCCTCTCCAGCCCCATGCCCTCCCTCAGGGCACAGAAGGACTTTAGGACCCGAAGCGGGAAGCAGCCCCCCTCATAGAGTACAGAGCTGTGCACCTCCAGCATCTGTGACAGGCACTTCCACCTGGAGGCAGCCTCAGCCTGTGCTGTCCTGGGGTACTGTTTTCCACTAATATGCTCATATTTCATCTGCTTTAGCATTTTGCTTTCCCAAGCCTCTTAATCCCTCATAATTGAATATATTTTATGCTGATGAGCAGTCATGTTAATCATGCCTCTGGGCCATGCCTAGAGGGACATTTTATTTCATTCTTTCTTGGGCCTTATGCCAACTTGCACTTTTTCCATCTCGAGGGAGGCTCTTTCTCCAAAGGATGGAATGTGAGCTGGAGGTGAGAAAGGACTCCCTGACTATCAGCCTTTGGAGACCCTGGAACTAAGTGCTAAAGGGAATTACCTTAAAGAGAGATTTTTAAGAACAGAGACACTTTTTTCTTTTCCTTGTCATCCAACCAGATAAACACTTCATCCTGGAGCCCTCGATATGAACCAAATGATGCACGGATTCTGCTCCAAGGCTGAGAATGCAGACTGGCCCTTCCCAGCCAGGTTCTGTATGTTCTGGAGGGGGGATGGAAGAAGAGGGGTGAGTAAGGAAGATTTACGATCTGACTAGAATTCAGGAGAAGCACACACTAAGTCAGGTGGGAGCTCCCCAAAGATTAAGAGCAGCGACTCAAATTGCCTGCAAAGCTTCCATTGATCCAGCCTCTCCGAAGACTTTCCTGGTGGCCACACCGCTCTGCCACAAGCATTGTTTCCCTCAACTTCAAAGCTTGGATTTCATTAAATTAAAAATGCATAAAGCCACAACCTTGTTTTCTTTCAATTTTAGTGCTTACAGAACTAGAAATGATTGATATGCCAGTAATAGCAGACAAGAGGGAGAAGAATTTATGACCCCAGAAGTGCTGAGGCAAAGCAATAGAAAGAAGCATTTAAGTCTCTCTATTAAAGTAACTCATATGAAAAAGTAATAGAAGCTAGGGTGGCAGAGGCCTTACTTATTTTATCAGTGATGCCAACAGTCAGCGATTTGTCATGGCTGGAGAACAGGAAACAACCATCTACCCCATGAATGCGCCAACGCTCAACGCAGTCTGTCAATGAAAAGCCAATCATAATCTGGAAACACTGGGATAGACGATTTAAGGACTCACATGGAGAGAGAGAGAGAGACAGCAGCATCACCCTCCAAGGCTGGCAGAGAAGGTGGAACTTGAATTTCATTGCCCTTAAGGTGTCAAAACTCGAAATTACCCAGTGCCAAAAGGATGAGAAGTCAGCAGCTGATCTTAGAAAGCTGGAGTTTGTTTCTTTCCAAGTAATAGCCCTTGAAAGTCTGGGCCAGTGAGAGCAGGTTAACTCCCTGTGTTTTCACATCCTTCCTTAACAAGGATACGGAGGACCTGGGGGGGAGCACTTTAAGCTTCCCTCCTATCTGCAAAACACACCTTTCCTGAGCTCCTCCTCTCCTCACCCAGAGAGAATGAAACACAAATAGACACAGGTTTTCTTAGATTTCATGTGAACAACTAAAAAAAAGCAGCAACAACAAAACCTCCTTCATTTGATAAGTGTGTTTCTTTAGCATCACCTCGTTTCTCCCGTTTTGCACAGATGTGTTCCTCAACCCTTTGGGTACAATTACTGGCCACGTGTCTTCTCCATCCACCCACTGCCTGAATCTCTACTGCCAAGCTCTATTCTGCTATAGTGGTTCCTGCTCAAGCCACCCCAGGCGTCCAGGCACCAAGTCCCAAGGTCTCTCTGTATCCTTTAGTGCTGTCAACACTACCGGTGCTTCTTGCTTTTTTTTTCCTCCTCCACTAACCTTGGAAAGAAGGTACTTGGTTCTCCTTCATCATCTTTGGCCAACACTCCTCTTCCTGCTCCTCACCCCTAAGTGTGGGAGTTTCTCAAGGTTTAGACCTCAGTGCTCAGTCCTTTCATTTCTATCTGTGCTCTAATTCAAAAATTTCATCAGCATTCACAGTTTCAATAATTACTTCCGCAGCAGACCACATTGTGAACAAGATGAGTGTCCTTGTTAACATTTTATTATTTTTTCCATGTGTTATTTCCCCATCTCCAGGCAACTTGTAATGCTGCCTGATACCCTTCCCACTTTAACCTCTCCCTAAGTTCTCCTGCGTCTCCTGGTCTCCTGCCCACTCAACCCACACCCCACCACCAACCATCACCCCCACTTCCAGGCTCACACAAACACACACATATTCCTAACACATACCAATGCATGCACATTCTGGAGTACTAGGGCTCGACTCTCAGTCTTTCAAGATAAGGAAACAGAACAGGAGTAAAACATACATGATTGAAGGTTGAAATAGAAAATAAACAAATTGAATCATTTCTTTATGATCCATTCAATACCATGACCTCTCAGTTTCTTAGTCTCCTTCTCTCTGACAATAATGTTCACCCCCCAAACCCAGCCCTCATTCACATGGCCACACCAAGACATTAGCATCAACAAAAACTGTACGACTTTGAAATCTCAGCTCCAAGCATCACACTGGCTGGCCATAATCTCCTACCTTTCACACTGTAGGACTCCCATTTCAGAATCTGTATAACCTCATGAAGACCTCTAATCCATTGACTCCTTACATAGTGTTTTACTCTGTATTATGCTCCTCATATCCTCACCAAGGCAGTGGCAATTGGGATCAAGAGAGAGGATATTTAAGAATTTGAATTGTTTAAGGGTTGGTGACTGTTGGATGTATGGAATGAAGGAGAAGCTGACCCTTGGCATCTGGCTGAGTTTATAGAGCTCAAAATGTGAAATAGGAAATGCATGTTAAGGAGCAAGGAAGGACATGATGAGTTTTGGTTTGGACAAGTTGAATTTGAGGTATCTGATAGACTTCCAACTGGCAGTGGTTGTACATAAGAGTGAACACAGAGATTAGGAGGTCATCAAGGCAATGACCTCCTTCATTAGGAGGCCATCAAGGTACAGGCCTTCCTTCAGTTGTATGACTACAGCTTCCTAATTCATCTCTCTGCTTCCAGGCATGCCCCTCCCAACCTAACCAACATTCTAAAACACAAAATGCATCACATCACTGACCTACTTAAGACCCTTTGCCACTTCTTATTGCTTTTCACTTAAAGTTCAATATATACTAGGACATTTAAATTCTAGTCTCTGGTACAGAGCCATGCCTAATCTTCTAACCATTCCCCATCTGCTTCCAGTTTACTAAATATGAAATAGCCTTTTCTGCATTTTCTGCCTAGCAAACCCTTATTCATTCTTTAAACTTCAACTCAAATGCCACCTCATTAGCAAAGACTTCTGCTGTCCAAGGCAGAGTCATTGTTTCCACCTCTGTGCTCTCTTTGTTAGTTGTATTTACATCATATAGCACTTACCACATTGCTTGTATAATGCATGCAAACTCATTCACTGAGACAGTGGATTCTTTGTGGGCAAAAATTTTGCTTTATAACTCACTGTTTCTCCCAAAGTTCAGCAGTCTAGCACACTGTAGGTCCACCATTACTATTGTTGACTAAGTTAGCCTTAGCCAGTGTTTTGGGCCTTGACTCATCATGGTTTTTCCTTACAGTTTCTTTGCCAGATAGATAAGAATCAACTGAAAATGATGATAAAATAATCTCTAAGAATTCTGGGGGAGAAGATAAGAGAAAATTCTGTGTTCTTATTTCTTCTTCTTTCCTACTTTCCCATATGCAAGCACAACTCCAGCTTAGATCAGATGCCTAAGAGCCTCTACACTTCCTCTACCCCTAGGAGCTGGCACCATCAGAGATAAAAATATGGAGGCAATTTCCTCCAGGACTTGAAAATTCAATAGGACCAGAGATATTTCCTTGTGCGTCTGTTAGAATTCCAAGCAACTCAGGAGAACAACCTCTATTCTCTGTAGCTTGCCAGGATACTAACTAAACAAATGTATAGAAATGCTTGAGACTTCTGACTTTGGGGATTTCTCCTCATACTGCAATTTATCTGCATTTTGAAAGGGTATTTTATTGCTATGGGACAGAGAGGGAATAGAGCAGTAGTCTTGAGTCTGCCCCTGTACAACAGTGGGCAAATTGTTTGCTTTTACTAGAACTAAATTTGTCACTTGTGAATAGAGGGGTTTGAACTAAGTAATCTCTAACATGTATTTCCAATTCCAAAGCTTATGAGCGCTCCAACTTCCAGTAGGATAACAATAGCTAATTGAATCCAAATCAATTCATATATCCTCCCAAAAAAGATCTAAAAATTAACACAAGACCTAATAAAACCAGTCATAACCCCAGACTGTAGCATGTATAGGAAGCCAAGAATACTCCAAAATGCACAAGTTTTGGAAGTAAACCAAACCATCAGCGCCATTGGGAAAATGTACCAGAGAGGAGAAGGAAACAAGGACCCGGGAGGGTGGAGCGAATTAGAAAAAAATACCACCCAGAGTCGGAAGGAGATGAGACTATGCCAGGGCCTTGGTGGATCAGAGCTCTGGCTACTAAAGAATCTATTGGACAAGACTTGGAGGCTCAGTGAGCCAAAGATGGTGACCTTAAGAAGGGGCTGCTTCTGAGGGAGAAGAAGATAACTTCAAAGAAGCATCATCGGGAGGCTGAGTGGCAAAGGGAAAGAAGGAACAGGAAATTGAAATTAAAATTAATGGCCCTATGGAAACAAAAAAGAATCACCAACTCAGGAGGCACTCTGACTCGTCTCCTGTGAAAGGCACCATGTAGTACAGAAATCACATTTCATACTTCAATAAGAAGATATTCTCGAACCAAAAAAATTATGGTAAGCCTCCCACATCCCTGTCTACATACAACTGTCACTAATAGTCTGAGAAAATAGGCTAGGCACAGTGGCTCACTCCTGTAGTCCCAGCACTTTGGGAGGCCAAGGTGGGCAGATCACCTGAGGTCAGGAGTTCCAGAACAGCCTGGCCAACATGGCGAAACCTCATCTCTACTAAAAAATACAAAATTAGCCAGGTGTAGCAGTGTGTGCCTGTAATCCCAGCTACTCGGTAGGCTGAAGCACAAGAATCGCTTGAACTCCGGGAGGCAGAGGTTGCAGTAGGCTGAGATGGCTCCACTGCACTCCAGCCTGGGCAACAGAGTGAGACCCTATCTCAAAAAAAAAAAATAGTCTGAGAAAATAAATATTTGAAAATGAACTGAGAAGGACAGACAGTATCTGTACAAAGTTACCACAAAAAGAAAAATAAAAATGAGATATAAAATATTTCAGTTGGTGAAAATTCTCCCCCAAATCCAACCTGAAGCAGGAGAAAACTATAACACAACACTTTAACCAGGATTAAACATCTTTAAGCACGTACTTGCACGTATAAAAACAACTCAAATTAGAAATTCAAATACTAGGAACAGAACTGGACAAAAACTCCCAGAAAGATGAAAAAGAAGAGTCGATTAAACATAGGAAATAAATTGAAGAAAAAGACAAAATCATCTTAGAATGAAAACTAAATTACAAGGTGCCCAAGGGAGAATATATTTAACTAAAAATATAATGAGACACTAATGAAAGCCATGAAACAGTCAAGAAAACAAAAATGATGGAAAGAAGGTGCTTTAAAAATGTCAGAAAATGATTAATATAGAAGATAGCAAAGATAATTCAATATATGTAATTGAAATCTCTGAAGAAGAAAAAATGAATAGAAATAATATTTAAACTTATCATTAAAAGAAAACTTTCTCCAGATGAAAGAAGACGTGAATCTACATATTGAAAGAGCCACCATGTGCCTGAGAATATTGACTGGAATGCTTAAGTCTGAGACATTAAGCATATATCTTGATCAAACTTAAAACTTTTTCTCTACTCTTGATATTGGAAGAAAAGATTTGAAGTCAGACTTCTTAACTTCTGCTAATGATTGAACAGTATTTCTAAGAAATTCAAAAAAAAAGTGTAAGCAAAGGATTTTATATACAATCAAGCTGTCCTTTAAATATCAAGGCTGGAGGAAAGGTTTTTAGCATGCAAGAATGAAGGGAAATCTGTACTCAGAATCCCCTTCTGAAGAATCAACTAGAAATTAAGCTTCCTCCGGTTAGAAGTGTCTGGAAAACATCAAGGAAAGGATTTAGAGCAAGAACTAAATACATTAGTTGCTCTAATACTAAAACCAGGTTGGGGCAAGGGTGAGAGGCCATAATACAAACGCTAAAAGTTCTTTAAAAGTAGATATAATGCAGGTTTTTATTGAGAAAGTGAAAAATAAAGAAAAAAGTAGAATAAATTCATTGACTGTCACATAGACAGGAGAGATGAGTCAAAGACTACATTTAAACCTGACAACAAAATAGTAGATGCCTAAATATGAGAAAAGGAGACTGCAGGTACCATAAAAAGTAGAATGTACTAGAACAACCATACACATTCTTAAATGAATGATGAAATACCAAAAAGAAAAATAAGCAAAGAACAGATAACAGAAAGAAGCACAGCAAATACAACATAATACTGACAGTAAAAATGACAAAAGAACATGACAAAGTTGGCAGAGAACGTTGGTCATGCTAATTAACATAAATGTACTTGTCTATTAAAAGAAAGTTGGCTCAAAGATCAAAAGCCAAAGAAATGGTGAACACAAAAGAAACATCTAAAGTGAATGATTCAAAATGCTAAAAATAAAGGGATGCACAAGTTATATCAGGCAAATGGAAATAATAGGAAAGAAAGATTATGATTCTAACATTAGACAAAGGAAAATTCAAGCCAGTGGCCTGGAAGGGAAAGTGCAGAAATAGCTCAAATACGTACGGAAGTTTAGTATATTATAAAGCCTGGCATCTCAAATCATTGAGGAACAGACAAACTTTTTAACAAATGGCATTAAGACAACTGAAATATCTTTGAGGAGATGATAAAAGTGGCTTCTTTCTTCATATCATTCAGCAGAATAAACTCCAAATACATTTTTAAAAATGTAAAAGATGGAATCGTATAGGTACTGGGTGTGAGGAAAGGCTTTCTAACTAGGGTTAAAGATCTAGCTGCAATGAAAACAAACCAGATTATTTAACTACATTAAAATAAACATTAATACAGCAAAACAAAACAAAACAATATAAAACAAAAAAACACCATAAGTAAAGTCAAAAGACGGGTGTGCAGCAGAGCTAGGACTGCTCAAAAACAGATGGAAGCATAATAAAAAAGCCCAAAGCCAGCATAAAGGGGCTCTTATTGACCAAATTTGGAATGAAAGGGGCATTAAAATTAATATGAAAAAGTGATTGCCTTGAATGAGTACAGGGATTAACTAGGAAGGAACTTGGGGAAACTTTTTGTGGCATTGGAAATGTTCTATATTTTGATAAGGGTGTGAATCCTATGGGTGTATATGCTTATCCAAACTCACCTGACAGTATATGTAAGATTGGGGCACTGCGCTGTATGTAAATTATACCTCAATTCTTAGAAAAATTATAAGAATGGATTAAAACATATTGAACCTTAAAAATCCATGAGTTCATAATGATAATAAAAAACAAAAGCTGGGAGAAGAAAAGTTCTTTTCCACAGAAGAATGTTACCCAGCAAATGTAAAAGAATTGCAGAGTTAGAAAACCTCAGTTTTTCAACCACCAATGTAATAATTGATTCAGGCAAGGATAATCAATGGATGCTAAAACATTAAGTGAATGGGAATGGATTTTAGAAATTAGGACATTCAAATAATCTCAAAGTGTTACCCAACAGGTAAAAGGAAAAGTACCTTTGAAAATGTCAAACTCTGGCAGACACCAGCTTAACCAAATGATGGAACTTAATTAACTTCAACAGTAATGGGACAGATTGACATTACCTGCTTCATCCTGTGGTGCTGTTATTAGGATGCAGCCCCATCTATATGTTATGCCCACCAAAAATGCTAACCTGAATTTCATCATGAAGAAGCATTCAGACAGATCCTAACCATCAGGCATTCTTCAAAGGAACTGGTCTAGACTCTTCAAAAGGTCACTGTCATAAAAGACCAACAGAGCAGGGAAACTGTTCGAAATTAAAGAAGATTGAAAAGACATGATAAACTAAATGCAATACCTGACCATTGATTGAATACCAAAAAAAAAAAAAACATAAAATACATTGTTAGAATAAATCACAGACATTTGAACATGGGTTATATATTAGATAAGACTGTGAAGCCTTTATTAAATGTCCTAAAGTGATCATTATAATGTGGTTATATAATGAAAATCTTTTTCCTTTAAAGAGAGAGAAAGCAAGTAAATATGGCAAAAATGTTAATTAGTGGTAAGTTTATGTGAAGAGAATATGGGCATTTATTGTACTATTTTTTTCCAATGGTCCATTTAGAATTTTTCAAAATAAAATATTGGGGAAAATAGTGTGTTTAAAGAAATACGTATTCAATTTTAATTCCAAGTTTATGCAATTCTCACTGCAAAGTATCTTTTGGATCTCTCTGTCACTCTTTTCTTACTGCCATGACCTTAGCTTGCAGCTCGCATCATATCCTAGCCAGGAAATGTTGCATCACAATATACAAGGCCTCTTCCTCCTCCAAAATAATTTTTCTAAACAAAGCTTTTGTAAAGAGACACCTCGGCACAAATTTTTCCAGTAGGTCCAAGTTGTCCTGGGGCTAAATTCAGAACACTTTAGTCTGCCATTTTCATTAGTTCTGAACCTGTATGTCAAATTGCATGTGAACATAGCCTCAAACTTAACTCATCCAGTACAGACTTTGACATCTCCCCCTCCAGATTTTCCCGATGTTTTCTATTATTTAGTGGCATCATCATCCTCTCAGTCACCCAGGCTGGCTCTCTCACAATAGGTTTCCGTCCATGCTTCATATCCTGCAGCCAAGCCCTGTTATTTCCTTAAAGTCATCCCATTGTCAATCTCTCTTATGTTAGGTCTTTATCATCTCTAAGCTCTAACCTATTACCTGCCTACCAAATGGGCTCCCTTATGTTCCATAACAAACATTAAATAATTATCTGTCTATTGATTGAGAACAATGAGGAAGCGAAGACCCCAACTCTAGTTATTACCCTTTTGACCTCTTCTTTTCTCCCCAAACAGGCTTATGATATATGTCTCTCAGCAAGAAGGAAGAGCAAAGCAGTTGTTTCCTGGAGCCTTGGAGGAGAAAAGTGGCACAGAATTCACAGCTTCTTCACCTGGGCCTCAAATGTTCAGTGTGACAAATGCCAGGAGATAGGGACATGGGGATTAAAAACAAGCAAAAAAAATCAGTCTTATTGTCCTAATTCCCATTTCAGAAAGCTGGGACATTCTAGCTATTTGAAGAGAACAGGCTTTGCCTGCCTCTAAACCATTGCTGCAACATGCCTGGCATTCATGGTGCTGACATGGGGACAGCAAGGTGATATTGTTCCCTGTCTGGCCATCCCCTCCTGGCTATGGTGGTTAAAGCAGATGCTCTAGAACAGGGGTTGGCAAACCATGGCCCACAGGTCAAATGTGGCCCAGGGCCTGTTTCTTGTCTTCTTCTTTCTTTTTTCTTTTTCTTTCTTTCTTTTTCTTCTTCTTCTTCTTCTTCTTCTTCTTCCTCTTCTTCTTCTTCTTCCTTCTTTTTTTTTTTAACTTTTAAGTTCAGGGATATATGTGCAGGTTTGTTACACAGATGAACTTGTGTCATGGGGCTTTTTTGTACAGATTATTTCATCATTCAGATATTAAACCTAGTACCCATTAATTATTTTTCCTGATCTTCTCCCTCCTTCCACTCTCTGACAGGCCCCATTGTGTGTTGTTCCCCTCTATGTGTCCATGTGTTCTCATCATTTAGCTCCCACTTATAAGTAAGAACACATAGTATTTGGTTTTCTGTTCCTGTGTTAGTTTGCTAAGGGTAATAGCCTCCAGCTTCATCCATGTCCCTGCAAAGGACATGATCTCATTCTTTTTTGTGGCTACATAGTATTCCATGATGTATATGTACCACACGTTCTTTATTCAGTCTATCATTGATGGGCATATAGGTTGATTCCATGTTTTCGCTATTGTGAATAGTGATGCAATGAACATACCTGTGCCTGTGTATTTTTTTTTTTTTTTTTTTTTTTGGGAGATGGAGTCTCACTCTGTCACCCAGGCTGGAGTACAGTCGCATGATCTCAACTCACTGCAACCTCTGCCTCCCAAGTTCAAGCAATTCTCCTGCCTCAGCCTCCCAAGTAGTTGGGATTACGGGTGCCTGCCACTATGTCCAGCTAATTATTTTATTTATTTATTTATTTATTTATTTATTTGGTTTCACCATGTCGGCCAGGCTGGTCTCAAACTCCTGACCTCGTGATTCACCTGCCTCAGCCTTCCAAAGTGCTGGGTTTACAGGCATGAGCCACTGTGCCCGGCCCGCATGTGTCTTTATAATAGAATAATTTCTATTCCTTTGGGTATATACCCAGTAATGAGATTGTTGGGTCAGGTGGTATTTCTGTCTTTAGGTTTTTGAGGAATCACCACACTGTTTTCCACAATGGTTGAACTAATTTACAGTCCCACCAACAGTGTATAGTCATTCCTTTTTCTTCACAACCTCACCAGCATCTGTTATTTTTTGACTTTTTAGTAACAGCCATTCTGACTGATATGAGATGGTATCTCATTGTGGTTTTGATGTGCATTTCTCTAACAATCAGTGATGTTGAGGTTTTTTTCATATGATTGTTGGTATGGCCTGTTTCTGATAATCACCAGGTGAGAATTGTTTTTGCATTTTTAAAGATGTATTAAAGGATATGTGCAAGAGACCTTCCTTACATGGCCTGCAAAGCCTAAAATATTTACTATCAGGGTCTTTATAGAAAAAGTTTACTCTAAAATCAGACAAAGCATGAATTTGAATTCCAGTTCTGCCCTTCAGTAGGTGTGAGATGACAGTCAACTACTTATCCGCTCTCAGTCCCTGTTTTCTCACTTGTATACATAGATGAAACACTGACATTCAGGATGTTGTAAGAATTAACTGAACTAATGTTTGTCAATTTACTTTATATAATTATTGGTACATAAGCACTCCACAATTGTTACTTACAATAGAGAAAAAAAATTACTTAAAACAATTATATCTGCCTTTTTAGGAGGACATAATTTATATTAGAGAGGATATAAATCTATATAGCTTCCTTCCCCTGGCTGAGATTAATGGGGGAAGATGAAGGGAAAGATGGAAATTTTAAACCTTCTGCCAATTATCCCAGGCTGCCAAAGAGAAGAGTTGGAATATATAATCTACTGTTTAGTAGAGCACATCAATGAGTCTTTGCATATATAAACAGGAGCTCAGATCTGAGTAGGGGGTAGGGAGAGAAGTTGATCTACACAATGAAGAAAGGAGAATTGAGGTTGAAAGCGGAACCTGGCTTCCTGTTCATTCATGATGGCAGACTGAGCACATGATAAGATCTCCCCCTTTACTAAATTCACAGAAACAGCAGAAAAGGTAAAAATCATAGAAAAATAAAAATATACGATCTCATATTCAAAATGCAAAAAACAGAAGGATGAGTAGAGTGGAATATGGAGAGATATCCCTAAAAGGAAGAAGCAGAAAAGGTTAATATATGTATCATGTAGGGAAATTATGGTAGCATTTCTAGGCTCAGGATTCCTACCAAGAGGCTATTGAGAGGTCATAGCTATAGATACAAATGTGGGTCAAAGACAAGATTACAAAAACATGAGCCCAATTCTCTACTCTTCAGCCCACACCCTGCATACCTCAGTGGCTAAAGAAACCAAGCCACAAAGGGGGTGGCCATTTAGGACTTTTACTATGTGGGCAAGATGGGACACAGAGAGAAAAAGATGGAGACGGGAAGGGGACATGGTTGGTTCTTGAAAGGCCACTCCATATTTCAGTGACACCTGACTGCCCCACCCGCCACTGGGGGTGGTAGGCAAGGTAGAAAGTCCACTGAATGTCCATCTCTCATGCTCAGTATTGGGCAGAAGCAACAGGGCCATGATGTGACATGCCATATCTCTGAAAACAGAGGGAGCTGCTGCCTCCTTAACAAACAAACGAAACAGAAAGGAATCTCAACCCCAGAGTAACAGTCCTCCAGGGTCAGTAGACATTTTTTTGCCCTGACGAAAAGGGAAGAGTCTCATATAGTTAACAGGCCAACATCTAATTGATATAGTCATACAAAAGGGACTCTCAAAAAGCCCATATTGCTGATAGCTGGTGCAAAAGAAAAGGGATTTGCATAACAACTAGGAAGAGGGGACCCCTGGCAGTTACTGCCACTGCCTACCTGTGCTAGGGACACAAGGGTCAGGACTGAGAGTAAAACAACTTGAGCCATGATATCCACATAGCAAGAGGAAGAGCCTTTCTGGTGATTAGCATCATAATAGATTTAGATGCTGACCCTATCCAGTCAGCTTAATCTCTTTCCACAGGTGTCTCAGCCAAAGCAGTTTGGCCTTAATGAGAAATGTCTCCCCACTGAGAAGACCAGTGAATGAGGCCATTATCCATAATCCAAAAGTGATTTAGCAGGAGACGGAGGGAATGTACAAGTAGATAACCTTGGCAATAACCATATAGAGAGCCCCTAGCTCATCCTACTAGAATGAGGGACCCGTCTCATGTACTCATGTGGAAATCTCTCAGGGCTGGATAATGCAGAGTTGCCCCCATGCTCTATTCAGTTACTTGTATCACACTGAGCCATCAGTGAACCCAGTCAGGTGGCTTCCTCACTCACTTAAAAGTCATGGCTAGCTATAAAGTAAAGGGAAATTAGAACCAGCATCCCTGAGGTCACCATACTCCTAGTTAGGGGAGAGCTCATCACCACCACATAGGAGTAGAAGGTATCTACAAGGAGATGCCACTGTCCAGATATACCACATCCACCTAAATACAGTCACCTGTGGCATGGGCAAGATTATTTTATTCCAGATAGAACAGAACTCAAGTAAACAAAATTTAGGGTACATGTGGTTTTGATATTTTTCTTACACAGATGGTCATCACAGAGATGCTTGATTTTAATCAGATCTCTATAAGCAGCTAAAAGTTGATTTTCCACAGGAGACCATCTAAATAAAGACTGATCGCAGCAGTTTGCTTGCTCAGAAGTCCAGGGATCATTTCTGGAGCCTGGAAGAAACAAACTACCAGAAGCTCCAGAAAGCACATGTGTCTACATGGGTGCCGTAGAAGGTGCTGCAGTGTAATGTGCAGTCAGAGTAATAGGATATCAAAACAGATCTCACTGCACCAGCCTCTGCTCCAACTCAAGACCCCTTGCTGCTTGGACCTCCACTCAAAGGTAGAGGTATATGTGAAACCTGGTGGATTGGGTATCTGCAAGAGGCTGAGATTAGAAATGAAAATGTACCATCAAACAATATCAGTAGGTGCTGAATCTCCTACGTATAAAAGGACACCTGCAGTGGCACTTTTGCCTAGAGTCCTGAAAGCATCATCTGCAGCACCTTGACAAGGGCCCAGACAGCGGAGCTGGGAACTTGGACTTTAGACTGCCAAAGAAGCCATCCTCCAAGAAGCCATCTCCTTATCTGTCCTTGTGAGATGCACTCATGAAGATTATCAAATGGTCCCCGAACAAGGACACATCAAAATGCTGCCTCAGGACAACTCCTGAAATAGAGTGGGAGTTAGACTGAGAGACAAAAGGTTTCATTGAACTATAGGGTGACAAAGGACAGGACAGTGAACATGTACTGGAGAGATTACCAAGTAAAGATACACCATTGCTAGTGGTTGGGGTGGGAAGAAATAGTGAAGGCTCTCTCAGTTAGATAAATGGCAGCATATCACTGGAGTGGACCTGCTACGATTTGCCTAATCATGGAGATGATATCAGGGATCAAATAAGAGGTATGTGTATTATACGGGGTTTTCTAGAGAAACGGGACCAATAGTATGTGTTTGTTATAAGGAATTGGCTCACATGATTATGAAGGCTGGCAAGTCCTGAGATCTGTGGAGTGAGTGGGCAAGCCGGAGACCCAAGAGAGCCAATGGTTTAGTTCCATTCCAAAGTCCAGTAGGTCTGAGACCCTGGAAAGCTGATGGTATAGTTTGTGTCTGAGGGCCAGTAGGCTTCAGACCCAAGAAAGTCAATGTTTCAGCTCAAGTCCAAAAGCAGAAAAAAAGCCAATTTCTCAGTTCAAAGGCCTTCTATTCAGGCTTCAGTCTATTGAATGAGGTTCATCCACATTAGAAAGGAAAATCTGCTTTATTCAGTCTACTGATTTAAATGTCAATCTCATCCAAAAACTCCCTCACAGAAAAACCCAGAATAATGTTTGACCAAATTTCTGGGCACCACATGGCCCAGTCAAGTTGACACATAACATTAACCATCACAGAAAGTAAAACATCAATTAGCCATCTCTAGTAAACAATGAGGCTCTAAAACCACTGTTCTTTTTAATTAACTGTACCAATAATTAAAGGGCAACAATGGTAAAACTTCAAATGAACCACATGTGAAAAGACTCATTCCACTCCCTCTCCTTTGGGAGAGAGGAAGATTCAAAAGAAGTTATAAACAAATGAAAATCTAATTTTATGCATATCCCAACCTAGTGGTATATAAGGGCTTCTCAACCCAAAGGAAGAGCCCTCGTAGCTGCGACATGAAGAAATGCCATCTACTAACATGAGAACAAGATTGCTTATAACTGGAGCAATTTTAGGACAGTTTAACCCATTATAAGCAATCCTGGAAGGCCATAGCAAAGTCAGACACAACTTGAGTGCAACCTTTCTATGTGACTGATCATAGAACATGTGCATCAGTAAGGACAAAACAACTGCTGTTCTTGGCAAAGGCCAAGACCAGAACCTCTGGGAAAATCAGGCATGAATTAATAATGACCTTTCTGCATGGCCCCAGAAAGGAGATGCCACTAATTAGAAGCAAATATAATACCATAAATGGAGGCAAAACAGAATTGAACACATTGGACAATATTATAACCAAAAGTAGTGGTCAGGATTTATGAGGATGGTAAATTGAAATGTAAGTTAGATTGGGATGCGTGTCCAGATGTAAGAGGCTCTATGATGTCTCACATCTTAAGTTTAAAGGACTTCTAGGTGCTGTTCAGTCATGAGTCCCATGTCTAGGGGATGAAAGTATCTTCTACAGGAAACAACCACCTCCTTCTCCTGTTAAGCCACTAGCCCAGAGCTCTTCTCAGTTCCCCCTAGGGCAGCTCTGTGAGGGCCTTGTACATAATGTTTCTACTGAGCAGCATGCTTCAGTGATGATGATGATGATTATGATCGCTGTTATAGTTGCTTTTCTTGTTATTAATAGCTGTAACTTAATATTTCAAAATCTGCTCAGAGCTTAGGGCATGAGATACAGCCAGTCTCCCAAGGAGGCAGCCTGGGGAAGTGAAAAGGTTTGGAAGCAGATGGGCCTCTCTACCACCTACTAGCTGCAGGACTGTAATGTGAGTTTGCTGCATTATTTTTGGATAGCCAATTCTGTTATAGAATCAAGAAAGCAAACTGGGTGGATGAAACTTAAAAGGACATACAAGCATCAGGTAATTTTGGATTCATTGTGGAAGCCAGCCGCCAAGATGACCCCAGTGGTCCTAGCTCCTTGACCCCGGTATATTCCTTTCCCAGGGTGGGCAGGGATGTTCTGCATAACCAATAGGATACTGCAGAAATGATGGTGTGAGACTTTGGAGGCCAGATCATAAAGACACTGCTCTCCCTTAGACTACTTGCCCTTGGGGAAGAGAGCTGCCATGCCATGAGGATACTCAAGTAGCCCTGCAGAGCAGTTCATGTGGTGCTACCGCCATCACCAGCTCCAACTTGCCAGCCACATCCAAGACATCTTGGAAGCAAATCCCCCAGTTCCAGTTAAGATGACAGCAGCCCTGGGTGACATTGTGACTGCAACCTCATGAGAGCCAGAACGACCCAGCCAAGCTGCTCCCAAATTCCTGACCCACAGACACTATGATAGATGGAAAATGTGAATTGTTATTTTAAGCTGCTAAGTGTTGGAGTATTTTACTATATAGCAATGGATAACTAAAGCTAGCATAGATAGAAGGCAAACAAGCAGCTTACGAGGTATAGGCAAAACCCATAGGATGTGTGAAGTGTAGATGATGAGTGAGTAAGCAGCTTGTGAGACAGGCAGAATTCATAAGATATGCTAATTATAGCTACTGAGTTAGTAACCTGTAAGACATCCTAAAGATATATACTGTAAATGGGACATATAATAAAACAAATCAGAGTGTTATCTACTAACTATAGATAGAAAGTCATAGAGATAACAAGTCATAATCATGCCATCTCTGGGCTAAAAGCTTTATCAACTCTAAATTAGGTACCCATTGATTGACACCCACAGGGTCTCATTTTGGCCCCAGGTGCTCTGTATAAGAAATGCAAATAAGGCCGGGTGCTGTGGCTCACACCTGTAATCCCAACATTTTGGGAGGCCGAGCTGTTGGATCACCTGAGGTCAGGAGTTTGAGACCAGCCTGGCCAACATGGCAAAACCCCATCTCTACTAAAAATACAAAAAATTAGCCAGTCATGGTGACGGGCACCTGTAATCCCAGCTACTTGGGAGGCTGAGGCAGGAGAATTGCTTGAACCCTGGAGGCAGAGTTTGCAGTGAGCCAAGATTGCACTGCAGCCTGGGCGACAGAGAGAGACTCTGTTTCAAAAAAGAAAGAAAGAAATGCAAATACATTCTCGACTGTTCGGAAGGCTAATTGGCAAGCTGTAGCTATAGCTAAGCAAACTTGTTTTAGCCCCCATATTCCTCCTGTCAGACAGCAAAATTATGCTTTGGCCCAAGAGATCTTTGGTGTGTATTTGGCCTTCTTGCTCAAATCTCAATTGTGATCCTCATAACCACACCATCAGCAGGGAAGGCTGATGCAGCAGAGAGAGGGAAGATACACAAGCTTATATACCCCAGGATCCAAGGAGTATGGTGCTTCCACCTGGCAGCTCCCATCTGAAGTGAGCTAACCTACCCTATCCCTCTCCCCTTGCTGTTGCTTTGGGTTTTCAACAGATTTAGTAAACTGTGAGTTTAAGCACTTTAATTTGGCCCGTGAATCCTCCTATTCTGACACCTCTGACAGAACTTATCTAGTAGAGTATGCAGAGGCCACATTGCATTAAGGTAATTTCTCACATTCCTGGAACCTTGGAAAAGCCACTTCACTACTCTGATTCTCAACCTTCCCATTTAAAAACAGGAGCTAATACTACATGCTTGACAGTGCTTTAAGAATAAATGAGACACTTGGGAGAAGAAATAATGGAGTGCCAGGCACAAGACAGGTGCTTACCAAAAAATTATTCCTTCTGTTTTAGGTGACCCTGTAACTGTCTCTAACCTCAGCCAGGTCATCCACTGAAAGAGTATTGTAATACCTACCTCACAGTTGCTCTGAGGATTAAATAAGGTAACATTTCTGAAAGTATCTAGCACAGGACCTTGGTAGATGGCCAATCCATTTAAATTTTCTGTCTTTCTTTCCTTACAAATAAAAAAAAAGTATAACAGCTGCCTCTGAGATATAATTTCAAAATTGTGGAAATCCCTCCATCCCCATCCCCAAGTCAGGTCACAACCCTCATCTACTCCCCTGCCTCCCATTCCTTTGAAGGGTTAGGGCTTTTGTTCCTTAATGGAGAATTACAACTCATCCTGGAGGAAGAAACCAAATGACTTAAATTCACCCTAAGACACAAATGACTAACAATAGATCCTTGCTCAGAGGGAAAGACTTTATTGGGAAAGGGAGGAGGGAGTAAGAAGACAGGGTTCAGAGGAAGGGCAGTCAGAAGTGAGAGTAGAGAAAGGCCTTCAAAAGGGAGGCCTGGATACAAAGTCATAACAAAGACACGCTTAGCCCTGTGGGTCTGACAGGACAGGACAGGCCAAGAGAGCCCCTCCTTCAGAGAGTCCTTCTCAAAGACAGCCTCCCTCAGCGAGAACATCCTTCAGAGAGCTGCTCCCAAGGACAGCTCCTCACTTAGAGAGCCCCCCTCAGGGAGCACCTCCCTCAGACAGCCCCTCCCTCAGACAGTCCTCCTCAAAGAGAGGCCCCCTCAGACAGCCCTTTCCTCAGACAGCCCCTCCCAAAGACAGCCTCCCTCAGGGAGAACCTCCTTCAGAGAGCCACTCCCAAAGACAGCCCCTCTCTTAGAGAGCCCCTCTCAGGGAGCACCTCCCTCAGAAAGCCCCTTCCTCAGACAGTCCCTCCGAAAAAAGCCCCTCCTCGGAGAGTCCCTTCATCCAAGAGCTCCTCTCAAACAGAGTCACTTCCTCAGACAGCCTCTCCTGAGAGCCCCTCTCACAGAGCCTATCCCTCAGAAAGCCAGTCCCTTGCAGAAGATGTGAAGCCCTTTTCAGGTGCAGGAGTCAACAACCAAGAATGGAGCGAGCATTCGAAGGAAAGGAGTTGCGACAGCAGGAACGGTTCATCTCCCCCAGAAAGGACCACCGCTCTCCTGTCCTTAGGGCTTCTCCTTGGCCTCAGGATAAGGAAGAGGATTGTAGGATTTGCCACTCAGACCAAAACTGGCCCTCCAGAGTGGATTTCAGGCTAGACCAACAGAGTCCCAGAGCACTGTGGCAGCATAGAGGGAGACTGCAGCCTGCCGTGGGAAGCACATTAGGGTTTAGAGGCAGAAGTTCTGATTTCAAATTTCAGCTTCACACCTTATCAGGGCTGTGTCCTGCACAAGTCTATAATGTGTCAGTCAGCATCACCAGAGCAAAATGGCGGTCATCACACTACTTGCAGAGCAGATTTGCCTGGCAAAGCTTAAGCCTCCCACCCCCTTCACCTCATGGTCCTGGGATCGTGGGGAGTTTCTGTGTGGAAGTGTTCTGGGGGAAGGGGAAGTCTGGCTGACAGGGATGGAGGGTGTGTTTGTGTGTGTGTGTGTGCATGTGTGGAAGTGTTTCTATATAAGCATTTCTGATAAACTGCTTGAAGAGATCTCAAAAGAGACCTGACTTTCTAGGGCTCTAGTGATTTTGTGTGTGTGAGATTCATTTTGTGTCATTCTGAATCAAGATTCACTTTTGTGTTTGTAATTTTATTCTCTTTTTCTTAAAGCCACCTCCCTCTAATTGTACAAGCTTCAAACCCCACAAAGCCTGGATCCACCTAAAGTCCTCAGAGGGCTGTCACATGGATAAAATGAAGTGCCCCCTCAAAAAGTGATCAACTCACCTAGAAGTAGAAATTGATGCTTACTAAATCTGATTCGGTGGTCCCCTTTCCATCTGCCCACCCAGGTGAGGTGCGGTAAGAAGAGACAGGCAGCCCAAGAGGCCTCCCGCAAGTTCAGAAACAGATTACAGAGTTGGCAGGGAGTCTGCTGCTCTCCCACCAGGGCCCCTCTGCTCAGACAGGGCCAGATGATGTAGTGACTTTATTCAGTGGATAAACATCCAATTCAGCTTGCTGGAGGCCCCCCAGCCTCACATTACTGTTGACACAAAGCAGATTCCCTTTCTCTAAACCACTGTTTATATTTTAGCCAAGTGTCCTACATAAATCTCAGATCCAACCATCAGACTCTCTGGCTGCTACAGAAATGATCAAGACCAACGAGAGAAAACAGCCTAATAAGGAGCTTACAGAAGGAGCTGGGGGTATCTCTAAACGAAAGGCTGCCTTGGGGGTACATACCAGGCAACCCAGTTCTGAGACTCTCCAAAACTGGGGGCCAGCACAGACTTGGAAGCACCTGCAGCTAAAATAAAGGGTCTTTTAAAGAACTGGGTCTCAACCAGGGCACCAGGCCTATGAAATATACATTCAGTTCAACTCAGGTTCACAGAACATTCTCAAGTCCCAATTCAGTCGTTCTAGGAAATATGTAGGCTGGGTTCCAGTTCAGACATATTTTTCAATAGGTGTTTTTTTTTTTTTATTTTCAGAAAAAAAATAAATAGAATACAAACTTTGTAATAATAGCTTTGTGGTTCCATAAATTAATATTAGTGCTTGGTTAGAGCTCAGCACAGTTGTGTGGTAAATTGTGGTTTGGGGCTCAGGGTCTGGCTGAGGTCCCTGATTTGAAGGCCTCAAAGCCTGGAGAGCTGTGGCTTAAAAGGACAATGGAGAAATCTTTTCCTAGCAGTAGGAGCTAGCAGCTGAATGCACTTCATCTTGACTCAGCAAGGGACAGTTCAAACACCACTCCCCCAGCTGTAGCTTTTGGGTGAGGTCTCTATGTCTTTTCTGCCGTAGTCATGTGTGGATCATAAATGGCCTAGCCCAAAGCAGCTGTTATTTTAAAGAATAATTAAAAGAGCAAGAGTAATCCCTGGGGCATGGAGGAGGGGAGAGGGTATCTTTATATTCAGACGTTCTGGACTTGATTATAAATCCTAGAGCTTGGCTGCTCCACGGGGACCACGCTTCTCTAGGCTACCCGTCTACATGATTAACTGACTACTGCCATCTAGTGGATATGGAGGCCTTTGAAGTTCTAATGACTAATGTGCAGGATGTTGGGCATTGATCTTAAGAGAAGCTATGCTTAATTAGGGCAGCAGATCTCAGGGCGGCCTGTAGGTAGGATTACAGATCAATCACCCTGGAATATCCCCATACGCAATTTCTCTTTTCTGACAGAGATTAAAAGAGAAAAAAGAAAAAACTCAGTGCCTGTGGGTCATCAATGTTCTGAAGTTTATTTGGCAATTGAATCAAAACTGACATTCTGAGACATACAAAGGCTCGATGTGAAGACTACGGATAACAGCCTCACTGCTGTATTCTGAGAGGTCCATGCCGGCTGCTGCAGTAGCCAGACTGGTCCTTGGGCATGGCTGAGGTGGAGGGAAGAAGCCCTCAGCTAGCAAACAGAAATCTCAGCCTCTACAGCCATTCTCATGTAGGGCTGTGCCACCCTGTCCAGGCAGCCCCCAGGGCTTGGCCCCTGGGCAATGGGTATGAAATGCCCTTTTCTGGGTAGGGAAGAAAAAAGGGGCTAGGCCCAGACCCCGGAACTTCACCTCTGTCAGAGCTTCTGTTTACCTGCAATGGCTGTTCCCCCGACAGACACATATCTATAGATGTTCACTTTCAGACGCTAATCTGGAATTTTCAGAGAGTTTAAAAGATGAAAGATTAGCTACTTAAAGAATCAGCAAATATGTATAAATTCATCTTTAAGATAAATGGGAAATTTGGCAGGACTCAAAATATTTGAATCAACAACCACATATGGACACAGACCAAATCTACACAAAGCATTTGGGTAAAGCCTGCAAATATTTCTTTTTCAGTTATTGCAGCTTCAATTTCTCTTAGATTACAACCCAATCCCATCCCCTTTGCCCAGTGAGGCTATGAGGTTTCTGTCCAAAGCTGGAAATGGACCCCAGTCACTCCTTACTTCCCCTACCACTCCAGGCTTCAGTTTCCTCATCTGGAAAATGAACCAGTGGATCTGATTACCCCTGAGATCTCTTCCAGGTGAATTTGAATGCTTCAAGTCTAAATTTTCCTTTGCAAGATTTCCTCAAGTTTTGGCAGACGTGTGTTAAAGGCCTGGGGTGGACTGAACTCAGGATCTTTTACCATCATCTGGAGTGCTTCCCAAGGAGCATTTCATCCAGAAAAGGAGATTGTTTCAGGTTGAATATGACTTGAGCGCCCATCAGGTAAGATGTGTTAAAACAATTTTTGTACAGCAGGCCTAATGATAAGACAGCCTACCTGGGCTCCAGCCTGCCTGTAACTGTGTGAACTTAGCAAGTCCTTCACTCAGTCAGACTTTGCTTTCTACATCTGAAAAAGTCAAAAGAAAGAAAATAAAAACCTCAGCCTACCTCCCTCTCAGGGTTGTTACAAGGGAGAAAAGAGCATAAACAGATGCAAGAAGTGCTTCCTTAAAGAGTTCAATATGAATTGTTTTTCTGTTTAGGTTATGTTAAATCTATTTCATATTATTAATCCCTTCCAGATGACACCCATCAAACAAACACCCAAATGGTCCATGTCTGAAAGACCACAGACTTTTCTTTTGGGAAAAAAAAAAAAAAAAGCTAGGCCAAGCCTGAGATACATCGGGCTTTCTAACAACAGGGAAATTTGGCTCTTCTTTGGGCCTGTTCCTTTTTGTCCTGGAGGCTTGTTAATCAGCTGCAGGCTGCATTTTCCTTAAGAATTCAGGCTAGTAGTCAGTTAGTCATGTAGACAGGGGTAGCCTAGAGAAGCATGATGTCCATGGAGCAGCCAATGGAACTGGAGGCAGTAAAGGGAGGCAGAAGATGGCTTGGAAGCCACTGGCATGTTGCTTTAGTGGATAGTAATGAGGAGAGCCAGACCTCACGTTTTTCACCTGGAAGATCTGATACTGCTTCCCCTCCTCCACTGTAAACCCCTCCATGAAAGAGCAGAGGACCCGAAAACTGCAAGATGTGATTCATAATTGTCAATAACATTTGTGTCATTTTGATGCTCTAACTCTATTACGTTAATTGCTCTCCTCTCTACACTTTATTTTAAGGTGAACATTAATTGATTCCCAACTGTAATCACAATTATGGTGAGTTATCCTGATTAATGGAAGATGTGATTAATAGGTAGGAAGGTACAACTGCTTCTCCTTCCCAGGGAAGAGATGATATATGTTATTATAGCTCTGCTGTAGGCTTCATTTTCCTTAAGAATTCAGAGCCAATGCAAGCTATCAATCACCATATTCCATTGTTCTTCCCAGTTGACTGGACACAACTCCCATTCGGCCCAGCCTGTTTCTCTTCACTCACTGACTGTCCCTGCTTCCTTAGGGAACACTCCTACTCCAGACCCCCTGTGTTCCAGAGAGAAAAGAGAGATGCTAGCATGTCAGTTCTGAATTCTGAAAACGGAATCGTGAATTCTGGTACAGTCAAGATAGGCAAAGTGGTGAGTATGTATCATGGCCAGACCTAGAAAATAAACTGAAGTAGATAGAGGAGAAAAAGAAGTATTCATTTGTATACTCCAAGGCCTAGCATCATACCTGGCACATGGTAGCTGTTTACCACATAGTATTTGAAAATGAGAATAGGTGAATGAAGTTTATCATCCCTCCCTATGCCCTGACTACTAGTTGCCCATTGTGTTTCTGGACTCCTCTCTGCCACCCCACCCAGCCTTGTCCTCCTAAAGAGGATTCCCCTCTCCAAGCCTTACATCCTAGCTCACCTGTCCTGTGTCCTGCTCTGTGAGTGCCTTGCTAGGAGACAGGGTAGCTCAACAGATGTACCAACTGGTGTGAGAGCTAATGATAACTAACTGTCCCCAGTAACCTTGTAATAGAAACCTTACCTGCACCCCTTTACAACTCCTTTACATTTTGCTCAAACTTCCTTCCCACCCTCATCTCCAGGAATCCTCTCCTCCTGCCTACCCATCTCACACACCAGTTATGGATGATCAGTGAGTCCACTGGCATCTTCTGTGCAGGAGAAGTTAAGACCAATAGCTTAACTAGAAGGAGAAGTAGAAGACTTGCTTTGAAGCTGCAATGCGTGACAAGCATGGAGGTCTTCCTTTCTTATGGAGAATTTTTGTAGAGAGCTAATGTTTGCAGTTCATGATGCTATCAGCCACCTAGAGTGTTCTAAATTCATACTTATGTTTGCTTTCCAGGGGCAGAAAGGGCCTTGTCTCTGTCATCTCTCTGATGAGATTCTACTCTTTCCCCAGGCTTCGGCTTAAACAGAAGATCTTTTCAACCTGAGAGCCCTCCTGGCCAGGCAGAACGCATTTCCCTCTCCTAGGCCTGGAGGCCACCTGGCCACACCTCTACACAACTCCACACCTCTACACAACTCCACACCTCTCAGCATCATCACAACCTTGTAACCCAGATGTCTGCTGTCCTTCTGTGTCAGACAAATGTCTGGTCCCCTGAAGATCATACTGCAGTTTATACCTGTCCAAAGACAGCCAGCAGAGGGGGTGAGGGGCCAGAAGTTGAGCCCTCCCACTGCTTGCCACGCTGTGCTCCCTGCCCTGGGGCTAAACTCACCTGCAAGAAAGAAGCCTTTTTCTCCCCATAAAGGTTCTGCCCTTAACTGACCACACCCTGTGCTGGCTGAATCAGGTCAGGGGTGCATCGTTTCCTACGGAGCCCAAAGATACCCATGCGTGTTCAGAGCAGCCCCACTCTGACTCCAGGGTGCGATTCTCTTGTCACACCCTTGGGCTTGACCTCAGCTCCTTCACTTTATCATAAGTAATCAGCTACACTCAGATGTTGCGACTTTTTTGTAGACTTTACAGAAAAATCTCACAGGGAAGAAGATGGAGGTTTTCGCGTGTCTCACACACTGAAGCACACAACCTAATTCACCTGGCCCATTTATGTCCTCCAGGTCTGCTCCCACAAGGAGCAGAACTAGGTCCTCTCCTCCTGGCCTAGCCCAGCAACACCTCCTGGCTCCTGTCCCCATCTTCTTCCTCCTGATCCCATTCTCCACTTATGATCCAAACCCACCCTACCTCCTCCCTCAAACTTGCAAACTCTCTTCCATCAAAGCTCAGGAGACAAGCTTCAGCTACCAAGATTCCCTATTTCCCCACTTCACGATTTCTTCCTATGCCCCACTCCCAGACTAATAATTATAAGTTTAAAAAATACCCTTTAGTTATAATTTATGAGTTAATCTACCAATTAAAATGTGAGTTCCCTGAGGGCAGGGATTGTATATTATTTGCCTTTGTCTACTTGGTCTGACTTAGCTTTGAACTCCAGCTTCTTCACATACTGGCTGTGTGACCTTGGGCAAGTCCCTTAACTTCTCCGAGTCCTTGTTTCCCCATTATTGTAAAATAATGGCAATAATCATTTCTATTTCAGAGGGTTATTGTAAGGATTTAATGAGATGATACACATAAAAGGCTTGGCACATAAGTGCTAGATAGGTATTAGGTATTATTGTTAGTGTATTGCTAGGTATTATTGGTTATTATTATTAGGTATTAGCAGAATTATTACGGAACAGAAACGTACTCTCCCCCTGCCCCCATATACCTGGCAGTTGCCCTCATGCATGGGGTGACATTAAGTCTATCTCTATCTTCCTGCCACAGTCATCACCAACAGTACTCAAATGCCTTCTCTCAGAAAAATCATGCCAGATATATATTTGCATATGAGACACAGGAACTTCTTTGTCCAAATCGAGTCCATGTCTTGCCCACATGTGTCAGTTTGGTCCCAGAGCTGTACATTTTGAGGATCTGTGGTTGCTGGGTCTTTTTTCAGCCTCAGGGCCTTGCTGTTCTTAATCGGTTTGGTTTCAAAATAGCTCAGCCCTCCCAGGCAAAGGAAGCTGTAGGCTATGTCCTGATGGATGGTTAATAGATGCGTGTGGGCATGGGTGTATGTAAATATTTAACCACATCAGAAGAACTGAGATTCAGAGCTGTGGACCTGTGCTCGAAAGATTATGTTACAAGTCGGGGCCTTCAGCAAAAGCCTTGCTCTGAAGCTGCCGTAGAGACAACAGGCACATTTTCAATTTGGTTCAGTGCAAAAGATTTTTATTCAGCACCTGCTAAGCACTCAGCACTGTGGCAGACAGTCTAATGGATACAAATGGTGTGCCCTGTATTACTACAATAATGCTGCATAACAAAACACCCACAGCACGTGAGATTTCTTTCTCACATATCTGGGCTCAGCTGGGGTCAGGTGGTCTAGGCTGAAATTGGCCACAGGTCTGCGGGTCAGCTGGAGACAATGTTCTGTGTGTTTCTCATCCTCTACGGACCCATCAGCTACTCCAAGAACGTTTTTCTCATGACCACAGCAGAAGAGGAAAGGCCAAGCCCAATCATATGAGCCTCTGCTTTATCCTATCTACTAATCATCCATTGGCCAAAGCAGTCACATATTGGAGCCCATATTAAAGGACAGGAATGTCTACTCCACCTGCCATGAGGCCAAGGCAGGGCACACAGCCAAGCCTGATGTCTATGGAGTAGGGGAATACACTATCACCCAAGGGGTGATGGAGGAGAGTGAATATTTCTGTGCAATAATCCAATCTGTGGCTTGTTTTATCCTTTCCAATTTGAAGATAATTCTCTTTGATAGACTTAACCAAGAGTTTTTTGCCTGAGGTTCTTGAAAATATAAGCATATTTTTGTATGTAAGGTCTATAGTTTTACTGGGTTGTTACACAGGCCAGTGACTAAAACAGGAGACTGTTATTCTGGACTCCCACAAAAAGGGTAAACAGAAACTCCAGAAACAAAAGCTCAGTGTTGAATTTCAACAGAAGTCCAGACTGGATCATTAAGGAGATGATTTCCTTATAAAGTGGTGATCCCATTCTCCATGGCTTATTTCATTCAAAATCTCCAAACCAAATTAATTTATTGTCTTTTGGGAAGTCTGTAGATTTCAGTAAGAAATTTGGCAATGACTCCTACAATACTCTTGTAGTCAAGCTAAAAATATCACCAATATAATAATAGGGTTAGGTCAAGTCTTAGTTATTTAGAGTGCTATTTAGAAAATGTTGATTGAAGATTACCCTGAAGACCTAGCTCTGGCAATGTGCCTCAGGACTCTGTCCTTGGCCCTCCCCTGTCCAGAGGTTTTATCAATTACTAGAATGAAAAAAGAATCAGAAAGCACTCTAATCACGTTTGTGGGTGACACAATACCAGGAGAGTCAACTAAAGCAGCAAGTGCAAAATCCACACTCAGAGTAATAGGCTAGACGTGGTAGGTTAAATTTAACAAAGACAGTCACGAAATCACAAATTTAGGCCCTGAGGCAGTGCACATTATGAAAGTCCTCTGCCTTGACAACAGTTTAAGTAGAAAACATCTGGGGATTTCAGAGGGGCCACAAGCTCAGTATGATTCAGAAGGGTGCTACAATTGCCCAGAGAGCTGAGAAAACCTCAGAGGCCGCATTCATGGAATTATGTCCCAGGTCAGAGAAAGTCATAGTCCCAGTGGACACAATGTGGTTTCAGGCACGTTGGTCACCCAAGCAATGGCCAGGGATGATTTGATTTTCTGGCCAGCTGGAAAGGGATCCTCTTCTTCTCTCATTTGTGTCTGATTTTCCTTTCTGAAATTCTACCTTTAGGCACAGAAGACATAACTTTTGATTTAGCAAATAAGCATCTCATGCATTCAACAAATATTTATTTAGCACCTACCATGTGCCAGGCACCATACTGAACACCTTTTCTAATGCTAAGGTGGTGAGGGAACCAAGACGAACACCAAAGCCCAGCATAATGGGGGGAAATGGCGCACACACACATACACACACAATTATAATGTGATATTGCTAGAATGATGATGTTTGCAAAGTGCTATGTTAACACAGCTTTCCCCTAGACAAGAATTATATTCTTGGGCCACAGAGGGCAGCTTGGTATTTTAGAGGGAACCAACATTAAGGTCATTTCATCCCCAGAGCCAAGTACAGAGCCTGGCACACAGTAGATATTTACTAAGTAACTGATGAATAGAGGAATGGGATGGAAGACTGCCTGATAGAGCTAAGAACAAGCCCTAGCTCTGCCCCTTTCTGTCAGTGAGTCCATAGGCAAGTTGAATTAATTCACTGAGCCTCAGTTTCTTCATAAATAAAACAGGGATAATGATCTTCATCTCACAGGGTTGTTTTGTGGGTTTAAAGAAATGGAATGAGCTCCAACAGATGCAAAGTGCCCTTCAAGGTCAATGACATAGTAATAATAAACTAGTACTCATTGTTCCTCTGAGTCATGTGCCAGCAAGATCATATTTGGACTATTCTGGGCATCATGAGTTAAGATAGGCATTAACAAATTATAGTTCATTCAGAGAAAAGACCTAAATGAAGAGTGCTTTAGGAAGCAAGAAATGTTGTGGGGCTAAGGAGGCAAAGTCTTCCATAGAGACCCAGAAGGCAGCACCAAAGGAGGGTAGAATTTGGGGAGTTCTATTCCAGCTCTGGTATGGAAGAATATTTTGATAACCATAGCTACCAAGAATGAAATAAGCTGTTTCATCAAGCAGGGAGTGCCCCATTGCTGGGACTTTTAATGCAGGGTTTGAAGCAGCATCTGCCAGGAATGTTCAGACCATCATTTCTTCAACATAATATTTATTGAGTACCTACTATGTGCTCTCCTCTTGTTCTAGGGAACTTTGTATTAAAAAGGAAAAGCAAAGACATAGCCTGTGGATCTAAAGCACTCACAAAAGCAAATGATTTTGTGTATAATGTTACAAGCTGCTGTGGGAACACAGAGGGTTTTATAGAAGGGATTTTGCCTTTGGATGGGAGATGGGACAGAATGACCTCTAAGATCTCTTGGTTCCTATTATTCTATGATTCTATGTAAATCATAATCTCTTTCTGCCAAGAATTTACTCATCTAATCCAAAGATTTTCCTTGGAATTAAACCTTGGCGATCGAGCCTCTAATTCTTGAATGGTAAGATTCCACAAAAGTATTGATAATGATGCCTTACACCGGAAAAGCACTTTCCCCCCTAATCTGGTGGAAGAAATTTGACATCTATTATAACATTTGACCCCCACATCTAACCTATACATAAAACCATGTTTAAATAGATAAGGAAATGGAGAAACAGGAACAACACAGACTTGCCTCAAGTCACTCACTCGTTCGCGGTGAGTAGTAGAGCTGGGGAGAACACAGGTCACCTAAGCCTCGTTTATTGTTCTTGCCAATAGGCCATAATGCATTTAGCTTTCTTCCTGTTGGATTTTGTCTTGGAAAGTTTCTCTTTCCCTCTACCGCCTCCCCTCCCCGCTACTCCGTTATTGCAAGCACAGAATCTGGCAGATGAATGACCTGGCTGATCTCCCAAGTTTCCCTCTGAAATGTAGAACCCGACATCCCTTCCATCTGAAATTCCAAACACAGTCACTGCTGTGTCAGAAAAAATATTAACTGTTTGAGCAGTGGACCTTGCCACCAGCCCAGGAGAATGATAAGCACAGGCAGAGAAGGGAAGCCGCTCACTACCTTTGTTCAGCTCTAAGGGAAGATGCATGACCTAGCTGGGGTGGCGATGCTGTTTTTTAAAAATAAAATATAGGGATTCGAATGCCTGTGCTAAGAGCATTTCCTCCATGGGGAAATGGCCTTCTCTGGGAGACCAATAAATGTGTGCTTTGGCTTATTTATTTGGCTTTCATTTGAGGTTGAAGTGGCAACCAGTGGGCAGGTCCCAAGGCCAGGGCTTCTGCAAATGTTAGGCCATTTGGAATGCTGGCGAGTCCGCTGTTATCTTTTATCCCTGGGAGTGAATCACTCTGACAGCCTGACAAGGCTGCTGAGAGACAGAGTGAGGCACCTGTTTAGACAGTTGTCCCATCAGACTGGGTAGCCTGCTGTCTCTTCACCAGTGGGGGTCAGGGCAGGGAGGAGACAGGAAAAGGATGTGGGGCTGAGCAGAAAGCTGCACTGTCGTCTGGGATGTCCCCTGGCCAAGTGCCCAGCAGGCACCCTCCTAGGGTATCCCAAGCTGCTCCACTGGCTGGTTTGGAATTCTCAGCCTGGATCAATCAGGTAATTTATGTGATTTGCTTCCAGAAACGCCAGAGACAAAACAGGAAATTTCTACATCTTCATCCATGAAAGACTGAGCTTTGAAAGGCATTCTCTAAAAGGAATTTCATGTTGTTGGCAATGGCAGTATCATTGGAAGATGACCCACACCTACACACACCCACACCCACCCACACCCATTCTCACACACACACACACACACACACACGTGCACCAGCACCTCCTCATTCCCTTATCTTGCTTTATTTTTCTCCATGGCATTTAACCATTTTTGCTGTCACTTATTTGTTTGTTATCTTCTCTACTATAGAATATTCGCTCTGTGAGGGCAATGACTTTGTCAGTTGTTCATTGCCGCAGCCCCAGTCCATCAGATGGGGACTGGCTATAGTTAGTTCTCATTAAATAACTGTTTCTTCACTTGTGGCCTCAAGGCCTATTACTGGAGATTTATTAACTTAGTTTTCAAAGACTTCAACGTTATTAAAAGGCAAACATCCTTAGAATCGCTCTTTAAGTCTTAATAATAGTTCTCAGCTAATAAATTTTGAAGATGAGAGAGTCTGCCATCACATTATAAAGCGCAGATACTTTCTAGAGTTATGCTTGAGAGGAAAGCATTACAGGTGAGGAGGATCTAAAACAAGAGGGTTAGAAACAGTAAGGCCTGAAATGTGGCCTCTTCATTATTTTGCCCTAGTTGGTCCTGCCTGAGTCATATTTGATTCTTGGGCCACTCTAAATCCAACATCAGCAAATCCTATGTCAGCTCTGGTAGAGAAATCCCTTTCGCTCCACTCTCACTATTGATACCAAGTGCAAGATCCCTTTGCCCTGAAATATCAGTGATCAATCCACATAACCAGTCTGCTGCGTCCAATCTCCCCATCTTATCCCTGTTGTGAACCACTTCCAGGCCAACTTTCTAAAACACCACTGTCTTTGGGCTACCCGTGACAGTCACTAAGACCATTTCTGAATATTTCTGGTTATCCCTTTAGAGACCTATGATAGGCACATATGTGACTAGTTTTGTTCAGTGAGTTGTAAGAAGACACGATAGACATCAGTTCTGGGCTTGAACATTTCATTGCTGATGTGAGACCCCCCAGAGCTCTTTCTGTCTGGCACAGTGACCACCAATATTTCAGATTAGCCTGGATCCTGAGTTACCAGGGTGAGCAGACACCCCTGGTAACCCACAGTGGATATAAAATATAAAATTAACCTTCATTATTTAAGGCCCTGATAATTAGGGGTTGCTGATTACTGCAGCATAACATAGACTATCTTAATACCTACCAAATGCAATAAAACCTATAATGTTTCTCATTACTCATTATCATGTGTGATATGGTACACAGCTTATGGTTCTATAACCAATGTAATAGGTTATATACAAGTAGGTTACATAGTACCTATGGTACTATTAAACAGACATGGATCTAAGTCCTAGTTTTGCTACTTACCATCAGACAAGGACAAGCTATGTAATCTCCTACTAAGTCTCCTCCTTTGTAAAATTAGAATAATACTTACCTTGGGGTGATTAAATGGAATAACCCAGGGCTGGTGACAGGCCTATAGCAGCCACTCAGCAAGCATGCCTAATGTGGATAAGTTCCCTTTTCTCCTCCTCTTCTTTCTGCTGACATTCATGTGTCTCTATCACCTGCCCATACCTAGCCTACCTGACTTGCCTCCCACTACTCACCTTCACAACCAATGCTCACATAATGTCACAAGCAGTAATACTCAACCCTGGCTTCACATTTGAAATATTCAGAGTGCTTTATTAAAATACCCATGCCTCCTCTTCACCTTACGCCAACTAAATCAATCTCTAGAATTGGGACCCGGCCTTGGTTTTCTGTAAAAGCATCTTTGGTGATTTAAATATGCAGCCAAGATGGAGATCCCTGATCTGTAATTATATGAAGGGTTGTGAGTGTGGATTCTGGAGCCAGTTGCCTGCAGCTACATCTTAGCCACATGACCTTAAGTAGTTTTCTCTGTGCTTTTACTTCCTCATTGGAAAGCAGGGATGAGAATAATGAAGCCTCATCTCTTAAGGCCTTTACGAGGTTGGCAGAAGAGTGTGAATGCACTTGTGCCATGCCTGACTCGTGGCAAACTCTCAGTGAGCATGGTTGCCCCTTCCCCCAGACCATGCTCAGCCCTGGAATGTCCTTTTCCTCCTCAAGGCCCTCTCCTCCTCAGCCCCTGCCTGAATCTTTGTTCTGTAATTCCTTCACATGCCTCCTCTACTCCAGATACAACTGCGTGGAGACCATGTACCATGATTTGCGTGAAGAGTATGTACCATGATTTGCATGGAGAGCATGTACCATGCCTTTACATATGCAACATATTGCTCTTCGGTCTACTAAATCTATCTCCTCATTGAGACTAGAAACTGATGAAGGAAGGGGTGATATCCATGCTTCCTTTTCTTCTCTATTCCTTACAACCACCTGAGTGACACTGTGCACATGGTACCACTGGATGATTGATGGGCGGCTGTTGGATTCAAAGCCATTCTCAGCAATGGCTGCAGCCACTGGCATATCAACAGCTGTAACACCCAGTCATGTATTCAGGGCTGGCTCCCCAACCAGAAATGGGGCAAAGGTTAAATACTTAAGCAATCAAGGACCTGAACCTGGACCATACAGCACAAAGAAGGACAGGGGGGCAACCCTCCTCTCCCCAAGTCCCTGTGAGGGTGGTGGGCCCACCCAATCAAAGCAGAGACCTGCATTGTAACTTTTATACTCTGGCTGACAAATGATCCTGCTCCAAAGAAAGGGAGCGCTGGGGAGTTTGTATTTTCATCCTTCCTGATCTTCTGAGATCAGTGGAGAAACGCTTCCCACCAGCGGTGGGCCCTCCTGGCCTAGGCCCAGGTGACCTGGAGTCCATCTAGGAAGTCACAAGCCTGAGGATATGTGCAGGACTTCCTTGCTACACCCTTCAGATGAGGGCAGGGGAGGCTATGGAAACCTGTAACAATTTCTGAGGATCTGGGTTGGACTTCTGAGCCCCCCAAATCAGTATCTCTTTTCACCAATGTCTGTTTTCACTACCTCTTTTCTTCCCGATAGTCTACCATAAGAGGAGAAATAGCCAGTCACAGTGGCTCACGCCTGTAATCCCAGCACTTTGGGAGGCTGAGGCGGGCAGATCACCTGAGGTCAGGAGTTCGAGACCTGGCCAACATGGTGAAACCCTGTCTCTACTAAAAATACAAAAATTAGCCAGGCGTGGTAGTTCATGCCTATAATCCCAGCTACTCGGGAGGCTGAAGCAGGAGAATCGCTTGAACCTGAGAGGCGGAGGTTGCAGTGAGCCCAGATAGTGCCACTGCACTCCAGCCTGGACAACAGATTGAGACTTTGTCTCAAAAAAAAAAAAAAAAAAAAAGATTTTGGCCGACTGTGGTGGCTCACACTTGTAATCCTAGTGCTTTGGGAGGCCAAGGTGGGTGGATCGCCTAAAGCAGGAGTTCAAGACCAGCCTGGCCCATGGCCAAGGACTTCGTGTCTAAAACACCAAAAGCAATGGCAATAAAAGCCAAAATTAACAAATGGGATCTAATTAAACTAAAGAGCTTCTGCACAGCAAAAGAAACTACCATCAGAGTGAACAGGCAACCTACAAAATGGGAGAACATTTTTGCAACCTACTCATCTGACAAAGGGCTAATATCCAGAATCTACAATGAACTCAAACAAATTTACAAGAAAAAAACAAACAACCCCATCAAAAAGTGGGCGAAGGACATGAACAGACACTTCTCAAAAGAAGACATTTATGCAGCCAAAAAACACATGAAAAAATGCTCACCATCACTGGCCATCAGAGAAATGCAAATCAAAACCACAATGAGATACCATCTCACACCAGTTAGAATGGCAATCATTAAAAAGTCAGGAAACAACAGGTGCTGGACAGGATGTGGAGAAATGGGAACACTTTTACACTGTTGGTGGGACTGTAAACTAGTTCAACCATTGTGGAAGTCAGTGTGGCAATTCCTCAGGGATCTAGAACTAGAAATACCATTTGACCCAGCCATCCCATTACTGGGTATATACCCAAAGGACTATAAATCATGATGCTATAAAGACACGTGCACACGTATGTTTATTGTGGCACTATTTACAATAGCAAAGACTTGGAACCAACCCAAATGTCCAACAATGATAGACTGGATTAAGAAAATGTGGCACATATACACCATGGAATACTATGTAGCCATAAAAAATAATGAGTTCATGTCCTTTGTAGGGACATGGATGAAATTGGAAATCATCATTCTCAGTAAACTATCACAAGAACAAAAAACCAAACACCGCATGTTCTCACTCATAGGTGGGAATTGAACAATGAGAACACATGGACACAGGAAGGGGAACATCACACTCTGGGGACTGTTGTGGGGTGGGGGAAGGGGGAGGGATAGGATTAGGAGATATACCTAATGCTAAATGATGAGTTAATGGGTGCAGCACACCAGCATGGCACATGTATACATATGTAACTAACCTGCACATTGTGCACATGTACCCTAAAACTTTAAGTGTAATAATAATAAAATAAAAAATAAAGAAAAAAAACAAATGCAAACTTACTGTAAATTCATACATGTACTTTAACAATAAAAAAGGAAAAGCTAAACAGAAAAAAAAAAAAAAAAAAAAGACCAGCCTGGCCAACATGGTGAAACCCCATCTCTACTAGAAATACAAAAAATTAGGCTGGGCATGGTGGCTCATGCTTGTAATCTCAACACTTTGGGAGGCCGAGGCCCGCGAATTGTCTGAGGTCAGGAGTTTGAGACCATCCTGGCCAACACGGTGAAACCCCATCTCTACGAAAATACAAAAAAAAAGGTGGGTGTGGTGGCGGGTGCCTGTAATCCCAGCTACTCTGGAGGTTGAGGCAGGAGAATCGCTTGAACCTGAGAGGCAGAGGTTGCAGTGAGCCAAGGTCATGCCATTGCACTCATGCCTGAGCGACAAGAGCAAAACTCTGTCTCAAAAAAAAAAAAGGTGGGGGTTTGGGGATATAGTGACTGACAGTTGGAAACTGAGGCCAATAAAAATTCTCAGATTCTTGCCAGTGACTCACCCACCACCCAATGTCCTTGAGTAATGAAGGGGAAACGAAGAAAGGGAACAAATACTCAACCCCGCCTATGCCTAGCTCCAGGTTCTGGGTGATTTGTCTATTTGTTCACCTATTCCTTGTCTCCATTTTGTAGCATGGGTGGTGTTGTTCCAGTTCCACAGATGAGAAAACAGTCTCAGACAGGACAGGTGAAGCGGCTTGTTTGGTGCATGTCAGAGCCAAGTCAGACATTCATTCATTCATCTATTCATTCTCTCACAGGATTTAAAGTTCCTCATGATGATGGCAGCAGATGAGGTAGAAGTGAGGACTAGGAAAGACCTGAAGTATGGGTGAGTGTGTATGTTTTAAAAATGTACCGGGATTTGTTTTAATGCAGTGTGGTAAGACTGCAGACGTGGAAATGATTGTTGTGAAGAAGGAAATCTATACCTGCAGATTCCTAAAAGGAGGAGACACAACACGCCTTGCAGGGCCACATGGGGAAGGGTCAGGGACAGTCAGGGGGCAGAAGAGGGAGAGGGAAGAGAATGACCAGAGCCTCTCCTGGGGTTTCTGTGGGAAGGAATGGGCAAGGCAGCGTCGACACGCCGAGTACACTTAGGATTGGATGGTTTGAATAATTCTGAGGGTCTCTGGGCCATAGGGGTGGTCCCGAGTTGTTCAGTACCTGGCCCTGGGATGATTTCAAACAGGGAGAATATTGTCTTAGTATGTGAGAGTTTGATAAAGGAGATGGTTGGAAGTGTGGGCCCTAGATTGGTTGGTTTGTATATCAAAGGTGTGTTCTCAGGGGAGTCATTTGCTATCCCTAGCAGTCTCTCCAGGATCAATGCCCCAAATGCCAGAGCATTTAGAATATGGAAAATATGAAAATAGTCAATACGCTGTGTGATGGTAAAAATCTGTAGGCGAAAACACTTGGGAAGAATAAAAAGTGATTTAGTCCCATGACCCCAGCCACAAAGGACTGAGGCTATTGCCTGAGATAAGGGAATAAAAATGGCAATGATGAAGCCAAGAGAGTGTCAACACCTCCTCTGGGGTCTCAGTCTTGGGATGCTGTAACAAAATACCATAGACTGGAAAATTTATAAATAATGGAAATTTATTTGTTATAGTTCTGGAAAGTCTAAAATCAAGGCACCAGCAAATTCGGTCCAGTGAGTGCTTGCCCTCTACTTTATAGATGGTGCCTCTTGCTCTGTCCTCACATTGTGGAAGGAAAGGAAGGGCCAAACAGACTCTCAAGCCCTTTTATAAGGGCACTAATCCCATCCACGAGAGTGGAAACCTCATGACCCAGTCACTTCTTAAAGGTGCCACCTTTTAATACTATTGCATTGAGAATTAATTTTCAACATTAATTTTGGAAAAATACAAACATTCAAACCACCACAGGATCCATGCAGTGGAAAGATAGCAGCATCTTCAGGGGAGGAACCACATTTTAGTTATGGCCAGAAGATAGAGAAAAGATCCCAAAAATATAGGGAATTAGGACTGAATGAAGGCTCCAGAGTGAACAATGGAAAGCGCTAGAAAAGACTGTGACTGGGAATCAGTAGGCAGAGGTTGAGAAGAAGGCATAAGACAATAGCTGAGAGGGCTGTAGAGCTGTGGAAACAAGGAGCAGGGGGCATGGTTGGGTCTATTGTCCTGGGTTGTGGACCCACCTAGGCTGAGGCCCCAGGTTATTCAGGAAACCTGGTTAAGCTAGCAATTTGTAGGCAATGTTCATTATTTTGATACTATGTGGCCAAGAAGTTCTTGTATTTTTAAATGAAACCTGTTCACAGCAGCTGTAGAAAATTTCTTGGCCTCTTAAGGTCTTATTCCCAGTAAATTACCAAAGTTCAGGATGTCTCAGAGACTTAAGGTTTCACTCGGGTAAATAAAAATCCTAGAATACCTGGGGGAACAGCCTTTGACTCCTTTCTTCATAAACAGGGAAAGAATGAACGGAATCCAAGTGCCTTCTAGTGGAGTTTCCATGGCCCTTATTTCTTGGGGTCTTTGTTTTTAAATCTGTCACTGCACCAGCAGACAAATTAGCACTCAGGACATCAAGATACTGGAGACCAGAAGTGGACATGAGAACATTGATCTGAGATCACTTCTAAGACATCTAGGTCCAAAACTGAAGGAGTTACAGGTGGCCACACCAGGTATGGAGGGGCTACTCCCAACATCTTTTTCTTAATTGGAAGAATCCATCATTGTTCAATTTCCCCAGTCACACCATGTAGAGAGCCTGAAACTTGAGCTATTTTCATATGCTGAAACTTCCTCCCAAAAGCTCTTTGTGTTCAAGTTGTATGACCCCCTTGCTTGTGCTGACCTTCACTCTTACTTTTCCTTCTACCTCACCCCACACTTCTTACTTCATGCTTGCCCCATATGGCTGCTTTTTTTCTTTCCTTTTTTTTTTTTTTTTTTTTTTTGAGACGGAGTCTTGCTCTGTCCCCCAGGCTGGAGTGCAGTGGTGCGATCTCGGCTCACTGCAAGCTCCGCCTCCCAGGTTCACGCCATTCTCCTGCCTCAGCCTCCCGAGTAGCTGGGACTACAGGCGCCTGCCACCACACCCGGCTAATTTTTTGTATTTTTCAGTAGAGACGGGGTTTCACCATGTTAGCCAGGATGGTCTCAATCTCCTGACCTTGTGATCTGCCCGCCTTGGCCTCCCAAAGTGCTGAGATTACAGGCTTGAGCCACCGCGCCCAGCCGTGGCTGCTTTTTAATAAGTTTATTCATTCATTCCTCAAATATAGAGAACCTACCATGTACAGGCACTGTACTCAATATTGGTGGCCCTGATTTCCATCCTACATACCAGTCTTAAATCAATCCATATTCATGACAGATCCTCTAAGTGAAAACACAAGAACCAGGGTAGGTGCTGGGTGTGGTACAGGAGGGGAGAAGTGTTCAGTCATCAACTGGCTGGAGCTTGCAGGCTGTGGAGGCAACATGACCTGCACAAATCTTCACTCTGCCAGACAAGCTGAGCAATGGATAGGATGCTGCTAACAGGTGTGTTTTCAGCTATGGAAAGAGCAAGAGTTAAAAATCCCAGACTCTGCCATTTAACTCACTGTTTAATCTCAAATAAGTTTCTTATTCCTGTGGGAACTTTAGCTTATCAGGCTGTAAAATGAGAATAATCATCATCTACCCCCAATATTGCTGTAAAGATCAAATGAATGGATGCCTGTGGAAGTACTTTATAGACTGTAAAGAGGAATGTAGATTATTATCTACAGGTAATAATAATTGTCTAACTATTTGCAGATTAACAAAAAAGTGTATCCGCAAACCTTACTCCTCACAGATAAGCTATATTCTCCAGATCTCAAAAAACAAATAAGCTGGCTTCTGAAAGCTCTGTAAACATACCCCTAAAGGAGATAACTCTTAACCACACTCCTTTCCACTTTCCACTATAAACTTCGTAGCGCCCTGAGAGCCATGGGGGTAAGGAGTGCACAGCTATCTGGGATGCTCACACCTAATCAGGGCCCCACGGAAATCCTTTCTACAGCAAGTGCCTAGTCCTGTATAGCAGAGCTGAGTACCCGATCAGATAATGAGCCGCACAGCTGTGCAGGCAGATATTTCCCCAATTATGGTGGCATTAGGGAAAGTTATTGGAAAGGACTTTCTCCCACCATTGAGTAGTAAATGCTTTGCTAATTTGCCTGATGATACATTTATGACGGTTGCTTGCTAATCCTCTTTCACAATCTACCTTTCATGGCCTGTCTGTTTGGAGAGGCCAGTCCTCTCCAATGAACCAACTTTATTTCATTATGGCTTATTATTGTATTTTGTTCAGGGAATGCCTGCAAATGAGAAAGTGCCCCACAAAACTCTCTCATCGTGGGCATAATTACTGCCTCAGTGCTTAGAAAGAAAGAAAAACAAATACTAATCTTTGCTAATTGAAACAGTAAAATATGTGTAGTTCAGAACTATTCTGTATGGAATTGTGAGAGGAAAAAAAATCCCCCACACACACACAAGTACACACTCACACACAAAATGGAGCCTTGCCATGAAACTCGGACTATAAATATGTAGGACCCTCTCCTCTCTCGTGCTCACTCATCTGTCTTCCACAGCCCCATATTTCGCACATGTGCATTTGAGTCTCAGTATATTGGTATTAATTATTTTTCAGATTTTGGAGGGGGTGTGACAGGGATTGTTCTATAATTAAATTCATTTCTCTTGGGGGAATTTACCTCATTTGCATCTCTTGTGCTCCTTTTACAGAACGAGATCTGAAAGGAAGGTTTTGTTTGTACTCTGTTCTGCAGTTTCTCTACTTTCTCTTTTTTCTTTCTTTTTTCCTCAGGTTCTCCCAGACTCTGGCCATAGGCATGACACAAAAACTAATCAAGGATTGTCAGGACAATTTTATTTAACTTGGAGTGAGTAGGGGGAAAGAGTTTCTCTCCATAGAAGAGGCCAAGTGTTGATTAAGTGGGCAGATCATCCTGTAATTAAGGTTTTTTTTTCCATAAAGATAAACTAACTGCTCACTTCTGCTGGCTTTACCTTCTTCACTGAATCAGAAACACCATGTGCAGCTGTGGGGAAGGCAGAGGCAGATTCATGGATAATTTTATGGCCAATTTGATGGTCATGTATTTAAGAGCATAAGAAGCAAAAGTTGTGTGATGCATGGCAAAACAAAAAACAACAAAAACAGAAGTCTTATGGTCAGTCTTGAGTTCAAACCCTACATTTACAGTAAGGACATTACAAGGTTGAGTAAGCCCAGTAAATCCCTCCCACTAATTACAACTCAAAACTCTAGACAAAATAGAAAAAGCAACTATCCTAAGACTCTGAAAGTAAACAAAACAAACAGATTGTGAAGGCTTGTTAACACCTAGAGCAGCAAGCCATATGGGAGTGACTTCCTGAGGCTCCCTACCCTGCTTTCTCTCTCACCACATTGACCTGAGCACAGCTGCACACATGGAGAGGTACCCCATGGTGGCACTTGCAGCCAAAACTTTGATGGAAACACCATTTTTCTGGTAAGAGAAACTGGGAAAAGGAGGTCCTCTTGGAGGCTGGAAAATGTGAGAGAAATGTCATAGAAGAAAACCCTGGAGAATAAAATCGTCTAATTCTATCTATAACAGACACATGTTCAAAGAACCCCTGAGCTGTGCAGGCATGAGACAGAAAGCGGCCTAGCAAAGGTTTTGAGAACCGAATGGAGACGTGTATCATTACTCACAGAAGGTAAGACAAAACTTACAATCTGACCCCAACTTGTTCAGACTAAAATAACAACAAAAATCAAGGTTCTTTAGAGGATTTTAATAGAATACAGAGTATGCACAACATAGCATTTATACAATCCAAGATGTAATCCAAAATTACTTGCATACAAAGGAGCAGGAAAATGTGACAAATCTCAAGGGATAAAGACAATCATAAAATGCTAACCTAGAGATTATCAGACACAGACTTTAAAGCAGATATTATAACCATCTTGTATGAGGTTTGAAGAAAACTTGAAAAGAATGAAAAATGTTTTCAGCAGTCAATTTCTATATTTCAGCAGAGATATAGAAACCATAAAAAGAACCAAGTGGAAAATTTAAAACTAAAAAGTAAAACATCTGAAATTTAAAAACGTTCACTAGATAGTCTCAATAGGACTTGAAGATAGCATTAGAAATTGTCTCTGAGAAACAGAGACAAAAATTAAAACAAACAGAACCATCCTCAGGGACTTGTGGGATAATATGAAGAGGGCATTGTTGTCCCATGAGGAGAAGAGAAAGAATACTTGAAGAAATTATGAGTAAAATCTTCCCAAATTTGGTGGAAAACATACATTTACAGTTTCCAAAAGCTCGGCAAGTCTGAAAAAAGATAAATTTAAAGAATATGCCAGACATACGATAGTCAAACTACTCAAAATCAAAGATTAAAAATATTCTGAAAGTAGCTAGAGAAACACATCACATTATATATAAGGAGACAGTGATTTGAAATACCATGGTTTTCTCATTAGAAACTGTAAAGGCCAGAAGGCAATGGGACTATACTCTGAAAGCATTAAAAGAAAAATAATTCTCAGTCTAGAACTCTATAGTGAGCAAAAATATTCATTATAAATGAAGATGAAATAAAGAAATTCTCAGATAAATGAAAAAGTGAGCAAATTCATAACCATCAGACGTGCTCTAAAAGAAATATTAAAGGAAATTCTAGAGGAAAAAGAAACAGAGAAAAACTTGTATCTTTAGGAAAGAAAGAAGAGCAACAGAAATGGTAAATACCTGGATAAATATAAAACATTATTTGTCATCTCTTAATGCCTTTAAAACATGTGCTTGTTGAAAGCAGAAATTATAACATTGGTGGGATTTTCAATGTATGTAGATGATACATATATATAACAACTTTAACATAAAGTGAGAGGATGAGAGGATAAAGAGAGCAGTGTGTTTCTAAGTTTTCTCCATTTTACTTGGAGTCATAACATATTAACTCTAAATAGACTGTGCAAGGTTAGGTATATATATTGTAATCCTTAGAGTAATCATTAAAAATAATTCAAAGAGAAATAGTCAAAAAGCCAGCAGATAAGTTAAAATGGAATACTTAATCAAATAATTCAAAAGAAGTAATTACAGAGGTAATAAGGGAACAGAAAATAGAAGGAACAAACAAAAATGAATAATAAAATGGTAAACCTCAATCCCACCATATCAATAATTAAATTAACTATAAGTGGTCTAAACAAACCAATTGGAAGACAGAGATTATCAGGTGGAGCTGTTTTTTTTTTAAACCTGTCTTTACTATGTACTAGCTGTAAGACCTTGAAAAGTTACCTAATCTTTTGACCTACAGTTTGTTTTTTAATTAATTACAAGGGAATAATAACATCTACCATGCCGAGTTGTTATGGAGATAAAATGAAGTGGTGTCAGCTAAATGCCTAGTGTATGGTAAGTACTCAATAAATTATATCAACTCTCTGCTAATGACCATTAACAATGACCACTAACAGCTACTAAATCCATCTACAGTAGGTTAGGACCATTCATGTAGCTCTACATTATTTTGTCTTTGAAAAAATCACTGAAGAAAAGGTGTGATCACAAAAGATTATCTTCTCCAAGGCATGGTTTCTCTTATCCCACTCTGAATATGACACAAAATTACTATATATCTTTTATCTTACAAGACTCACTGCATATTTATAATATCTTTAGCATGATGAATTAGTAAATTGTACAGATTGAGTCTCTATTTCCACATCTTCCGGCAACTCTAAACATTTATTTGTTTGAACTTCTTCTACCCTCATTAAAATGATCCTTGCTTACTAGAAAATAATCTGTACTACTTCCCATAAGCATTTCTGAATTTCACAATACTGAATGTCACAGCAAGAACCCAGACCTCTCAAGACCTGCCCTTACCAATTTATATGTAATTAAGACATCCGTTAATGAGCGCACATCCTCCACTGGAAGGTGCAACACTGATTTGTTCTCTTTGCCGAGAAGGTAGACTGCTGGGATTCCAGCCAGAGGAGAGACAGAGACATAGAGACTGGCTGTACATTTAAGAAGCAGCATTGTCAAGGTGCCAGAGAGGGCATGGACCTTGAGATCCATCAGCGGTTGTCAAATTTCCTCACTAAATATTGTTCCAGGGGTAAAAATACAGAAAAGTTCATCTCGACAAATATATAGTGAGCACTATATAACCATGTGCAGGGCACAGAGCCAGGGGCTAGGAAAAGAACTATGAATCAGTGAGGATAATCAACATAAGTGCCACCCTCAGATAGTTAAAGGTCTGATAGAGGAGGCAGCTGGTCAACAGGTCATTTCAGTCAAGTGTGGTCATTGCTCCATTCATACCCTCTTAGACCTGCCCTCAAGAGGCCTTAATACCCAGGGCCCAAGTTCCCACAAACCCCAGATATCCCAGAGATCAGTTTGGAGAATTCCCACGCTGGGAACTTCTGCTTTTCTTCAGCCAACATCATACACGTAAAGAGGTCTGGGAGTAGATATTTCCTGGTAGTGTTTGCAGTGTCATTTACCATTTATGTCACCTGTCATAGGAGCCATTATAATATTTGCTTAAGTATTTAAATCAAGTTCTTTAAGCCAGTGGTTGCTGAGCTTTAATTAAAGCGTATTTGCATACATTAATATCACTCAGCTTCCCTACATTTTAACTGTATTTTTGCATTCAAAACATGACATTTCAATAACAATAGTTGTCAGTGCCTGGGCTCTTATTTATGCCACAATTACAGATCCTGTTAATTACAGCCCGGGTTGGCTTTTCCAGCTCCTTCTGACACAGTCTGCATGCAGCCACGGCTTCTAGTCTTTAAGCATGTGCATTTCGGTATTTAAAGAGCAGCTCCACCATGCTGCAAAGGTTTTTAAAATGTCGGGCTCCTGTTTTCTATCTCCAGCCCTGCTGATGTTCCAGCCTTCAGGAGTCAGGAGAAAAAATGCAGCTTTTGTATCAGAGACTATTGGGCCTGGCAGCTTCTGGGTAAAATTCTAGTCCTTACTAATGATGGATCTGATGTGTTAAAAGCTGAGGACCAACTTAAACTCTGATCCAGACTGCATCTTGTCTGCAGTTAAAATAGTGAAGAAAGAGAAAGTAATTTTGGTGGACTATGAATGCTTTGAGTTGCAGGTGAAGGAATAATAGGGAAATTCTCACCTCGTAAGCGTTGCTGAGTATTACTGGGGGTGGATAGCTGCTGTTTAGTGAGTGCCAATGTAAGCTGGATGGTTGGCACCATAGAGGGTTTGCCCTCCTGGGGAATTCCTGCTCCTACTTTAGGATTTGGTCCAAGTCACCCACCTCCCCAGACAAGCTAAGTTACTCTGTCCCCTTTGTGCTCTCGAGGAATCTTCTCCTAGCCTTGTTAGGGCATTGACCACTACTCATTATTTTCTCTCTCTTTCCAACTAGACTATGAATTCCTAAGAAAAGGAGCCATACTTTATCTCCCCATACCTGACACCAATGACCCCAAAGAAACATTTCTGGAAATGAGAAACCATAATACCAGACTCCCAGGGTCTGAGCTGGCACCAACAATCAGGTAAGGGCCCTAGTTGTGGGAAAGACCAGGACTAAAGGCCAGGACCATACCTGAGAGAGGGGGGCCTGTCCCCTCTCATGGTTTAACCAGCCAGCCCACAAGTTGCAGGCATCCCAGGTCCAGGTGACCCAGTTCCACCCCTGCAGCCTCACCAATCAGACCCTGGACTTTCCCTCCCTCACTCCAGGAAAAATGTTCTTAAATCAGAAAAGCAAATGGCTTCCAGCATCCTAAAACTGCAGAGACAGCTAAAGAGAGAAAGCTCTTCCAAAACAGCCTTTGTGGCCACAGTGGATTTCTGAACTCTGTGGTGAAGCCAGAGGAGTGAAAAGTCAGCCAGAGGTTTACATTTCCAAACACTGAGGCTGGAACAATAAACAGTGCTCTCAGCAGGCAGAGAGACAGCCTGATTTGGGTTTCTCTTGTTTATCCAGATACTCTCCAGCAAGCCCTAGCTCACAAACAATCTGTGTGTCTACCGTGAGTCCATGAGTCACTGACCTCTGGGAGCCAGACAACGTTTCCTGGGTCTGACAACAAAGTGACAGCAAATATCTCTGCAGTGCAGAGAACAACAAAAGATGCTGTGAGCCAAAAACTACTTAGAACCAAACTGGAACCCTAGGGAGGGGGGTGGATGCTAGGCCTGCTTGAGGAGAGTATGTGAACTTGTGTTTGAGCTCACAGGCACCGGTCCAGTCCCATTTTAGCAGCCACTTTTAAGCCCTGTCTATATACTGCCCTCTCTGCAAGCTTTTCTGTCTCCTTGTGTGTTCATCCATTCTTGCACTGCTATAAAGAAATACTTGAGACTGAGTAATTTGTAAACAAAAGACATTTAATTGGCTCACAGCTCTGCAGGCTGTACAACCCTGACATTGGCACCTGCTTGGCTTCTGGGGAGGCCTCAGGGAGCTTTAACTCATGGTGGAAAGAGAAACAGGATTAGGCATATCACATGGCCAGAGCAGGAGCAAGAGAGAGAGTGGGAGGTGCCACACACTTTTTATCAGCTAGATCTCGTGTGAACCCAATCATCACCAAGAGGATGGCACTAAGCCATTCATGAGAGATCTGCCCCCATGATCCGAACACCTCCCACCAGGCCCCACTTCCAACACTGGGGATTATATTTCAACATGAGATTTGGCGAGGACACAGATCCAAACCATGTCACCGTGCGTATCAGTTCACTGCAAAAATATATCTATTGAACACAGATTACATGCCAAATACTGGGCTGGATTCTGGAGATACAAAGACAAATTAGACTCAGATTCTGTCTTACGAGTTTTCCATCTACCTGGAGAGACAAATAGTTAATATTTTTATGGAGTGGTAAGTGGCAATTTCAGAGGGTACAAAGTGTTACAGGTGCAGAGGGGAGGATCACTAGACCCAGCCTGGGCATCTAGGGAAGGCTTTTTGGAGGAGGAGACATCTAAACTGAGTTCAGAAAATAAATTGTGTCCAAATGAATAAAGATGGAAAATGTATTACAGGCAGCACAACCAAGAGGAACAAAGACACAAACATGTGAAACGGCCTGGTGTGTGTGAGAAGCTGGAAGCAGTTGAATGTGACTAGATGTATGTGCAAGGTAGACTAAGTAGAGGTAGGACTGAAGGGACCAGCAGGGGTCAGGTCAAGGAGGGTCTAATGGGGTCCTTTATGTCAAGGGGAGGTGCTTGGAATTTCTCCTCTGGGAAACGGGAAGTCTTTGAATGGGTTTAGGAAGAAAAGTGGCATGAGGAGATCTACTTTTCAGAATGATCACTCGGGTTGCAGCGTGGAGAATGACTGATTAGAGGACACTGTGGAGGTAAAGAGATCAGCTAGGAGGCTGTCACTGCAATCCAGGAGAGAGCTCAGGTAGCAGCAGAAGGTAAGGAGAGTATGTTATGCCGTTCTTGCATTGCTGTAAAGAAATACCTGAAGCTAGGCGTGTTGGCTCACTCCTGTAATTCCAGCACTTTGGGAGGCTGAGGTGGGCAGATCGCTTGAGGTCAGGAGTTCAAGACCAGCCTGGCCAACATGGCGAAACCTTGTCTCTACTAAAAATACAAAAATTAGCCTGATGTTATGGCGTCCACCTGTAGTCCCAACTACTCAGAAGGCTGAGGTAGGAGGTCAAGGCTGCAGTGAGCCGAGATCACACTGCTGCACTCCAGCCTAGATAACAGAGTGAGACTCCATCTCAAAAAAAAAAAAAAAAAAAAAAAGAAAGAAAGAAAGAAGGAAAGAAAAAAGAAAAAAATAAATACCTGGTACTGGGTATTCATAAGAAAAGAGGTTTAATTGGCTCATGTTTCTGCAAGCTGTACAGGAAGTGTAGCAGCATCTGCTTCTGTAGAGGCCTCCGAAAGCTTCCAAGTATGGTGGAAGGCAAAGAGGGAGCAGGCACATCACATGGCAAAAGCAGGAGCAACTTGGGGTTGGGGAGGTACCACACTTCTAAACAACCAGATCTCATGAGAAGTCATTCGCTATCATGAAGATGCTACTAAACCATTCAAGAGAAATCCACTCCCATGATCCTATCACCTCCCACCTCCAATACTAGAAATTACAATTCACCATGAGATTCAGGTGAAGACACGTTTCCAAACTATATCAGAGAGTATCAGGTGAATGTGAGAAATATTGAGAAAACAGGCTTGACTAGACTTGGTTATGCAGCTTGCAGGAGAGAGAGAGGTGTTAAGAACAACCTTGACATTGCTGAATTGAAGAGCTGTGGGAAGGGTGGTACCATCGATGGAGATAATCATGGTAATACTTGTTATATGCATGGTTTACTATATGCCAGACATTATTATGAGTGCTAATGGGATATTTCAATTAATATTCACAACAATGCTATGAGACTGGGACTATTACTTTATCTTACAAATGAGGAAACAAGACACAAAGAGTGTTAAGTAAATTGTCCATGGTCACACAACTACCAGATGGCCACCCTGAGCCTTTTAACCCTGGGCAGAGGGCTCCAGAAGCTGTGATCTTATCATTATGCTGTGTGGCCCTCCAGGACACAGGTAGTGCCATGGGTACATCACACAGTGGCTGGCTGGCATGCAGTCATTGGAGTCTGTCTTGGTTTGAGTTCCTCTAGCAAGTAGTTTGTTTGGGAGGCGATCCCAGGAAACATCAGCAGTGGAATGGGGAAGGGAGATGGGAGAAGTGGAAGGAAAACCAATATAGGGTAAGGTGGCATACAGGTTACAGCTGTAACAACTGGAGCTCAATCTTGCTGGGAAGCTCTAGGATCAGTGTAGAACACATGCATCAGGCCTGTCTCCTTTGAGGATCAAGGAAACTGGGGTCTGTTTCTGCTCACTCACTGGCACTTCCAGCCAGCTGTAAGGGACAGAGTGGGCTCTGGTAATCAGAGAAAGCTGACAGGCAAAGTATCCTAGGTGCTCACCATGGAAGTCTGGCTGGAACACAGGTAAGTTCCAGGGGATATGGGTGGGACTTTGACAGCATCTGCCACAAAACCCAGGAAGAATCTTGGGACTGCATCACAGAATGCATCACTCTGCATTGCAGAATACATGACTACATCCAGGCATCTAAGCTAAGGAGAGCAGAGACAACGAGAGTCAGCACAAACCAGATATCTCAAGTGTTTAACCAACAGATGTCCAGAGCCCTTTAAAGTGGCATGATGGAACTTCCAGGGCTTAAAATCTCCAGATAAAGTTCCCGCTAATTTTGTATTTGTAGTAGAGATGGGGTTTCTCCATGTTGGTCAGGCTGGTCTCGAACTCCCAACCTCAGGTGATCCACCCACCTCGGCCTCCCAAAGTGCTGGGATTATAGGCGTGAGTTAGCCGGGCGTGGTGGCACATGCCTGTAATCCCAGCTACTCTGGAGGCTGAGGCAGGAGAACTGCTTGAACCCAGGAGGTGGAGGTTTTGGTGAGCCAAGATCACGCCATTGCACTCCAGCCTGGGCAACAAGAGCAAAACTCTGCCTCAAAAAAAAAAAAAAAAAAAATTCCTGCTGTGCTGGTGATTACCGGAGTTGGAGGTGAGAATGGAAAAGGAAAACATTCTAGGGGCCTTTTCACCTTTCTTTACTCCAAAACCACGGGTAGAGAGAATGTCATCCAACAAAGCTTGCTGTGGTCCTCCAAATAGAAACATTGCCAATGGCTGGTGACCCCAACTTGCATAAGGTCTGGGTTAGGCATGGGGTAAGGGGATGTGAATCTGCAACCTATATTCCCATCAGCAAGGGCTTTCCACAAAACCTCACCCTGAACACAACCATTAGACTTCACTGAATGTCCTGGCTCCAACCATCTCCAGGTCTGAATTTTCATTCATTTCTCTAAAGCAGAAAACTCAGACGGTATTGTAGTCCAAAGTCAAGAAAATGAGCATGCAGCAGTGTTCCTGAGTTTGGTGCAGAAACAATGGAGAGATTGCAGTAGAGTTAAATGTTAAATATAGCCTTGAAGGTAATTAAGGATTAGAGGGATTAGAGAAGGTGCTTTATAACAAGGTCTGCCTATTAAGATAAAATGTGCAGATTACTATCTGGACCCTGTGTTCAAAACCATGCAAAATTGTCTTCTTAAAAAAAATAGGCCGGGCGCGGTGGCTCACGCCTGTAATCCCAGCACTTTGGGAGGCCGAGGCGGGCGGATCACGAGGTCAGGAGATCGAGACCATCCCGGCTAAAACGGTGAAACCCCGTCTCTACTAAAAATACAAAAAATTAGCCGGGCGTAGTGGCGGGCGCCTGTAGTCCCAGCTACTCGGGAGGCTGAGGCAGGAGAATGGCGTGAACCCAGGAGGCGGAGCATGCAGTGAGCGGAGATCGCACCACTGCACTCCAGCCTGGGTGACAGAGCGAGACTCCGTCTCAAAAAAAAAAAAATAAATAAAATAAATAAATAAATAAATAAAGTTACTCAAGGTGGGCTGACTAGATATGGAAAAATCAGAGAGATGCCCCTTTGGTGGAAGGGTAACTTGTAGATACAGAGACAGGAATTAAACTTCACCAAAGCTGTTACCATCACTACCATGCTGTCAGGTAAACTGTGTACGAGACTACTCACTTCAGAAACAGAATTTGACTGAAATTATACCAATCTCTGTACCTTAAATTCCCAATAGCTTCTTTCATAAGGATGAGAAGATTTAACTGAGAATGGCCCAACCAATTCAATAGAATGCACTACAGGCAGTTTCCTAAACAGTTACCTTTAAACATGAATATCAGCATGAGTTCAAGGAAGTAGTAAAGATGAAGTTCAAGCCAAGTCTATCAGATACCCACGTTCATTGTTTTCCTTTTTTTTTTATCTTTGAGACAGAGTCTTGTTCTGTCACCTGCCTCAGCCTCCTGAGTAGGTGGGACTATAGGCGCGTGCCACCACACCCAGCTAATTTTTGTATTTTTAGTAGAGAGGGGGTTTCACCATGCTGGCCAGGATGATCTCGATTTCTTGACCTCATGATCCACCCGCCTCAGCCTCTCAAAGTGCCGGGATTACAGGCATGAGCCACCACGCCTGGCCCATTGTTTTTCAACTACATCTTCCCCATTGTCACCATTTGCTTCTCATTGTGTTTTAGAGGTGGTGTCTGTTTTTCTTAACTTCCTACCCATTCTTCCACACCTGGCTCCCAGAGGACTTCCCTGACCACTGGAGTCCTCACCTTCACTTTCCGCATCCTCACTCCAGAGACAGTTCAGTTCTGCTTGTTGTTAGAGCCTGGCCTGTGTTGTTTCCTAGTGTGGGAATATTCAGGTCCGTCATCTCTACCATAAACTCCGGTGGTGGTTTTAAAATATGTTCACAAATCCTTGTCTCTTTAAAAAGTGGAGCCTAATTCTCCTCCTTTTGAATGTGGGCTGTACTTAGTGATTTGATTCTAACAATTAGAATGTGGCGGCAGTGACAGCATATATGACTCCTGAGAGTAGGTCATAAAAACATGGTGCTTCCTATCTTCCCGCCCCCCTCTCTCTGTGTGATCTTTTACTCTGGGAGAAGGTAACCGCCATGTCATGAGGACACTCAGCCCAATGGAGAGGCCCATATGGTGAGGAACCGAAGCCTCCTGCCAATGAATAGCCCTTGAGGTCTGCCAACAACTGCGTGAATCACTTACTATAGAATGAAAGAAATGTCAGACATTTTAAAATGCTAAGTCCTAAACCTTTTTTTCCATCTTGAAAGTAGATCCTCCAGCCGCAGGCAAGCCTCCAGATAAGTGCAGCCCCAGCTAGCATCTTGACTGAGGCCCCATGAGAGACTCTGAACCGGAACCACTTGGCTTCCTGACCCACAGAACTGTGGGAGGTAATAAAATGTTTACTGTTTTGAGCTACTGCATTTTAGAGTTGCACCACAGATAACTAATGTCTTACACAGGGTTGGTCTCCTAGTAGGTATCTGTTAAGTATTTGCCAGCCAATTGCTTTGACTGGGAAGAACAGTCTGTCACCCTAGGACATGGGAGAGCTTGGGAAAGGCTATAATTTGGACCTTTTAGGTGGCAAAGAGATATGAAATGGTGAAGGGCACAGCGTGATAGAATGGTGTATTCTTTTCCTGCAGCTGCAATAACAAATTACCACAAACTTGGGGGCTTAAAACAACATAGATTTATTCTAATTCTGGAAGCGAGAAATTGGAAATCAGTTTCACTGGCCTAAAGGCAAGGTGTCAGCAAGGCTGGTTCCTTCTGGAAACTCTAGATGAGAATCCATTTCCTTGCTTTTCAAGCTACCACAGCTGTATTTCTTGCATTTCTTGGCTCGTGGTCACTTTCTCCATCTCTCTCTGCTACTGTCTTCATAGCACCTTCTCTTTTACAAGGACACTTGTGGTGACATCTGTCCCACACAATAATCCAGAATAAAGTTCCCATCCCAAGATCTGTAATTTAATCACATCTGCAAATTCCCTTCTGCCATATGAGGTAACATTCACAGGTCCCGGAAATGAAAATATGGACATATTTGCAAGGGGCCGTTATTTAGCCTCCTACCACAAGCAGAAAAGCCTCGCTTCTTGAATCAAGACAGATTGGAATTCAAATCCTCCGATTAATCATTGTGTAATGTTGAACCAATAACATTAAACTGAGGCAAGTTTTTTAAATCTCCATAACAAAGAGAAAACTTCTTAAATGAATACTACATATAAATGCACCTGGCACTTAGTGGTTTTGTTTTTTTTTTGGTTATTCAGTTTCTAAATAAATGTTAGCTTTTCTCTGTCTTCATTGTATTGAGTAGCTAGGAAGAAAAAGATCCAGGCCAAGAAGGAAGAGGACTCAGAGGCTGTGAGACTTGTAACTAGTTTTATATGGCACTTATTGTTTACAAGGCAGTTTAATGTCTATTATGTAATTTGATTATTAATCCCATTTTACCAAATGAAGGAAACAGAGGCACAAAGGAGTTAAGTGATTTTACCAAAATCACCCTGCTAGTGTCAGAACTGAGTTTCCCGATGCTAAATCCTAAGTTTTTTCCTTTATATCAAATGTATTTGAGTAGAGTCTGCAAAAAAACGAGAACAGCCACCAAATAAAGCAAAGGAAATGAGAAAAGAAGGCCGACCAAATAGTGTATTACTATGAATCGGTGAAGGAGTAGTGCACAAAAGCTTTTAGAGGACAGAAAGGAAATGCAATTATAAGAAGATAGTGTTCCTCCGAGCAGGTCCAGGCTGGCTCTCAGGGAAGCAGGGAGAGAATGGGACTTACCTTCACCTTGATACGATCCACTCTAATTCCTTTCCTCTCACAAAGAAAGGCACAGAGAAGCAATGTGGAGAGTGCTCTCTGAACTTTGGGAATAAAAAACTTTCTGACGTGGCTAATCAGTTTGGCTTATCCAATGAGATACCATCACAGGAGTCAAAGGCGAATCTGGGGATGATTCTGGGAGGGAACAACATTGGATGGTACCGCTGCATGGCCTGTCTGGCTCCTGAGCGTGATGTGTTCTCCCTCTCATCTGCTAGATGGGGGCCAGACTCAGAAGGTAGGAGAGCTGCTCTGCTGGGGGCCGAGGTTGCAGTGAGGGGAGAAGTGTGTTACTGCCTAGGGTGAGAAATCACATCAATAATAAACACATCGCATATCCCCCTTCCAATTTGCAAAGCACTAATACCCTATATTTTTTTCACTTAGCCTCACAAAATCATGCTCATTTTACAAAAAAAAGAAAAAGGAAATGGATGAAATGAAAGAGCTACTACCATTTATTGAATGTTGAATATGTGCTAATCACTGGACAAGGAGGCTTGTGCCTTTGTGATTAGCACATACAAGGATCATATAAATGTAATCATCTCAATTCCTCTGTGAAGTACGTCTTTTTACCTCCAGAAGGACTTAAGATTCAGAGAGGGTAAGAGGCTTGCCCAAAGACCGCAGCTACCAGGTGACAGATCAGAATTCAAATGCAGGACGACGGCAAGATGCTTACTAGCAGATCATTTTAAACGAGCATGCCTGGCACGCAGTAAGCACTCCGTAAGTAGTGTCGTCTGCTACCACTGGTGTTCTTAGAAAGGCTCTGGCCCAACCCTATCCTAGAATCATCACTCCATTGCAGGCTTGACACTGGAACCAACTCTTTGCTCTGGAATTAGGTCAAATCATTGCTGGCTTCAGGCCCTTCTCCATTAAAAAACGTACCCATGGAGATAATGAATGCACTGAATTTCTACCAGTCATTACGCCTTGGTGTCAATCAGAAGGAATGTCCCATAGGAAGGCTAGGACTGGGCATTCCTCTCTACCTATCACATGATTCGATGAGCACAGGGTGCTGTGGTTTGATGTATAGAGTCTGCCTTTCTTAAAGGAGCCCTGATTGTGGCCTGGAGGGGCCTATGTGACATGATTCCCGTGAGGCCAGCCTAGCAGAGGGCAGGATGGCTATCTCTCTACTGTGGCTACAGCTGCCTTTGGAGCTTTCTCAGGAATCCCGGGTGTCCACTGATTGAACAAATGTACACAAACACAGCAGAGCCTGCTCCTGCCAGAAACAGACTCAAAGCTACAGCGACCAGTCCCAGAAAAGTTCCCCCAGGCCAGCTCAACTCCCACCAGCAGGGGTCACACCTGAGCAGCCAGAAGGGTGAGGGGCCCTGATAGTCTGGCCTACCAACCAGCAAACCTTTGTATGCTGCGGGTGAGGTCCATACTCAGTCAGCACATGGAAGGGGAACTGGAGGAGAACATTAAGCTGAGAGGAGGTCCTGGTGGGCTGGGGCCAACTCCCCAGGAGCAGAGGAAGCAGCCAGCAGCCTGGATGGGCAGAGGTGAGACCAGGGTAAGCTACACCTCAAATTGTGCCTCTGCAGGTGGCTACCAATGTCACCTTAATGAGGTGTCTCAGACAACCAGAGGCAGCTGTTCACCTGATGGCCCTTCCCGGCTAGTGGCAGGAGGCTATGTCACTTCCCCTCGAATGCCACCCCGGTCAGATGGCCAGATAGAAGCTGAAGTAGCCCTGAGTCAGTCCTGGAACCAGAGCCCCCACAGTGGGCACTGAACAAGGCCATGACCCGTCCCAGCTGAAAGGGTAGAGAGGGCCCTTTCCATAGCCATTTGGGTTCTGATTTTTTATTCTTTTCCTCTGGAAGAAGAGTCAAAGGACCTTCCTCAGCAAGGGAGGTGGTAGGAACGAGGGTGAATGTCACAGGCTGGGTTTGGATGCTTTTGTGGTATCTCAGAGTCTGAGCACGAGACATATCTGAAAAAAAAATCTTGAATAAAACATGGAAAATGAAGTCCACCTTCCAGAGTTTTTCTCATAGCTGGGAGTTGGGGCATCTGTGGCAGCTGACTTCATTTTCCCCTTAGCATCTGAGGTCCTCACAGCAGGCAGACCCAGCTAGACTTCAGATGACTCCATCCACAGGGGAACAGGATTCAAATCGCCTCCTGATAACCTCTGGGGACATTATTTTTCCCCCTTCTGGTTAATTTCTATTTCAATGTTAAGCAGAGACCCTTCTTGCCTCTCGGCTACTATCCCATTTATTAGTTTAATTTAGAAAAGGACTCTTTAAAACATTCCATTGAAATGATTATCCTGGACTGGGAAAGGAGCCCCAGCCACAGTGGGTGGTTTGTGTTGCTCGGAGGCCATGAGGCTGGCACTGGCTCCCCGGTGAGTGATGGGGACACACCCTGTGGCCCGGGGCTAGAGGACAAGGGCTAGAGCACAGTGCCCTGCACCTAGCTCCTTGATGGGTCAGAGCCCAGTTAGGCTGTGTGCAGGGGGAACAAGATGGGTGCACCCACAGATAGGGGGCTGAGGTGGGAGAGGGTAGGCATGGGGGGCTGACCCCAGGCAGGACCAAGACCTGAGCTTACAGGTACAGGGCAATCCCCAGGATGCCTTGCTGCCCTCAGTCTCCAAAGCAGGCGGAAATCCTCACCTGTGCTTAGCATTCCCCTACCTCTGTGGCAAGGAGTCCTGCTCCCTGAGGGTGACTACTTGGTCCCTGGCCCTGACTGCCCCAGGACAAAGTACAGAAAGGTCTGTTGAGAGTCAGCAGGTGAGGTTGGAAGAGGTAGGCTTTGAGGCAGACAGAATGAATCTAATTCAGACCCACCACTCACTGGCTAGGCGACCGCGGGCAAGTGAGTTAATTTCTTTATGACTGACTTTCTTCCTCTGAAAGCTGGAGATGATGATAGCTACCTCAAAGTATTTGGTAAGGAGAGTGTATGAGCGCAGGAAGAATGGCCAGTGAGGAGCCTGTCAAGTAGGTGCTCAATAAAAGTCCTTTTCCGCTTCCCTTTCCATCTGAGTAGGGCCGGGGGAGAGGGCCCAGCGCTCAGCCTGGCAGATTTGCTGCCAGCCCTATTGGTACCTGATGCTCTTTCTCTGAGTCTCCTACTTGAGGGGACATGATCCACAGGGAGACAGAGCCTCAAACCTGAGACAAGGCCAGCCTGAACAGAAGCTGGACAGATGCTAGGTATTCACTGGGCACAACCCCTGGAGGCCATGTAGGGAAGCACCCACAAGCACCCACATTTGCATGGTGTTCTATAAACCTCAAAGCATCTCGGCCTATGTTTCAGCATTTGCCTAATACCACCCTTTGAGGTAGATAGAGCAGGTATGCCCTTTATCTTTCTCATTTTACAGACGAGAAACCCAAGGTTTCAGCAGTTTCTATAACTTGCCCAAGGTCACAGAGCTAGTGAGATGCAGAGTTGGGGTTCAAACCCACTTCTTCCGGCCTCCAGTCCAGTACCCTTTCCACCATGCCCTGTTAACAAGCATCTTTCCACTGAAGCTTCTCCTGAGGCTGAGGAGGAGATAAGATTCCGTTCAAGGTTAACCACAGCCTCTGAGTTGGAAGGACTGGGGTGGGGGCTGACCTATCTGGACTGGATTGTTGATTTAGTGCTAGCTTGACCCCTTCAATTAGCTGCTGGACAGAGCCAGGCCCAGGAGAGATGAACAGCAGGGCTTAATGGAAATGGGGATGCTGGTGATGATATGAACAATCTGAATTATGGTCTCAATTTGCACAGAGCCTGATAGATTTGCAATAATTCCAAACCAGGTCAAGTGTCTGTGTCTCCTCTTTTGCTGATCTCACACAAGGTATCTCCATTTGTCAGGCTCCGACTCCCTCTCTCCCAGAAGCTGCCCGCCCCCTCTTCCCCCCTGCTTTTGCAAAGTTTTCTGAGTTCCATCTGCAGTACTCTGACCTGAGGGCACCTCTACAGCTGGGCCCAGAGGGACTGAAGCTGCTACTAGCATGGCACGGTCCTGGGAGCTTTGAGGACACCCACAGAGACAGACGGTGCACACCGAGGTAAGAAAAGGGTCAGCTCTCCATCATCCCGAGGCCTCATGCTGTGGTCATTTTTGTTTGTTTTGAGATAGAGTTTCACTCTCATTGCCCAGGCTGGAGTGCAATGGCATAATCTCGGCTCACTGCAACCTCTGCCTCCTGGGTTCAAGTGATTCTTCTGCCTCAGCCTCCCAAGTAGGTGGGATTACAGGCACCTGTCACCATGCCTGGCTAATTTTTTGTATTTTTAGTAGAGACGGGGTTTCACCATGTTGGCCAGGCTGGTCTCAAACTCCTGACCTCAGGTAATCCTCCTGCCTCAGCCTCCCAAAGTGTTGGGATTACAGGCGTGAGCCACTGCGCCTGGCCCTGTGATCGTTTTTAAGACAAGGAGATAGCATAATTTGGTATCTTAGGGGATCATCTTGTGTAGGTGTAAAATGGCTACAATTAATGGATGCAGAGATACAGTTGCAATATAGTCCTCCTAGTACCAGGAACTAGGACAGCAGAGGCCTGAAGTAGATGCCACACCCTCCTCCAGGCCAAACCAGGGATAACTGACCTATTCCACAGCTCATCAGCATTCTTAGACCTGTGCACTGACATCAGCTACACTGTATGGCACCCTAGGCAAGCCTGTTCATGGTTCTGCTCCTTCCTTCTTAACCCTTGGTATGAATTAATCTATATAGATTGCTACATAATCCACGATTGTTGGATAAGCATCAACTACTTGCTCTGGGATGGGTGCTTTGGGATAAAGAAGACTTTAAAAAAAATAACTATTACTATCATTTATTGAACACTTATTATATGCCAGGTATTGTGCTAAATACATTACATACATTATCTCTTCCTTTCTCATTTTTTTACCTTAAAAGGTAAGGTCTATTATCATCTCCATTGTATAAAAAAACAGAGGCCCAGAGAAGTTAAGTAACCTGCTAAAGGTGACATAACTGATAAGAGGAAGAAATACAATTTGCACTCAAATTTGTCTTGGTCTCAAAATATGCTCCTGACCACTAAGGAAAGATACCATCCCAACCTTAAGGAGCCTAAAACCTAATAGGAAAGAAAAAAACATAATACACAAGGGACACAAGGATAATGAAGCAAAACAGCAAAGAAGATGCCACTCTGTGCTGCGTAGATGAGAGACACTTGGCCTTGAGAGCGATGAGAGAGCAGCATGGGTCAAATCAATGAAGAAACATTTGAGTAAGCCTTGGAATGTGGGAGGACTGAAGCAGGGAAAGAAGATGTATCTAGTGAACAGAGTAGAGCAGAGAGGCCCCAGCAGGAACTTGGGGCATGGGAGGAAGAAAGCCTAGAGAGAACACTTAGAGCCACATTAGGAAGGACCTTGAGTGCCGGGATAAGGAATATAAAATTGGTCTCTTGGACAATGCAGAAGAGCCTTCAGCTGAGAGAACATAGGGGCATGACTGCATCACAGTGTGGGCAGCAAAGAGCTCTTGCCCCACCTGAGAGACACAACCTTCCTGGCACTCAACACCTGCACTGAGCAGCCACTGCAGTAATCTATAAGACAGAATGTGGAGACTTGTGAATAAGAGGACCCATTAACAATCCCCACCTTCTGGGTGTCAGAAGGTTAAAACAGAGAAAGACAAGAGAGGAGAGAGAAGGACAGGGTGGGACTAAAAGCAGAAAGATGACATGAGCCAAGTCCTGAACCCCGGGGAAGGCTGGGGGACACCCATGGCCGTGAAGCTGTCTGAAAACCTACAGGTGAGATCACCAGAATACACCCTGGGGCCAAACACTCCCAAACTGGGGAGCTGGGGAAACTGCTTTGTATAGCATCGTGACCCAGCTCACTCCTGAGCAGTGAGCTCTGTAAGAGCCAAAATACTCGCTTCTCGTGGAAGCTAAGATTGGTAGTAGCCAAGCCAGCTGAAGTGTCTGTTCAGCTACCACAAAGGGCAAGGCTGGTGGAAGTGGGAGCTATGTTTTCACAGCTCCAGTTCCCCTCTAGCAGGGCCTGTGGGTGGCAGGGGCGTACTGAACAGCAGGTGTGGCTGGCTGCCCCAGACCATCAGCCTTGACCGACCCAAACAGGAAATATCATCCATTGGTTCTGCAGCAATGGCTGGTGAGCCCCACATGCTATCTGTCCCACCAGACAGAACTGTGCCTTATGGAGAAAGAACAGCTGACATGTTCTCTATGGGAAAGGTACAAGTAGGACCTGGAGGTGGGGTGGGAAGAGATCACAGGACTTAAACTAGTCCCAGCCTAGTAGAGGTCAAGCACTATAGAAAGTCACCTTTAAATCATTCCTTGGAGGGATGTGAAAGTCATGGTTGACTTCCTGACAAGAAGAGTTTGGTGAAACTCTTGGAAATCATTAATTCAACACTTTACAATTGACAAGGTCTTTTACTTACATTATCCCACCTAGTTGCCACTATAACCCTTTGAAGTAGACAAAAGAGATATCACTCTCCGCGTTTTACAAATGAAAAAAAAAAAAAATGGAGGATCAGAGAGGGCTATGTCTTGCCCAAGGTTGCGCAGCTCAAGAGTAGGATTGCAGGGATTCATTCCTGGGCTCTTCTCTTCATAGCCCTTGTTTCTTTATTAAACCCTGTTGCCTACTCTACAGTGACTGTCGGATTTGAAGAAGGCAAGACCAATCCTAAAAAATAAGAACCTTAACTGGTCACTCATCTTGCACAGAAATAGTTTGTTTAAACTGTTTAGTTTCATAATGGGTTACCCTGTTATATCCCAGAAAGGAGGAGGTGCACATGAACTGAGGAGAAGGTAAACTGAGATCCATTAAGTCTATTGAATAGGCTGGGTGTTATAATAAATATCTTTATTTAACATTCATTATTTATTCATCCATACATTCTACAATTACACTCCTGAAAGTTAGGCACTATCCCAGAGGGACATGATGAAAACACAGAAGACATGACCCTGTCCTCATAAAATGTAAATTCTAGTAAAGATTATAGAAAACAAACAACCAAAAAAACCCTTCTGCATTATGCTAATGAAACAAAGAAATAAAAGACTTAGGTAGATAATGGAAAGAGAGTATGTTCTTTAGATACTACAGTTAGAGAAGGCCTCTGTGAGAAGCTCTCATTGGAAAGAAACCATGGAAGATCATTTCAGGCTGATCATCTGGAGCAGTAGGCCACACCCAGAGGAGGAAGAATCTATAGAGTGTTTAAATAAAGTCAGATTCACTGGAACAAACAGAATTGGGAACCCATTCCTAAAGGGGTGAAAGTAAGGACAGATGGCATAGTATTGTATTAGGCAGGGGAAAGAGCTGGGTTTACTCACACTGCATTAAAGGATTTTATACAAGTAGGTGGCATGATCTAACAGATATTTTAGGATGGTCATTTGTATTGCTGTTTGGGGAATACAAGGGGTAAAGTTGAAACAGGAAGCCTAGTTAGAAGAGTATTTCAATCATTCTGTTGGAAAGAGATGGCAGCGTGGATTGGGGAAGGCAGTAGAAAATGGGAAATGAATGCAGAATCTATTTTGGAGGTATAATTGACAGAATTTGCTGTTGGATTAGAAAGGTAGGAGTTAGAGAAAGGAAAGAATCAAGAACAATTTCTAGAGTTCTAATTTAGGTAATTGGATGAGTGGCAGTGACATTTATTGAGACAGAGCAGGCAAGGCAAGAGAGGTTTTGAGTGAAGAGGTGGGAGTGAAGAGTTCTCTTTTGGATGTATTAACTCAAGATGTCAGTGGGACATTCCAGAAGAGATATGAAGTAGATATTTGGATATGGAAGTCTGGAGTTCAGATGATAGGGCTGGGCTGGAGAGACAAATCTGACAATTGTCAGTACCTACATGGCATTTTAAAGTCACGGGAATGAGAATACCTGGAAAGAGAATGTAGAGAAGGAAAAGGAGGTCTCATGATCTAGCCTCAAGGAAGTCCAGCATTTGGAGGAGGAGAACCCAGCAAAGAAAACTAGAAGTGGATCATGGGGTAGAAAAAGAAAACAAACACAGGACCCAAGAAGTCACAGCATCCACAAAGAGTTTCATGTTTCAAGAAGGAAATACAAACAACAGTGTCAAATTCTGCTGAGAAGTCAAGAGGAGGACTGATTTGGCCACTGGAAAGTCATCAGTGACCTTTAGAAAAGCAGTTTCAGTAGAGTGTGGAAGCAGCCAGATGGGAATGAATTGAGTTGTAAATATGAGGTATGAGACCAAGACAAACAACTCCCTCCCCTACCCACTAAAAAAAAAAAAAAGAAAAGAAAAGAAAAGGAAACACTGGGTGAATTGCACAGGGTTGAGGGAAGGTTACTATGTTCTTGATGTTTCATAAGTCAGGAGATGCTAGAACATGTTTCTATGATGCAAATGATTCAGTACAGTGGAAGAAATTAATGACACAGTAGAGACAGGGGATAACCAAGAAATACAATCTTTAAGAATGTAGGAGGCAGAACCAGAGCATCTGAGAATTGACTTTTAATAGGGAAGAAATCCTCTCTCCATAATAATAAGAGAGGAGGAGGAAATTGTTTCTGATGCAGGTGGATTTGTAGGATCAGTAGGGAATTAGCATCCAGTAGCTTCTATTTCTTCAGAAAGGATTGAGGTCACCTATGGAGAATGAGTGCTGATAAGGGAATGTGGAATTTGAAGAGGGAGGAAAAGATGTGAAATGATTATGTTGGGAAATGAAGAATAAGTCTATTAGAACACAATAGAGTTGCCAGGCAGCTATGAGTCCCCAACTGAAATGTGTAATCATGAATTAATTTCTTTTAAAAAAAACTTTGTTTTGTGGCTTTCTCCATTAGGGTTCCGCTGCTCAGGAACAGGCATGGAGAAGAAAGTTGCACTTAGAAGCCCAACAGGAGTTTTGCAAGACAAAAGTTTAATGAAAGGAGAGAAGAGCACAGAAACTGAAGGTATTTGTTAAGGAATTGTAATGAAAAACTATAGAATTTGAGCTGGACTCGGAAGGAAGTAAAGCTAAGCAGGTGCTGGTGGAAAATGAGGGATGAGTGGGGTCAAAGGATTAAGGGTCTCCAAGAAGGCAAAGATTTGTAAAACAGGAGGTATCAGTGCAAGAAAGGTAGAACAATTGGTAAGTTGGAAAATGATGTGTTTGAAATTGAGATTTGCAAAGTGGTGTAGTTTATGTTGCCTGCAAGACAGAGTATGGTCATAGGAATGAGGAGGACCACAGAAAAAAACATGGCTGGACATAAGAAGGTCAAGAAGAAGAGGGGCCAGGGTGTTGAATGGCTCATCCCTCTGCTTAGCTTATGCTTTGTTTAGAGGCAAGTGGAAGATGTGTACATACCTTCACATGAATCCACCATCTTTCCAAGATGTAAATGCCTCGCTTGAATTAAGAAGCGTCCATATGACCTGTTTCAGCATTACTCAAACTTGTTCTTTATGGCTAAACAACTCTCAGGCATGGTGCTCTTTATGGAGCATAATGAAACATGGACATATTAAACTTAAAATAGCTCAACATAAAATTTTTTTACAATATCAGATACCATCTAAAACTAGATTTTAGCTTCCATAAGTGGGGTATCTAGTGTCAAAGGCTTAAGAGAATGAATTAAACTAGAGAAATTCTATCCACTCACTTACTGCTTTCTGAGTACTAGGAAAAAGACACCCATCCCCTGTCTTCTCATTCTTCCCTTGAGAATGATGTATATCTGATGCTCTGCCTAAATGGGTCTCCAGGGCTCTGAGAGGAAGGGGAGGGACTCCTGGCCTAGGAGACGGGGGAGTTGAGGGGCTCCACCCCCAGAGACTTGGTAATAAATGGAGCTAGAGCTTCTTCCTCTTGGTGCTCTAGGAAGGGAATCTAAGTAGGGATTCTGAACAACAGGCCAGCCCCATCCACATTTCTAGGTAGATCACATGAGAGCTTCAGGTAATTGCCTCATTTTACCTGGCACATGTTTGCTAGTTTTATTACACAGCTTCTTTCTGTTAACTAGTGGTTTTTAAATATCGTAAAGTAGATCGAGACCATCCTGGCCAACATGGTGAAACCCCGTCTCTACTAAAAATACAAAAATTAGCTGGGTGTGGTGGCGCACACCTGTAGTCCCAGCTACTCAGGAGGCTGAGGCAGGAGAATCGCTTGACCTAGGGAGTCAGAGGTTGCAGTGAGCTGAGATCACGCCACTGCACTCCAGCCTGGGGACAGAGTGAGACCCTGTCTCAAAAAAAAAAAAAAAAAAAAAGTCTGAAAGTGAGAAACATTTATATGCTTCAGAAAGAGTAAGGAAACAGGGAGCCAGAAAGACCACATCCTCCTCCTGAGATCATCTTAGAGGGTGCTGGGTGGAGGATGACTTCAGTGGACTCATGTCAATCATTTACAGTCTCTTGGTCCACTCCATTGGTTTATCTGAGCTGAACACTCTGAAACATGAAGACGTGAAGCAATTTAAAAAGAAGTCCATTTATTGCACAGATGGACCAAAAAGTAAGATGGAAAAGGCACCAGTCTCCCAGGCTATACTGTCTATTCTGGGCCCCTGAGTAAATAAAAGACTCACACTGACCTGATGTAAGAGGCCGACGGGGACCAGAGAAGCACTTGATCCCACGTGTTCATTCTGACAAGTTTAGACAAGCCTAACACCAGATGAGTCTAGCCACCCAAGCACATGACCTGGGTCTGGGCCTTTTCTATGCCCCTTCCTCAAACTCCAACTATTATTTTACTTCTTGGGATATTCAGTAGACCAAAACATTCATCTGTTGGGTCACATGAGCCACAGAACACTGTTTTGAGCTCACGGTACATGTGGAGCCATTATTTGAACCTTGAACAATGGAAAGGCCTTCACTTCTGTCTTTTCCCAAGGGGGAAAAAATGTCTACAGAAAAGATCTCCATACATCGAATGCACAAAGTGAAACATCTTCACTTTGCTCGTCTTAACCACCAAAGTAAGATAATCACAACAATAATTAGAATTTTTAAATATCCTCTACTTAGAGAAGGAAACCCCCAAGATGTAAAATCAGCTGTGGCAGCTATCAGAAAGGGACAAAAAGCAAGCCACCTCCCAGGAGTCTTTAAGAAAGGAAAGCCATCTGAAAGGGTGCTTCACTAGCAGGAGGCTTCTTGGCAATAATGGTGATGATAATTTGTGGGATGTATATACCCGAGACTTAGGAAAAGTAGCAGATAGCAAACCTAAAAAGAAATGTCTTCCTCAACCCTCACAAAAAGAAGATTATTACCATTTGATGATTCTCATTGTCTAAATGCTCCTTAAGGGAGCCAAGGGAATTGAATGTCTAAAACTTGAAAAAAGGGTTAGAAATCTAGAAAAAGCTTAGACAGTGATGAGAGTTGGGATAAATGGGGAAGGGGCTCTTTGTCCGCCCTAGTGGATCAGAGCTCACTGCTGTTATGAGAAAGAAAGAGAAGATCATCTTCCTTGTAACTTTACTTGTGGGTTTCCGGCTTCTTGTCTCACTTTGTCTGAAATCCTTCTCTGTACCCTTTCCAGTATTCCAGTACAGGCACCTTTAAAGATGCCACTGATTTTACCATAAGATGAGAGTATTACAGTCATGTTCAGGTTGTACAGGTTTAGTTGTATCTGCCTCACTTTCTGCTCAGCCCTCCGGTTTGGGCTTTAAATTAACTGACAATGGGACTCATACACATTGTTAGAGTATAAACCAGCACAGGCTTTTTAGAGGGTACCTTGGCAGCAAGTATTTTTTTAAAAAACCTCTACGTGAGGGCATTCGCTTGGACCCAGCAAGTCCTGTTCTAGGAATTCATCCTAGGGAAGCAATTAGACACGTGCCAAAAGATTACACAGCTAGGATGTTTGGCTCAGCACTGTTTACAATCATGAAAACTGGGGAAAAGATTCAATGTCCAGCAATAGGGAGTTGGTCAAATACTGTGACACAGTCAAAATGTGAACCCCTAAAAATAATGATGTAGAGAAGTATTTACTAACTTAGACATTGATACGCAATGTATTTTAAATGGAAAAAGAAGACCGCAAATATTATTCAAAACCATACTATTTTTGTAAAATCTACATATATGAATAAAAAAGATAAACACCAAGGTATGTATTAGTGGAATGGTGAGTTATTAATGTTTTGAAGGAAACCAAAATATTTCTCTCTAAAATGCTGGAGACTATTGAGCTAAAAAAGATTGAAATGCAGGGCATGCTTTGCTCCTCCTCTCTGCCTTCCGTACCCACAGGTAGGCCCCTTCCTTACATTTGCTTATCAGCTCAGAAGCAGAGCTCAGAGACAGCAGCCGCCAGAGGATCTGGGAGCTGACTTTACTCTTACTGTAAATCTACCTTCCCACATTTTCCTGCCTTTTGGAAGCCTGAAGATACTCTCCTCTTTGTCTTGTCATTGAATAGAATTTATGGCTCTTTGTTAAAATACTATTTAAGCAAGGCCTCTAAAGCCGCTGCCTTGAGAGAGAAAAAGAGTTTTGAACTGAGGCCTCTTCTGTGTGATGGGTACAGCACATGTTAATAAACTTCTGCTTGTTTTTCTTTTGTTAGTCTGACTTTTGTTTTCAGGAGTGTATCTCAACTTAGAACCAAAAAAGATAAAGAAAAGAAATGTTTTCTCCCCTACAGTTTATAGTTTCTGTTTCCTGCTTTATCTGTATTTTCTAATTTTTTATAGTGAACAAGTATTGCTTTTGTAGTAAAGAAATCATCTTAATTAGGCTTTCCTTAAAAAATTAAAAATACATTTCTAAGGCAAAATATATCCCTTCCTCCCTCTCATTGCCATTTTCCCTCGTAGGAGCAACATCTATTACTAGTTTCTTGGATAACTTCAATGACACTGTGCATGTGATAAGGACAGAAGGCAGAGAAATTCTAGGCAGAAAAGGGCAGGTCCCCAACAAAACCCCACCCTCAAGCCTGAAACCATGGCCCAAAGTGAGAACTGACATCCCTGTTTTCCTGCTCGAATGTTGCCTTTTCCTAAATCACCCATGGCCCACTCCGCCACCCAATCCTGTGCCTATAAAAACTTCAGACTCAGCTGGCAGAGAGGTGAAGCAGCTGGACATTGGGGACTATGGCTGGGCATTAGAGAGAAGCAGTTTGACTGCAGAGGGACAGCTTGATGGCGTAACTGTGGAGAAGAATCTGGCTGAAGATGGCTGGAGCTCAGGAGAAGATTTCCTTCCCACCCCACTCCCTTTTCAGCTCCCCTTCTAGCTGAGAGCCACTTTCATCAGCAATAAAATCCCCCACATTTACCATCCTTCAATTTGTTTGTGCAACCTCATTTTTCCTGGACATTGGAAGAGCTCAGAAGCCAAGTGTGCAAATATAAAAGGGCCAACTGAACTGTTAACACTTAAGCTGTCCATGGATGGCAGAGCTAAAAGAGCACTGTAACATGCCCTCTGGGGACTTAGGGGTCATGAACACCCCACTAGATGCTGCTGCTGGGACCGCACAGAGTTTGCTCCTGCCAGTGCCCAAAAACACTCTCCCAAGCTCCTGCACCTGCTCATCTGCATGCTCCCTCCCACGAGGGGTGGAACACAGTGTGTCTTGGTGAGTGGAGTTCACCTCTGCCAGTGTGGCAGTAGCCTGCTGGTTCCAGTGCTTGTGCACTCTAGTTCCCACCTTGTTCACTCATGCACTCCCTCCCACGAGGAGTTGAATGCTGCAGGCTAAGTACACAAGGTACCCCTGTCACAAGTCTTGCAAAGGGGTCAGGGAAATATCCTGCACCACCTGTACACATAATTAAAAAAAAAATTTTATTTTTCAAAACCATATTAAATTAAACCTTAAATCAGAGAGTCAGGAAGGGCTGGTTGTTGTGGAAGGAAATGTATCCTGGGGTACTTTTCAACTGCCTCTGACAAGTGGGGCTGGTACCAGGCTGAAGTGAGCAAGGCACTTGACTTGGGCACAAAATGTAAGAGGGTGCCAAATACTCAGTAATCAAGGCAAAGAATATGTTAATACAATATTTTAAGAGTCAAAATCAATGCAAGTACTTTATGAAGAACAAAATCAAGACAGGACCAGATTACTGTCATTTATTTTCCCTTTCACCTCAGGCTTCAATATGGCTCCATGTGGCACTATCACTGTCAGTGGCAAGAAATCAAGTGATAAGAAGAGAGAATGTTGGGGGTGGGGCAGGGAGAGAAAGGGATCTGACCTACACTGACTGTTCACTCTGTGTCAGGACTGTGGTTGACACTTTCTAAACGTTATTGATAGCAGGTTGAACCCATCTTTCCCACTCATGATGGTTCCCTCTGGATGGAGGAAGCTCTCCAGAGTAACACTCTGACCTTCTCTCCTCTATCCCTAACCCCTCCACAAGGAGATGGAGTCAGTTACCTGACTGGTGGGTGAGTTTGGGAGAAGAATTGTGCATATACAACCCCGCCCCTTCCTCCCTCTTCCTGGTGGGATGTTTCTGCCTACAGAAATATTCAGGAGCCACCTTGAGTCAACAATGACCTCACTTTCTTGGGGAATTGGCTCCCTCTGTCTAGAGGGAAGGCCCCTTTCAGCCATGTTCATACTGTATACACTTGACCTTCTGGTCATAGCACATTAGACCAGGGTGGAAACCTGACCAAGCTAGACCAACTAGAGTCTCTCTTTATGGACTCTGGAATTATGATCTAAAGAGAGCTAATTTGGTATGTGTGGAATTAGGCCAAAGAGAGATGCAGTTCAGTCTGTGGCTGGCTAAGCTTTTAACAGTGAATCTAGGAGCTGGGAGATAGCCACCTTTCACTCACTATGGGGCAGGAGGTGGTCACTGATAAGGTGGTCTGCAACAAAGCAGACATGAAGATGGAGACAAGAAACAGTGGCAGGGTCCCTGTGATTCCCAGGTCCTGATTCCAGACCCTTCAGAAGCTGTGTTCCTGCCATTGGCCTCCATGAGATGCTCCTGTGTACCTAAAATAAGGTTCCTTTTCCAAGCATAAGCTGGCTCAAATTGGTGTCTGTTACTTGTGCCTGAAGAGTCCTGACCACTACAATCATCTGTGTTAATATCATCGTTATTATTCTCACCCACAGTCATTTCATGCAAGATCCCCCAGACTCATTAGTCTGCTAGATTGCTCTCCTGTGCTCTTTCATTACACTCCATAGAGTTTTTTATCCTTTGGATGACTTAATTCCTCCCCCTACCACTGACTCTTGTTGGTCAACTGGCTGGGGCTGGCATCATGAACAGCAAAATAATTTTTCAAGACAGTTGTGGGTAAAGAAAGGCAGATTTATTAGAGAAAGTACAAAGATAACGTTGTAAGAAAGCAGTGGGCAGCACAGCAGAGAAGGGACTGTCTGCCAAGAGGCAGTGGCTGGAGGGAAATTTTATAGGGTCATGCTGGAGGGTCTACATGCAGACAAAGTCATGCTGCTGGGGCTACATGCTGAGCAAAGTATTTGAGAACAGGATGTGGGGCTAGCAGGTTGTTTGTGATTAACAGTCTCTCAGAACAATTGTTCTTCCCTACCTGGGGCCCCTTCCTTGTTGTTGCTTACTTATCAGGACCCATCACTGACACCACCCTGTTATTCTTTTCCCTTATAAATACCACCCCCTGTGAATAAGTAGAATTGTTTTGCATCATTTACTTTCAAGATGTATTAGTCAGTGTAAGCAACACCAGCTACTATAAAAACCAACCCAAAATCTCGGTGGCTTAACACAATAAAAGTTTGTTTCTCACTCACACAAAGTCCAGTGTTCTTGTTCAGGCACCTGTTCTAGTAGGTTCTTGTCCAAATGGTGACTCAGAGATCTGCAATTCTTCCACTGTGTGACGACTCCATCTTCTAGGTCCCCATAGCCCTTCACTTGGCTTCTTCCACTTGGCTGGGGATCAGGAAAGAGCACAGAGGATCACACAAGATGTTTTGTAACTAGACAAGTCTAGAAGTGGTGCACATCATTTATAGTCAAAACCCATTTGCCAGAGTTCAGCCAAGTGGTTCACCTAGATGGAAGAGGAGTTGTGAGATATAGTTTAATTGCATGTCTCAGAAGGCAAGAAGAGTAGGTTCTCTACCACAGGAAAAGGAATAATGTCTAGCTCTAGAGTAAAATAACTACTAGTTCTATGACCCTCATAAAGTCATAACCTCTCATTTTTCCTACCTTCTAATGTTAAGAGTTATACATCAATCATTCAAAGTGTATTCTTTGGAACCCAAGGTTTCAAAAGAGATGTCCCAGAGGCAGTGGTGTGCTGGACCCAGCTGATACTAGCTCCTAAAAGCCAGTTGCTCAATTTTTGAAAATTTTGCTTTCCTGTTCTTAATTGAAGTCATTATAAAAAATTAAATTACGTGCATATAAACTTATAATTAAATTATATTAAAAACAAAGGTAGTAAGTATTCAGAATTTACCACTCAATTAATTTACTACATCAAATTCTTAATACCCTTGAGGTTGTTTACAGCAATTGTAGGTTTGGTGAAATAACTGTATAATGGTGCATATAATTCTGAGCAGCAGTCCCAACTCTACCTTCAGTCTTGCCACATCAGTAGCTTAAAGCAGTGGAAATATTCACACCACAGAAATCTGAAAATGCGACAAATCAGGGCTCCCCAACCCCAGAGCCAGTTGTTAAATATTTACTAGCAAACCAGAGCCCAAGGCCAGAGATGGTGTGATGGTTGGGGGGTAGTGGAGTTGGGCGGGGGGAGGGAAGCCCTAAAAAGAGACCACAGAACTAGAAATGCCCCCAGGGCCATTCCACCACCCCACCCCCATCCACTTCAATCACAGCAGGATGTGGTTTTGTTAGTTTTATATCCTGGGCTTCCATGTGAGCTTTTGTTTAATAAGGGACTTCTCCTGCTTTAAAAGAAAAATATTTTCAAACTCCTGCATTACAAAATTTATAAGGCCCCTTCTCACCTATTCATTTTTTCCTTCATGCATTTCATTTAACATTTACTGATGCTTACATTTTATGGTGTAGACAGGGCAACAGCTTGTTTGGTCAATTTTGATATTAGTTAATGTTCTACCCTCTTCCCAAGAAAAGGGAAAGAAAGTAGAATTACCATGGATTGAGTTCTGTAGTTTAGGTGCTATCATTATCATCATCATTCTCGTCTTTCATGACTAGCATTTAGATGCTAGTCATTCTCATCACACCCACAGAAAAGGAAAACGAGATTGAGAAAGTTCAGAGGCCCGGCCAAGGTACACACAGGGAGCAAGTTGCACATCTTCCCCATGCCTCCTCCTGCACTCCTCACTAGACCTCGAACATTACTTCAGCAAACATTTGAGCATTTTCCATGTGCCTGACACTGTTCTAGGTGCTCGATGTACATGGGTGAATTCCTGAAGAGGAACAAATTCAAATCAAATCAAGGAAGGAGAATAGGGTCTGGAAGGCGGGAAACCTAAGCATTTCCTAGAACTAAATCAAATGGAAACACTTCAGCTATGACAGGAAATATCCACTTCATTTACATAGGACATACACCAAGTAACCAATGGAAACCTATAGAGGGTTTTTAAACCCCCAAAAAATCCATAACGGGGCCCTTGAGCCCCTATGCTCAGGCCCACTCCCACCCTGAGGAGCATACTTTCATTTTCAATAAATCTCTGCTTTTGTTGCTTCATTCTTTCCTTGCTTTGTGTGTTTTGCCCAATTCTTTGTTCAAGATGCCAAGAACCTGGACACCCTCCACTGGTAACAAAATGTTAGTGTGGATTTGTTGGGATTAGACCAAGGAAAGCATCCTTTTTTTAGTTCCGGCTTAGCCTCAGCCAACCAAACAGCTGTGTCTCAAGCTAATTTGATCCTCTCTTTCATTCCTTTGGAACCACACCCCCATTGACTTCCACACTGAGTGCAGAAGAAAGCAGGACAGAAGAGGATGCACCAGAATGAGGCATGAACTTGTGAAAAAGTCATCATTAATAATAAAGTATGCACAGCATTTTGCTAACTCTCTGCACAAATCGATAGTCTCAACGTCTTCCCAGCCTGCTGAATTTTCCTAACTCCTTCCAGGCTGCAGATGTGGGCAAACTGCCATACTGTAAACCTTCTCTCTCCTCTGGGTCTCATTTGCTCTCTGACCAGAACCTAGTAAGGCCTTATCCCAACTGAGAAGGGCTAGCTGATGACTGTCACTTGGAATTTGCTAAATCAGATGGTTTTTTAAAAAAATTGCATTGAGTTCCTTTGGTCTGTGATAATGCAAGAAAGCACGAATCAAGAGTTTCTATTCCCATGTTCTAAGTAGCTGGAGCTGGGTAGCAGTTGTCAGTGTCTGCTGGGTGTGCAGAGCTGTGTAAGCCCCTGCAGAGAGAGAGACAGAAAAGATCCAAATGTCATGTGAGGACTGGGTGAGGAACCCAGACTACTAGCTCCCTCTCCAATGCTCTTTACCAGATTGCTCATCACTTCCAATTGTGGTCGGCAACAGTTGCAGGGCTCCTCTCTGTCACACTCCTCCCAGTAGGGAAAGGCCCTGAGCGTTCTGCTGTGCATCCCCTCGGAGCCTCCAGCCAGCTCCAGACGCTTCACCAATCTTTGCTGCTTTCACCCACTTTCTCCCCTACCAACATTCACTCTGATTTGAGGGCTCCTGAAAGTCAAGACAGGATACAGAGGGTGTGGCTCTGCCCTCCAGGTATTCCAAATTACTTGGGTAACCATCGTTACATCTTTAGGAGTGTGAAGTTTAGTTATGAATTCATCCACACATACCTGCCCACTTTATCCCCTTCTCTTCTCCCGGGCTCCTGAGACTTAAACAAAGCTCTCTGTTCCTAGGACAGGTGACTTGGCAGAAACACACACCCTGTGAGTTCTTTTGAGGAAGGCAATGGAGAGTAAGATGGTATTAGTCAGTGTTCTACAGAGAAACAGACCAATAGGGTATAGATATAGAGAGAGATTTATTTTAAGGAATTGACTCACACAATTCAGGTGGCTATAAAGTCCAAAGTTGTAGGACTTGTTAGCAGCCTGAAGACATAGATAAAAGCTGATGTTGCAGCCTGAGGCTGAATTCCTCCAGGCAGCAGCAGGTTGGAACCTCAGGAAGGGTTTCTGTGTTGCAATCTTAAGACCAAATTGCTTCCTCTTCCAGAAGCCTCAGTCTTTGCTCTTAAGGCCTGTCAGCTGATGAGATGACACCCACCCACATTGTGGAAGATAATCTGCTTTATTCAAAGTCTGCTGATTTAAATGTTACTCACATCTGAAAACTTCCCTCACAGCAATATCTAGACTGGTGTTTGACTATACAACTGAGCTTAGTCAAGTTGACACATAAAATTGACCATCACAAAAGTGTTCTCACTTCAGAGGCCCTCTGCCCTCTAGCCCTTATAGTGGAGTAAAATGGATTTCTCCACCCTAGAATTTGGAAGAAGGGGTTTAGAAACAATACCCTTAATTATCATGAAATAAAAAGGAGCTTTGCCATGTAATGCAAAACAGGAGGAAGAAAATTTTCACAAGAAATAAAGATGAAATTAAGTTGCTAAGAAGAATATAATTTCCCAAGTGAAGGTTGTGGAAGGAAGTTAATCCCTATTGTAGGGAGACGTGTTTAACTTAGAAGACATTAGCAGGGAAGAACAAGCCATTATTCAAAATGGACCTTCTTCTCCCAACACTGCCACCACAACCACGTTACTCCCATTCGTGGGCCCAGAATTCACCCTTCCTTCCCCATCTACCTGTGGAACCAGTAGCTACTGAGGCCAGGGTCCATCCTTCCCATACAGAGCCAGTAGACAGCAGACCAAAGGGAAAAGCTACTAACCTGCAGTGTACACTGTGTGGACTCACTTAGAATCCCAGACTTGGCATCAACATTATTTTAAGCTGAAGATATTTGAGATTCAACAGATAGAGAAAGATGACTTCTCAGAGCTTCCCTTATCTGACTCAACAGAGATACTTCTGAGAAATGAGAACTGCCATAAATTCCCTCTTTGGGGCAAGTCTATTCCCAGGAGAGAAACCAAGAATAAATCTACCATAAATCTCCTCTCCGGGGGAGTTGTATGGCCATAAAGAAGACAGAGAGACCACCACACCTGCATAAACATTATCTTAAACTTTACCTCTTATTTGTTCTCCTAAAAACCCATTTGTCTTTCCTAAAGAAACCTATTTGTCCTTCCCATAGAAGCCTTTGCTCTCCCTACCTTTTCTCCTAAATTAGGTATATAAGCTCCAAATTCTAACCATCCCTTTGAGTTACACATCACTGAGTACACTGTGTCCATGTGTACACATTTTGTGTGCATAAATAAGCTCTTTCTTTTCTCTTGCTGATCTGTCTTTTGTCAGTTTAATTTGCCCATCCCCAGGTACAGGACATAAGAGTGTATAGAAAAAGCTTTTCCTCCCCTACAATACCAAGACTGAAACCTACCCAAAGAAAAGGAAGCACTAAATGAACATGGGCTTTGCTCTTTCTTTAGGAACAGGTAATGTCTAGGGAGAAAAATAACTGGAAGCAGTACATCAGAGGAAGAAAGGATTAAAAGAAAATAGGGAGGAAAGGAGTAACATTGTGGTCAAGGCTGGAAATCCACCGAAGGCCCAGCAGTGTCGGTGTGGAAGATCCCAGAGAGCTTGGCAGCAAGGCTTTGCTCTAAGTGTGGAAATGAGGGAGGTAGACAATTGACCAGGGTAATAACACTTGATTCCTGAGTAAAAATCTTCTTAATCCGTCTTACTGATCCAGTAGATATACCCTTTGGGAAAAATAGGTGAGGAAATACTTGCAACAGGCAGGAGAGAGAGGATGCCCTCCTTCCCAGCAGAATGGCAGCTCCACTGGTCAGAGAAGCAGCAGCCTGTACCAAATAGCTCAGCTGAAGAAACAGTAAAGCTTATTGCCCAACCTTTTCCTCCACAGAGGTAGGGGCCAGACGCAGATATTGAAGGACAGAGACAAATGGAGACCACCATATGGGTTACAATCTAACTAGCCAACGGCAGTGACCAAGAGAATTTTGTATCAGTCGGGATTCTAACAGAAAACACATAGCACACTCAAATTAGGACTACTTGAGGAGGCTTTAATGAAAGACTGTTTACAGAAATGTAGGCAGGGCACGGGGGGAAAGGGAGAATGCATTAATCCAGAGGAATAAAGGAAGGGGCAGTGACCAGAACCCAAAAGAAATAAGCTTGCAGAGAGGGCTTCCTTGAGAGGCGCAGTGATCAAGGAAGACCACCAGCCCAAGGCAAGTCTGCGGGAAAGAGGCCAGGGGAATAAATGCCCTGACCCTACATGTCCCTTTTCCTCCAGTTGACCACCTGCACTCCTCCTTGGCCAACCTCGACAGAAATCTAGAATTCAAGGAACCATTGCTGTGATCCATCAAGTCAGCCCCAGGAAAGAGAGCAGAGCTGAGAGGGCTGGAGAGAGAATCTGGAGGAGCAAACGGAAAATACCTGACTGGGTACCAACATCCAGGAGAGGATCCCTGTGTGTCAAGGATCCTCAGAGGGACAACTAATGCATAACAACAGATAATGGGTCCACACTCCTTTCTGCCTCCTCCTGATCGCAAAACCCACTACACACATGTAAATGCACCACACACACACATGCCCACTACACACAGATATATATATATAGATACACATCCACACACATAGGGATACACATACATAGGGATACACATACACACATACATACATGCACACATTGCACATGTGCACAATGCAACATACATGCATGTACACATATAAGCACACATACATATGTGAACACATGCACACACACATACCCACACTTAATCATAGTCTGCACATGGTATCACTGCACACTGCTCAGGCTCCTCCAGATCAGTCAGAAATTATAGGAGATAAAACCAACAGAATTTAAACAAAGACAAGAAAGACCTGGAATGATGTGCAGACTTGTCTAATTATTGCTATTTTTAGAACTCATACTGCAAGTGGTAGAAAAGAATGGGGGTGGGGGCTGCTGACCAAAGAGATTGCTTCATTATTGGAAACAGAAGATAAGTAGGCTGAAGAGGGTGATTGGAAAGTTGAGAACAGGGAGGCAGTTCTTCCCCTCTCCCCTCCACCCCCATGTCTCCCTCTCCCATTCCAGGAGCTGAGCACTAGGAGAAAGAAGGGCACATGAGACCAGATGATGGAAGCTGACCTGGCTTTCCACTCTGGCTACAGACTTTCTGGATGTGTGACCTCGAATATGTTCCTGAGGGCCACCTCTAGCCTATAAGGTGTCTTTGTGCAAATAGAAGACACCCCTTTGCACAAGTAAATAAGAGAATATTCTGGTTGGATGCAGCATCTCATAGTTCCTGATCTGGCAAACAGTGCATGGCTGAATTTCCACCCTCCCAACAGTACATTTGTGCAGCATCCCAGCTACCCAACCACATGCAGCAAGCAGGTGTCACTTCACATCTGTAGACCCCTGCTTGTCCTCTCCATAAGTGAAGATAATATCTGCAAAACAGGGAGATCCAACACAGGAGACAAAATGCAAGGCGAGAACCAATAATTAAAAAAAAGAAAAAGTCATTCAAGGTCTTAGGGTGCAGGCCACCCAGGACAAAGACTGGGAGGAGCATGGGTTCTCTGCCACATGTGAGGGGGCAGTGAAGACCAATTCTGATTGATATCTTAGAGTAGGAAGTTGGAGGATTTAGGGATACCCAGTGACTGAATTCTAGGTTACATCATCGCTATCATTAATTTCTTGACATAGAAGCTGACCAGCTCTCAGCATTTCGTAATCATTGCAGAGTGCAGGCTAGGGGCTCTGGGGCTCCAGCCCTGCCAGTCTGTAATTGATGTAGGTTAACTCTATTCTCCAGTTTCCTCATCTGTAGAATCAGGTAACTGATGTACTTCTTTCACAGAGGAATTACAAAAATAAAACAGAATAATATCTGTGAAAATGTTTTGTGACTCATGTGGGATCATTTGGATTCTTCTTGTTGCTGGTTGACAAAATGTTATTTTCGATGATCCCTGGGCTTTGTTCCAGCCTCCACCTGGGGTCACTTGCCCAACTTGTTAGGAGCTTCACTATCAGCTCAGGAGGTAGGTTTCCAATGTCTTCTGCATGTGATCCAGGAAAAAGAAGGCTTGTGTTCCAGCAGAAAAACTTCAGGTTAGACTTAAGGAAGAACTTCCAGACATTGAATCAGGTGAGTAAACAAGAAAGTGAACTTTGTACTGGGAGGGAGGGAAAAGGTCTTTCAAAACAGGATTGAACCCCTCATCTATTGAGAGTGATTTAGAAGTATGTTTGGATTGACTCCTGGGACACTCTGAGCCATGGAGATAAGAGCTGTACTTATGAGCCCCTTCTAGGCTCCTTTCCAGGCTCCAGAGGTTAATGTTTCCATTTAAATGGAAATTGAGTGCAAAATTATTAGCAACTCTTCAAAAAGAACCAAATTACAAGAGGCTGTTCTTTGTACAGTACAAACAGAGCTGCTGTTCGTGTCCTGTACCTTAAATACGAAGGTGAGTCCTGCTGGTGACTCCTCTACCCTCAGAGGAGCTGAACCCCTGGAAATAGTTCATTTGGAACACAGACTGGGAAGCCAGAAAGCTCCCCTCTGGCCTCGGATTCTAGTAAGCCCCAAAGAAGGGTCAGATGCAGAAGTTCCAAGAACATCTGCAGAATATGGGTCACATCGGTTCTCACCTCACCGTCATCGCCTGGCACATAAAATCAATCCTCATTACTCACCAATTCCATATTTGCAAATTCACCTCCTCGCTTAAATTTATGTATAACCCCAAAATCAATGCCCGAAGCACTTTTTGCGGTCATTTGCAAGCATGCACAGAGCAGTGACAATTTTGAGAAGCCTGATGTGCACATTCCCAGGTGAGATGGAGCAAGGGGAGGCTCTGCCTTCTCATTTCAGCTCTCATACTATAAACAAATGTCCTTTTTTATTTTTGAGACAGGGTCTGGTTCTGTCATCCAGGCTAGAGTACAGTGGTGGCACAATCATGGCTCACTGCAGCCTTAACCTCCTGGGCTCAAGCCATCCTCCCACCTCAGCATCCTGAATAACTAGGACTATAGGCATGCACCACCACACCTCGCTAATTGTTTAATATTTTGTAGAAACAAAGTCTCACTGTGTTGTCCAGGCTGGTCCCGAAGTCCTGGGCTCAAGCAATCCACCCACCTCAGCTCTCCAAAGTGCTGGGGTTACAGATGTGAGCTACCACACTCACCTAACAAGTATTTTTTTTTTTTTTTTTGGTCATTCTACTATGTAAAATGGCCACCAAGTGTAATGTTAAAGCACTTTCTAGAATTCCTATGTGCAGGAAGGCTGTGAAGTGCCTTAGGGAGAATATATGTGTGTTAGGTAAACTTCACTCAGGCATGAGTTCTAGTGCTATTGGCCATGAGTTCAATGTTAATGAATCAACAATGCATACCAAATAAGGTGACTTTAAACAGAAACACACACAAGACAAGGTTATGTATGGATCAGTTGAGGAACATGTGACCAGAGGCTCACAGGTCTGCACTTCCCCTAGAAACAATGGTTCATTATTGGCTAATTCAACATTAGCAGAAACATCACAGAACACAACTCCTGCAAATAACAAGAATCGACTATTGTAGGTGTTCAGTCAATGATAACTATGAGTTCTTCACAGGGTTATCTCTGAGCTCGAATGTGGAGGTGCTGTTTCAACCCCTTGCCAGCAAGTTTAAAGGATCTTCTCATCCAAAAAAAAAATGCCTTGCTTCTACAGCCCAATTTTTCCCATGCTCAGATCTGCACATCCCAGTATAAAGTATAAGGCCCAACAGGACTGAGAAGGGGTTATTTCTAGAAGATTCCATGATTCATAGCCATGGTGGAGTCCTCTCATCTGAAACAACAGAGGCTTCCCAAAACCCAAATAGTCAGAGCATAAAACTTCAAGAATCCAAAGCTTAAAAACTCAGGACGAATAGGGTCACCCAAATCAAAAAGGACGGGAGCTGGCAAAGTCTAGCTCTCAGTGAGCCAGGAGCCAAGACCCAGCCTGGGACAGTGAGGCCAAGAACAGGCGAGGAGACCACCAACAGCAAGGGCTTGGGGAGAGGGCCAATAAACTGGTTGGTGTTGGGGCTTGCATTCATGAGCCCTTTGTGGAGGTGGTGGGAGAGGGGAAGCCCCCTGAAAGGAGGTAGAACAAAAGTTGGCCTTCTCAATAAATGCAATGTGTTCATATAAATGCCATCAGAGAAGGTGGCCAAGGCAACCCAAGGCCATAAGAGAGTGCTTAAACTCCAGACAGGGAGAGGCAGAGGAAGAAAAAAGTACTTCCAGCTCTCAGCTTCTCTGAGCAATTTGCTCTTACCCCCCAACACTCAAGCCCCCCTCACTAAAACAAGAGCCCTGGGTTTCATTGGACCCACCTTCTCTAAAAGGCGATTTAGCAGCTATTTATTGTTGATCAAGTTTGTCCCTTGGGAGGCCTCACCCTTTACCCTCAAGCTATTTATCAAAGCCTTCCTACTGAGCTTATAGAATACTCTTCTTGATATGTTTGTTGGCCATTTGTATATCTTCTGAAAATCACACATCACTAATGATCAGGGCAATGCAAATCAAAACCACAATGCAATACCACCTTACTCCTTCAAGAATGGCCATCATCAGCCAGGCGCAGTGTCTCATGCCTATAATCCCAGCACTTTGGGAGGCCAAGGCAGGTGGATCACAAGGTCAGGAGATCAAGACCATCCTGGCTAACACAGTGAAACCCTGTCTCTACTAAAAATACAAAAATTAGCCAGGCATGGTGGCGGGCACCTGTAGTCCCAGCTACTCAGGAGGCTGAGGCAGAAGAATGGCATAAACCCGGGAGGCGGAGCTTGCAGTGAGCTGAGATTGCACCACTGCACTCCAGCCTAGGTGACAGAGTGAGACTCCAACTCAAAAAAAAAAAAATAATGGCCATCATCAAAAAATCAAAAAATAGTAGATGTTGGCATGGATGTGGTGATCAGGGAACACTTGTACACTGCTAATGGGAAGGTAAACTAGTACAACCACTATGGAAAACAGTGGAGAGATTCCTTAAAGAACTAAAAGTAGAACTACCATTTGATCCAGCAATCCCACTACTGGGTATCTACCCAGATGAAAAGAAGTCACTATACAAAAAAGATACTTGTACATGCTTGTTCATAGCAACACAATTCATAATTGCAAAACTGTGAAACCAACCCAAATGTCTATCAATCAAGGAATGAATAAAGAAACTGGTGTGTGTGTGTGTGTATGTGTAGATATATGTATATGTGTGTATATATATGTGTATGTATGTATATATGTGTATATATATGTGTGTGTATATATATATGAATGTGTATATATATGAATGTGTATATATATGAATGTGTGTGTGTGTATATGTATATATATATATATATATATATATATATATATATATATGAATGATGGAACACTACTCAGCCATAAAAAGGAATGAATCAATGGCATTTGCAGCAACCTGGATGGTATTGTAGACTGTTAGTCTAAGTGAAGTAACTCAGGAATGGAAAACCAAACATAGTATATTCTCACTCATAAGTGGGAGCTAAGTTATGAGCATGCAAAAGCATAAGAATGACACAATGAACTTTGAGGACTCAGGGAGAAAGGGTGGGAAGGGGGTGAGGGATAAAAGACTACAAATTGGGTGCAGTGTATACTGCTCGGGTGATGGGTGCACCAAAATTGCACAGATCACCACTAAAGAACTTACTTATGTAACCAAACACCACCTGTCCCCCAGAAACCTATGGAAATAAAAATTTTTTTAAAAAAGAATACTCTTGTTGTGAGAAGTTATTTCTATTTAACCACTTGGCAATGTTGACATACTCTTAGAGACTGGGGTCCAGGAAATGGCCTGGCTGGCCCAGCTCTTTCAGGGAGTGTCAGCAGGGCCCATAGAACTAGTGGAAAAGCCTAGACCAGTTACTCAGACAACTCAGGCCACATTGGTGTCTAGATTCACCCATGTGTATACATTATCAGGCTAGGTTCCAGCTGCTAATCCTAGATGAGGGTATATTAGGGTGTGTGTATGCGCGCACTCACTTGTGCACACACACAGCAGCTCGGGCTGGCTTAAGGCCTGAGAAGTTGGGGTACACATGTCTTAGTAAACATCCTTTCACATCCAGGACCAATGTTACCTTCAGCGGTTTGGGATCTGGCTCCTAGAGATAGCTGGATGGCTGCTGGGGTGTGGTCCACACCCTCTCATGATTGTTCTGGCCTTCAGGTTGTCTGTTCCACATATCCCTAAGGCTGTCCAGCCTGGGATTTCTACAAGACAACTCTGGACTCGGAGGTGCTTGGGGAGCATCTCTCACTGAATGCTTCCTGCCTGTCTACTAAGAACTGGAACTGGCTTCTGGGATCATGGTTTATCCACAGCAGTTCAGGAACAGGAAAGCTTATTAAAAGCATAAAATCTCCTTGGATTTTTTAAAAAGGAAAAAAAACATTCCACAACAGTTCCTACTAAAACCAATTAGAGATAAAAACCAGGAGTTAGGACTCTTGGAGAGAGAGTTCCCCGAACTCAGTTTGTGATGGAGCTGTGGTAGAATCCGGAATGACATGCTGCCTCTCTATTTCTGGTTTCTATTCCTGCTTCTGCTTCGGCTTCCGTCTTGCCTTCCTCCCTTCCCTTTCACCTTCTTTCACCTCCTTTCCCCTTCTTTTTTCTCTATCCTTGTTTCTCTGTCTGCAGGAATTGAAATGTACAATCACGGGCCACTCAGCAGGCTGGCTGGCTACCATCACCAGCCTTCTTTCCCTCCATCACAGGTCATGAGGCTGCAGTTGCCTTGGAAAAATTCTGGTGCTACCCTCCTCAGTACAGGGAAATTTTCCTGGCTCCATCTTTTTCATTTTGAAGTGGTTTTCGTTTTCATGTCATTTCCCATTTCTATCCAATGGCCTCATGTCTGGATTTACTGTCTCTTCCCAGCCCCTTTGGTTTAATGGCTCAGCTGGGGGATCTGGGCTCTGATTTTTGTTTCCTTTGGGTTAGGTCTTCTCAGATCACCTTTATTTCTACCCTGCCTGGATCACGGTAGAAGCATCAGAAGGGTATGTGATGGCCTCAAGAAAGTCCAAATGCAAAGATACTCCGCCTCCTCAACCCTTGTAAGGCTGGTTGGACACACGTAAAATCAGGAATTGCTGTTAGGATGAGAAAGGTTTATCAAGCTCATGTTTTAAGCTCTGAGTTAATGTTGTTTTAAGCTGACTCAGTCATTAGATTCACACAGCATTGGCTAGGGGCGAGGGGCAGGGGGCAAAAGAGAGAGGAAGGAAACCAAGTGAGTAGGGCTGGAGAAACAGTTTGGGATTTGGGAGCTGTGGGAAGTGAGACAATTAGGGAGGAAAAGGGGGGATTTCTGAGAAGTGGTATGTGGGTGAAATGGATTCCTCTTAGCATTCTTTAAGAGATCTCAATACAGATTTAAATCAAATTATTATTTGTTGGTTGGCTTGCTCTTCTCCAAATGCAGCTCTATACAGAAACTAAGAAACACAGAGCCACAGCTTTTTTCAGTTTATATCAAGACAGAGCCTAAGCTCCTCATCATGGCGGACCAGGTCTTGCAGACACATCTCTCACCATTGTTCCATTGAGAGTTCACATTCAGCCAGACTGGGCTATTTCAGATCCTTTTAATAGGTCAGGTTTTTACTCCCTCTGTCTGAAACTACCTTCCTATTCCCTTTCTGCCTTTCTTAGTCAGTTCATGCTGCTATGAGAAAAGACCATAAACCAGATGGCTTATAAACAGGAGAAAATTATTTCTCCAAGTTCTGGAGGCTGGGAAGTCTATGATCAAGGTGCCAACAGGTTTGGCTTCCTGGTTCATACAGGGCATGTGTCTCATGTGTCCTTACCTGGTGGAAGGGGGCAAGGCAGCTCTCTGCGGCCTCTTTTATAAGGGCACTTACCCCACTCATGAGGGTTCTGCCCTCATGACTTGATTACCTCCCAAAAGCCCCACCTCCTAATTCCATCACATTGAGGGTTAGATCTCAACACAGGAATTTTGGGGAGACACATTCAGGCCATAATACTTCCTTTTTCCTAGCCAATTCCTACTCACAGTTTTAGCTTAGATGTCACTACCCAGCAACCCCAAATCTGGATTCCATGGCTATCTTCTGTCTCCCATAGCACCCCAAAATAATTCTTTCAGACTACATTGTAAGTGTGGATTTGTTGTCTTCTCTACCCGATTATAACCGTTACAAAGGCAGGGGCTGTCTGTCTCACTCACCCCTCTGTGTTTAGCACAATGTCTGATATAGCCTAAACGCTCAATAAATGTCTACTGAATGGATGACTCTGCTCTGACACTGAAGCTTCTTCCAAAATACCAGGATGACTCCTGATGTTCCATATTTCTCCACCCCTGGTGCCACTTATGCCTCCCTTCCTGACAGTTTTCAGACTCCGGAGCAGAGAGTTCACCCACTTCTTTCCCTGGAAGCAAGAATGGAAAGAGCCTCAGCTCCTGGCTCCAGGCAGGCTGTTACCCAGGGGCTCACAGAGCATGAGCAGCCTCCATGGAGTGGGAAGGGCTCTGTGGTGGACCCTCCAGCAGGCAGCATAGCCACCTGCCAGGTGTTCACCTCTCCAGGACTGCCTCTGCCTAGCCTGGACGTAGAACCTAATCTCAAAGAGGACTTTTGTTTTTTAAGGATTTCCTTCCTCAGGCTGGATTTCTCTCCACTTTCCCAAATCCCTGCTGTCCCTAGGATAGGACTCATTTATTCATCTCAGTAAACAAACATGCACTGAGCACTTACCACAGGGAGGATCCCACAACTCGCCCTTGTTATTGTGTAATGTGCAGTCATCTGGTAGAGGCTGCAACCACCCAAAGACACAATCAGAAAGCATGTGGAGGGAGGGGGTCCAGAGAGAAGTCTAATCCAGTCTGAGGGCACTCCTCCAGCCCACTGAGACATCCCTGGGGGATCCTCATTCTTTCCCAGTCAGCCCTCTGTTCTCCATTTATCTCCTTTTCAATGATTCTCTCTTTTCCTTCTTCCCTAGACATCTGGAGTCTCCTGCTGATGTGGGCAGTTTCCTGCTTCTCCTGTAGATAGTGAGAGCCTCACACCCCTACAGGGAGGTGTTGCCTGCAGTCTCAGCTCAACACCCTGGTCACCCTTTGCTCGCACTTGCTGACTTAGTCAGACCTCAGATTGAAGCATCTGAGGATGATGGGCTGTGTGACTAAGGAAGGGGCTGCCCCACCCAGAAGTTTAGATTACATATTTGTGTGCAGGACCTAGCACAGATAGGTCTACCCAGCATAGCTTTTTCTAACTTTGATTTAGACTGAACTCTAGAAGAGCCAAGCAGAATGTAAACCTCATGTTGGGGAGGTCAAGTTACTTTCTAGCTCAAGATTCTAGAGAGACAATTTAGCAACGTGGGCTTTGAGGTCAGGCTGCTAAGGTTCAAATCCCAGCTCTGATACTGGTTAATTAACCATTAGTGGAGTTATTTATCCTCTTTAAACCTGAGTTTCCTCAACTGTAAAACGGGGTAATAATAGCTCATACTTCATGGTGTTTCTGTGAGGATTAACTCAGATAATTTGTGTAAGCCTTCCATAAAGTGCCTGACACATGGCACTCAATAAATGTCAGCTTTATTTTTGGAAACCCGTTTTAGGTATTGGATAGCCCAGACCCCAAGCAAGGCTCTGTGGGAGCCACATCTTGCTGAGAGTGACAGGAAGAAGTTATTTTTAAAACAGATTACATTGCTGGGTTAAGTCCCACTTTTGGACTCTGTTGCCTTTCTCCTTTGATTCCTTCTAGGTGAATCCTAGACGGGTGCCCAGCATTTTGCTTCAATCAACTCTAAGGAAAACACACTCTGGAAAGTCTGCTAATCTAGTCTAGCAACCCAGGGCTGGAAGCTAGGACCAACTAGAGTGACTCACAGCAAATCTCATCTTTCCCTGGAGATGCAGAAAGGAAAGACACCAGACACCGTCACTGAAACTGCCTTGCAAGCCCCCACCTCCCATCACTGCACCAGGAACTTGTGTTTCTCACTTATGACTTGACCCTGGAGGGCTCTCCTCCTCTATGACTCCCCTCTGAGGATGCGGTCACTGCATCAGCCATCTCAGGCAGCACCCTTGAGTTACATGCAAACTGCTTCCCCTCAAAGTTGCGGTACACACCTTACACAGCTGGTATGGTGGGCCGTTGTCAAGTTTCCTGGCTGCCCAGCCCCTTTAAACACCCTTCTTACATTAGAGGAATTTTCCATCCTATGCATCCTGCCTCCTAAAAGTAGAAACAATAACAGTCACTTTCCCAGCCTCCTTTGCAGCTAAGACATAAGCAGGTGGCTGAGGAGCTGCTGGGATGATAAGGTGACATTCTGGGGCCAGATGTGGCATGGACACTGAAGGCAGCAGTGGTGACAATGGTCATGTTCCTGGCAAATTGTGATACAAATTAGAACATCCAGTTGGCGGCAGTGGCGGTGCCACAGCAGTTTTCTCATTAAGCCAGTTCTGCCACGTGTAGTGGAACATTATTCTGCACGTGTAGCCTGGGGCCTGGTTTCCCAGGCTCTGCTGATTCTGTGAGACACCCAACATCCTGTTACTAAACCTTTCCTGCTGTGTCAGCCAGAATTGGCTTCAACTGCTTACCATGAGGAACCCCGATTCCTACAGGCAAAAACCACAGGGAACACATGGTGGCAACATAGAAGTCAAGTCTTACTGAGATCTCTCTTGCTTAATAGATATGTCCAAACCCTTTAAATTCCTGTGCCCCTGGTCCTGTCCCAAAAGGAAACCTCAGACTTTATGTTTTTTTAGGCAAGTGGAGCAGGTTGTGACCCTGCAATCCAGCCTGAGAAGGCATAAACAGCATCTCAGCATTTGTCAAAGCAGCTTCCTCCAGGGGAGAGGTCAAAGCTGTCTTTGTTGGGATGATTCCAAAACAGGCTCCAGGGGCCACAGCTACAGGCTGAGACCAAAGGCCCTCCTCAGGCAGCTGACACACAGTAAGCAAAGGGCCCGAGGTCATGCCTGGGTCCAGAGCTTGAGGGCTCTGAGGTCAGGCCAACACAAGGAATGGTGACGGGAAAGACTGAGGAGCTCAGGCCCGCTCAGAGACATGTCATGAGTTCCTTGGCTGCAGCTCCTGTCCAGGGCTTGGGAGCAGCCACGTTAAGCCCTTCCAGAGCCCTGGCACTGCTGACAGAAATACTGGCAAGGTGCCTGGTCACATATAAACAAATTATCCTTCCCACACTCCTGAGGAACTGAAGAAGGAAGGCATGGAAGACCCTGAGAACCATGCTGGGACTTCTCTACACGCTCCCTGCTAAGGGTCTTCCTGTTTCCAAAGACCCTCTGGTCAGGACACTTGTCTAGGAGACAACTGGCCTCTGGCTAAGGAACAGAGGGGAGATGAAGACACGGGGTAGCTGGAATGCAAGCTGTGAGTTTGGAGCTCTCTGAACCATCTCTTCCAGGTGACTGGGGGTAGCTGGAATGCAAGCTGTAAGTTTGAAGCTCCCCGAACCATCTCTTCCAGGTGACTGCTTGGCTGAGGTCAGAGAGTCTGGGCCAATATGCAAAAAGAACCATGCCAAGCAGAGCAAGAGGAGAGCTCCAATGTCAGAGTGCGAGGTGTTGAACCCACTGTGCCAGATCTACTTCTGGTGACAGGGGGCAAGAAATTTCCCTTTCTGCTCAAGCTAGTTCGGGGGGTGGCTTTTGCCACTTGCAATCAAAATAGGCCAGACCACCACAGGTTCCTGAGACAGAGCCTTAAACATGTTTCCTGTTCTCTGTATGCTCACAACAGTGGGGACAAGCCATCATTTCATGGAAGGAGAGCCACTGTGCTTCTTCTGGATAGAAAGGCAGCTCTTGTTAGTGCATGACCTATGATTACCCCACAACAGAGCTAACATCATTCAAACATCCACAAAATAGCCTACAGTCATGCACCAAGTCACAGCCTTTTGGAGAAGCTTCAGCATGAAGTCCAGAAGACTTTAGTCTGTAATTCCATATAGATACAGACAAAAGATCCAGGTTTTTTCTCCCCTCCAGCCCTCATCTTTGGCCCTGACACCCTCGGATTGCCAGGCTTGTCTCAGAAGATGCTGGGAACTGTCTAACTGCCCCTACCAAGTTAAGCACAGCAGGAGGCAAATAAAATGAGGCCCCGCCATCCCATTGTCCTGGGCCCCTCCCACCTTGGGCTGTCCAGATTCAGGGCTGGGCACCAAGCTTAAGCCACACTCCCTACATTCTTTTTTTGGGAAGCTGGCACAGACCTCCAGGCCTTAGCCCAGCAGCAACTGTAGCTTTGTTACCCTGGGGCATGGAAATTTCCCTCTCCCTGACAGCCTCATTCATTTGTCTCTTAATTAGACACAGTCCCCCACGGTGCTGTGTCCTCCACTGTGATCTTTGACAAGCTCCTAGAGGGCCTCCCCACTGAGTCATGTGATCAGAGGGAAGTCATCCAGTCCAGCCCCTGCTTTAGGCTCACTCCCAGCACCCCCGCAGCTCCCAGCCCAGAAAGGGAGTCACGTCTCTGAGAGGCAGCTGTACCATTGCCGGCTTTTCAGTTGTTAGAAATTTCTTTTCCCTATTCAGCTAAAATTGGCCTCCCTTCCACCCCATTCCCCTTCTATCTTATCACAGATGTAGTTCATTTTCACATCCATAGGACAGGAATTTATTGAAAAACAGATCTTTTTGTCCTTATAAAAAAAAAAAAACTCTTTTTCACCTAAACAACCTGTTTCCTCTCCTGTTCCTTATGGTTTTCAGACCCACAGCCATTCTATCCATGGTTGCCTGGATACTTTACACAAACAAACGTTAGACTACACTGCAGCATCAGAACTAAAATCTACTTCAGGTGAGGTCTTAAAAAAAAAAAAAGCCCACACATTAGTTAATTATAATTTAACTTATATCCCTCCCCCTCACTGTCTAGAACTTGAATAGTTGGTGAGATAGAAATGGCTAGTTGCCTCCAAATATCCATTTCCCCTTCTTTTCATCAACAGGATCTAATTTTTTAGCTGGGCATACTGTCACCTGGGTAAAACAGTCCAATTCCAATCATCCATTGCAGCTGTGTTACATGTAACTAATTTCTAGCCAAAGAGACATAAGCAGAAATGTGTGAGAAACTTCCTGGAAGCCTCCTTAAGAGTGAGAAGGTGGACCCTTCTTTCTGCCTTCTCCATTCTGCTTCTGGAACTCAGATGTGATGCCTGGAACTCTAGCAGTCATCCTGGACCACGAGGATGTGGACTGTACACTTGAGCAATTAGAAGGGAACTGGTTCCTGACAACTCTGTGTTGCTGGCTGCCCCCACTAGCTTGGGATTGCCTAACTCTAGACTTGTTTTATGCAAAAAAAAAAAAAAAACTTCTCCTTTATTTAAGCTATATAGTATTTGAGTGTTTTCTTAAATATGCATTAAGACCTAATCCTAAATTTGCCACCCTGAAGTTATTATAATGAGTTGTATATGTACCCCAAGAAATTTCTCAACCAGATAATTCTGAAGAAACTCCAGCTCTCATCGCAATTTTTTTCTCTTGTCTTTTTTAATGCTTAACAAAACTTTGCTGAAGACTTAGAGATAACAAAAATATTATAACAAAGGAAACAAATTTGGCATACTCGTTTTCTATGGATGTCCTAACAAATTACCACAAACCTGATGACTTAAAACAATAGAAATTTATTCTCTTCATTCTGGAGTTCTAGAAGGCCAGAAGTCTGAAGCCAGTATCACTGAGCTGAAATCAAGGTGCTGACAGGGTTATGCTTTCTCCAGAAGCTCTAGGGGAGAATCCTTCCTTGTCTCTTCCGGTTCCAGGTGGCTTCTGGCATTCTTTGACTTGTGGTTGCATCACTTAAATTTCTGCCTCTACAGTCACATTGCCTTCTCCTTTTTTTAAATGTCAAATATCCCTCTTCCTCCCTCTCAGGAGGACACATATGATTGTTTTTAGGACCCACCTAACCAATCCAGGATAATCTCTTTTTCTTAAAATCCTTAATTACATATGCAAAGGCCTTTTTTTGCCATATAAAGTAATATTCACTTGTTCCAGGGACGAGGACATGGATATCTTTGGGGAGCCATTATTTTAGCCTACCACACCTGGATGTTACGGAGAGCTCCTCTCAGAGCTGAAGCCCTAAGACGATAGTGGTGTCTTATAGTGGTGGTGTCCCCCACCCAGGTCCTGGTCTGTGTCATACTACAAGGACAAGCTTTCTGTCCAGCACAGAGTCCTGGAGCACACCTCCCATAGCTGAGGTATACATAGTTTCCTGACTCCCCCAGACCCAAAGAGAGGGACCTGTTTCTTATGTTTGCCTCTGCCACCTGCCTTTATATCCCACTGCCAAGTCAAAAGCCCACCTGGCCCATTCTCCATCTCCCGTACGAGGATTGGCCTCTTCATAGGATGATAGACAGTGGGATTGCCCAAAGGGATGTAGGGTCCTAGGACTCTAAAAGTCAATGGATCACCTCAGAACAAAGTGACAAAAGATTCACCTATTCATTCATTCAAAGAAAGGTAAGATTGTAAGGTGGCAAGCCTGTATTGCAATTGGAATCATGTAGGCTTGAGCTATAATGCCATCACTTGCCAGTTACATAATCTCTATAAGCCTTTGTTTCCTCATCCACAAATAAGAAGATAGAAAGGAAAATAATGTCCACATTGCAGGGTTATTTTGAGAATTAGGAAAAAAATGTTATGTGTGTGAAGCATATAGCACCAAGCCCGGCTCACAGGAGAAGCTAGATACGCTGAGACTAGGACTCATCCACTCAGTTTTCCCTTCAATAGTGGACTGAACATCCTACTAATGCTGGAGGTGCAGTCATGACCCAGGCAGGCTTGCCATGAAGATGCTCAACCCAGGTCAGATTCCCACACAAGTCATCTACAATGGGATATGTACTCCAGTGCAGTTTTGAACAAAGTCTGGTGGAAGAAGCTGTTGGCTCTTGAGGTTCTTGGCTTGTCATTTTCTCAAAACAATACAGCACAGAAAAATTTACAGAGAAGAGTACATTTGTGCACAGGGCCCCACCATCTAGTAAGGTGGCTGCTGGAAACTCCACTTCCTGACTGCAGATACTGACTTTGAGAGACACTCAACTTGCAAAGGGTGGAACTGAGACCTTCTGCTCATCAATTACTCATATGAGGAAAACAGCTTCCAATTTGGGATTTTTAGTTAAATGCTAAAAATTGGAGGTAAATTAATTAAGATATAACTTCAACAACACCAGCCTTCCCTCAACAGTTCCTAAGACAGGACGGGCAGCATTAATTGTTGCAATTAATTAGGCATTAAACTGATAATGGGTACAGCTGCTAACAATTAACAGCTAATTATGTCAAGCACTTTAACCATTTCACAAAAGAAATGGAAATTGGAGGGAAGGGAGAGTGAAATGAAAAGAGAGAAAGCAGTTACCTCATAAACAAATGAGAGGCAGTTAGCACCAAATGCAGCTGGATCCTGTTGTAGAAATGACAGAGAAAGTTGGTACCAGCCCTGTCCCCAGCAAGGCTGAGCTTCAGAGAAGCCACGTGACTCTGAATTTGAACAGAAGAGACTTGAGTCAAATTGACCTGAATAGTGATCAGAGCCAAAGTATGACAAGCTTCATTCTTAGTGCTTAGTGCATATATATATATATATATATTACATATATTATGTATTTTCATATTATATATATTTTATATTATATGTAATATATAGAGTCAACTTTTATTTTAGATTCAGGAACACATGTGCAGGTTTGTTACATGGGTTTATTGCATGATGCTGGGATTTGGGGGACAAGTGAGTCCCATCACCCAGGTAGTATGCATAGTACTCAATAGGTAGTTTTTCAGCCCCTGGAGCCCTCTTACTTTTCCCTCTTGTCCTAGTCCGTTTTCACACTGCCATGAGGAGCTTTCCTGAGACTGGGTAATTTACAAAGGAAAGAGGTTTAATTGACTCTCAGCTGCATGGCTGGGGAGGCTTCAGGGAACTTCTAATCATGGCAGAAGAGGAAGCAGGCACCTTCTTCACCAGGTGGCAGGAAAGAGAAGAGCAGGGGAAACCACTTCTATAACCATCAGATCTTGTGAAAACTCACTCAGGGGCCGGGCGCGGTGGCTCATGCCTGTAATTCCAACACTTTGGGAGGCCAAGGGGGTTGGATCACCTGAGGTCAGGAGTTCAAGACCAGCCTGGCCAACAAGGTAAAACCCGCCCCCCTACTAAAAATACAAATGTTAACCCAGGCGTGGTAGCAGGCACCTGTAGTCCCAGCTACTTGGGAGAATGAGACAGGAGAATTGCTTGAACCTGGGAGGCAGAGGCTGCAGTGAGCCGAGATCGTGCCACTGCACTCCAGCCTGGGTAACAGAGTGAGACTCCATCTCAAGACAAACAAACAAAAAACCATACAAACAAAAAAACCTCACTCATTACAAGAACAGCATGGGGGAAACCGCCCCCATAATCCAATCACCTGCCTCCCTTCACGCGTTTGGATTACAGGTCCCTCCTTCAACAGGTGGGGATTGCCATTCAAGATGTGACTTGGGTGGGGACACCAAGCCAAATCATATCACCCCTCTAATAGTCCCCAGTGTCTATTGTTCCCATTTTTATTTCTTTGTTTGGTTTTTTTTAGATGGAGTTTCACTCTTGTCGTCCAGGCTGGAGTGCAATGGTGTGACCTTGGCTCACTGCAACCTCCGCCTCCCGGGTTCAAGCAATTCTCCTGCCTCAGCCTCCCGAGTAGCTGGGATTACAGGCAGCCACCACCACGCCAAGTTAATTTTTGTATTTTTAGTAGAGACGGGGTTTCACCATGTTGGCCAGGCTGGTCTTGAACTCCTGACCTCAGGTGATTCGCCTGCCTGGGCCTCCCAAAGTGCTGGAATTACAGGCATGAGCCACCGCACCCGGCCCCCATTTTTATTTCTATGTGTACCCAATCTTTAGCTCCTGCTTGTAAGTGAGAACATCTGGTATTTATTTTTCTGTTCCTGCATTAATTCACTTTGGATTTTGCCACCAGCTCCATTCATGTTGCTGCAAAGGATATGATTACATTCTTTGTTATGGCTGCATAGTATTCCATGTATATATACTGCATTTTCTTTATCCAGTCCACCATTGATGGGTTGATTCCATGTCTTTGCTATTGTGAACAGTGCTGCAATGAACATGCTCGTGTAGGTGTTTTTTGTTAGAATGATTTATTTTGCTTTGGGTATATACCCACTAATAACATTTCTGGGCCGAATGGTAGTTCTCTTTTAAGTTCTTTGAGGAATCACCAAATCACTTTCCACAGGATCTGAACTAATTTATATTCCCACCAGCAGTGTATAAGCATTCCCTTTTATCCACAGCCTCACCAGCATCTGTTGTTTTTTGTCTTTTTAATAATAGCATTCTGACTAGTGTGAGATGGTATCTCATTGTGGTTTTGATTTGCATTTCTCTGATGATTAGTGATGCTGAGCATTTTTTTTTCATGTTTGTTGGCTGCTTGCATGTCTTCTTTTGAGAGGTGTCTATCCATATTCTTTGCTCACTTTTTAATGGGTTTTTTTTTTTTTTTTTGGCATGTTGAGTTCCTTGTAGATTCTTAATGTTAGACCTTTGTTGATGCATAGTTTGCAAATATTTTCTCCCATTCTGTGGGTTGCCTGTTTGCTGATAGTTTCTTTTGCTGTGCAGATGCTCTTTAGCTAACTTAGGTTCCACTTTTCAATTGCTTTTGAAGACTTAGTCATAAATTCTTTGCCAAGGCTAATGTCCAAAATGATATTCCCTAGGATTTTTATACTTTGAGGTCTGACATTTAATTTTTTAATTTTGTATTTATTTTTTATTCATTTTTGAGATGGAGCCTTATCTCCCAGGCTGGAATGCAATGGCATGATCTTGGCTCACTGCAACCTCCATCTCCCAGGTCCAAGCAATTCTCCTGCCTCAGCCTCCTGAGTAGCTGGGATTACAGCTCCATGCCACCACACACAGCTAATTTTTGTGTTTTTAGTAGTGACGGGGTTTCACCATGTTGGCCAGGCTGGTCTCGAACTCCTGACCCTCAGGTGATCCACCCATCTCAGCCTCCCGAAGTGCTGGGATTACAAGCACACACCATCATGCCCAGCTAAGTTTTGTATTTTTAGTAGAGATGGAGTTTCACCATGTTGACCAGGCTGGTCTTGAACTCCTGACCTCAGGTGATCCACCCACCTCGGCCTCCTAAAGTGCTGGGATTACAGGCCTGAGCCACTGTGCCCGGCCCTGAGGTCTTAAATTTAAATCTTTAATTCATCTTGAGTGAACTTTTGTATATAAAGAAAGGAAGGTGTCCAGTTTCATTCTTCTGCATAGGGCTAGCTAGTTGTCCCAACACCATTTATTAAATAGGGAGTCTTTTTTCCATTGCTTATTTTTGTTGACTTTGTCAAAGATCAGATGTTTCTAGGTGTACAGCTTTATTTGAGTTCTCTATTCTGTTTCATTGGTCTATGTGTCTGTTTTCATACCAGTACTTTGCTTTTTTGTTTATTATAAAGTACTTCACATATATTAATCCACGTAATCCTCACAATACTTTGTGCTAGTCACTATTATTTCCATTTTGTAGGTGAAAAAAACTGAGGCACAGAGAGGTTAAGTGACTTGCCCAAGGTTACTCACTTATAACTGTTAGAGCCTATACTCAAACCCAGACACATTGGCTCCAGAGTATACCCTAAAACAAATGGACCTCACTAATGTGATGAACCCTTAATAGCCCTTAAAACTTGGATAGCAATGTTTCATTGAAACTTAAGCTCAACCAGTTAATTTTAAGAGAAAAGAAAACATAGTTCAATTGGAATGAGCATTTTCTAAAGTGATAAAGTTGATGGAAAGCCATAAATTTAAATCACCTCTAATCCAACTGGTATTTTATTTGTGCTTCTGTCTGTAAGGACCTGTGTCCTGCTTCTACAGGAGAACCCACTATTCTGCTAGGAGCTGCGAAGCAGCTCCTTAGAGAACCTCAACATCCTGTTTCTCAGATGACTTCACAGTAAACATCATTGGTTGGTTTTGACTCTGAGTTTTTGTTTCCAATAAGCTTTCTTTATCATCTCATGGGAATGGAAGGTGAAGGGAAAAGAAGAACCAGAGTAAACTAACCACACACACAACACGTACACACACATATATGCACATATACAGACACACATGTGCATGCATACACAGACACACAAACACACATACACACATGCATACATGTACACACACATGCATACCTTATTTAGATGTTTATACTAACAAGGAGAGAGTTGAAGGAAAAAGTATCAAGTCTACTTATCCTTACATAAAGCCAAGAGAGACAAAGAGGCTTGCTTGGTATCTCACGGGATGGCAGAAAAAGCCAAGACTGAAAACTCCTGTCCCCATGTTCTGCAAAGAACTCCTGTCCCCAAGTGCTTCATAGAGAACGTGGTGAATCACACATTCCAGGCCTCATCCTTTGAGATTCCAATTCAGCAGTTTGGGTGGGGCCCATGCAGTTGCATTTCTGATGAGCTCCCAGATGATGCAGCTGCTGCTGGTCCACACACACCTCAATAAATAACCACTGCCCTATTCTGTCCCATTTCTCCCATCAAGGCCCACTAATTTTTTCTGGAGTGGGCTCTTTTGCCCAGCCTGGCCCAGTGGGCACAAGTGTCTGTGTTGGTTCCATTGATTGGGAAGTTCAGCTCATGGTCCTTGGTCATCCATGACCAGAACCTATTTTTAAACAGAATCCAGGAAAGGGGGCCAAATAGGCCTTCTGTTTTCACTCTTCTGCCCCACCTCCTGTCCCACCTAGCTTGAGGGTGGGGGGGGTTCTGTTTTCTAGGAGTACAAAGGAAACTGTTCTTAATTAGAACAGAACTGGAAGGACTGCCCTAATCTGGAGCAGTTTGGTTTGGTTTTCTAGTCACCTGTTTCTCAGGTCACAGGTGCCCCTGGCCTTTGCTGATACTACATTGTCTTCCTCCTCAGGACTCCCAAGGGAACTGAGACCTGTCCTCTCTCTTTCCCAGAGACAAGCTTACCACTCACCTCAGGGCTTGCCTGATCCCTCTGTCATCTTCCTGGAGCTGGGGCTTGGGGCAACCAGAGCCATGAGACTAAAACTAGATCTGTGGGCAGGGGAGGGGGGTGGGCAGAAACATCGGGAACACAGGATGGGCAAGAGTCTGGAGGCCAGTGGTGTACACTCTCACTGCAGGGAGCACCTGGATGCTGGCTGGTTTCACGCTGCACTTTGGGGCTATGGAGGACAAATTTCCTGAAAATACTTAGCTGGGTCAAGTCAAAATCATAAGTCTTCTGCAGCCCAGATTCCCCTCTTTGAGAATATGTGCCCTCCCCATCAAAGGGAGCCAGGGCTCTCGTTTTAGCCTCATTAAGGGAAGTCTCTGATAAAACTCAGATATTGGACATTGGGAACTTCATGATCTTTTCCAGTCTTATTTATAAAGAAGATCATAGGGTACCTTCATTCGCTATTGGTACAAATGGAAATTGTTCTGTTCTCTCTGAAAGAAAACACGACGCAGCATGTGAAAGACCTTTAAGTGGGTAATTCTGCTTCTAGGAGTTTGCTCTAAGGAAATAATTGGACAAGGACTGAAAGATGAATGTACAAGGATACTCATTCCAACATTATTAATAGCAAAAAAAGTAAACATCCTAAATGCGTGAATAAAAATTGGAGTTTGGTTAAATGAACCATAGGAAATACAATCACTGAAATATTATGTGACTAATAAAAATGATGTTAGACACAAGAAAATGTTCGTAATGACAATGCCACATTATAAAATGTAGTCTATAAGACAGTACATATAAAATGATATTTTTGTAAAACCGTATGTGACTGTGTGTGTGTTCTCTGGAATGAAAAGAACACTAAAAGGGCATACAACAACACGTTAAAAGCTGTTATCTTTACATGATGAGTACACAGGAAATTTCTGAATTTTTTTCCTCCTATGCTTCTTTTATGTATTATTCAAGCATCCAAGTTTCCCACCTGGAGCATACAATGGAATAAGAAAAAAAATTATAGAATAAATAAAATCACTATGAATTGTACAATTTTAGGTGTCCTGAATGAGCCATGATAAATATTTTGGGGTACAACTTTCCTATTGTTTCTGTAATCTATTTCCATATAATAAACTTAGAAGGATAATTGTAAATACAAAGATTAATCTTTTAAAATCTTGCATGCACATGTGCAGACAGGCCAGTGTACTAGTCTAAGAAAACACATCTTCAGTACATAATATACATATTCATTGGTCTCTTCACTCCTTCCATCCCCCACTCAAGCAACAAAGATTTTTTTTTCCCCACAATGTCTCCTAGCAGCCAAACACAGGCACTGCTAATGAATATTAATTGACCTAACATCTTGTGGTGATGAAACTGCACATTTCGCTGTCTCATTTGGTTGCTAGGGAACCATGTGAGACAGCCACGGGGCTCTGGGACCCAGACCTTTTAAGTACAGGGCAGGGTTAAGCTACAAATCAAAGTACTCCACCCAATGAATTGGGTATACAAGGAACTATATGTATGTATGTGATCCTGTCAGATAAACAAGAAACAAAAACATGGCAATAGGCAGTTTGGCAGTGGGCAGGCAAGCTGGTGGAGATGGGCATAGAGTCTCAGTTACTGCAGCCCCTCCCCATGGATCTCCTGCAGTCCCCTCTCTCCAGGGACCCACTGGCACCATTGTTTCTTCCTTGCCATCCTTCAAGGTCTACAGTAGAACCGCGCAGTTGGGGCTGGAGGCAGCACGGGGGAAGGGGAAGGAGAGAATGTGGTAGTTGGATGTAATTGCCCTGAAATTGTAGGCATCATTTTCTGTCATCCCAGTGCTCATATTAGATGCAAATAAGCTGATGAGTGAACCTGGCCTACCTGCAATTTTCCTTCTGCACTTGACTTTGATCTTCTTTTCTCCTCCCTTTCCCTTCTCTTCTGTCACTCAGCAAGCAGAGAACTCATGCTCATCAGTGCTGGTCTCTGGTCTGGCCACCTTGAACCCTTGCACTAAACAAAGAGCAAATTTTCCCACCTGGGCTTCTGGAAGAAAACCCTCATGGAAACTCCTCATTCCCTATGCCTCCTGCTTCTCTTTCCTCCCCAGTCTTCTCCCTTTAAGCCCTTACTTTACACCACTTTTCCTAACCATTTCCCCCTTTCCAACTGTCTAAGCACCTTCCCTATAAAATGAAGACGTCTCTGTCCTTTGGCCCCACAGGCATACCAAAGACTTTCTCTTTCTGTTTGGCAGGCCCCCTAAAGGTGAGGGTTGAGCTCTGGTCTCAGCATCTGCAGGCTTGACTGAGAAATGGGAGGGTGAGTTCTAGTTCCTGGAAGTGAAAGGCAGTGAGGCTGGGGTGGTGGGTGCTCTCATCTGGCTTCATCTGGTTTCCCTTCAAGTACCTGAGCAAACACAACCGTGAGGATTAACTTCATGCCAAAGACTGCCTGTCCATATTTTTAGAAATTATATTTTTATTTCCACATATTCAGTCATTCATTTAACGAATATTAATTGAGCACTTACTCCTAGCCCAGAACTTCTGCTAGGCCCTATGTGGATTCAGTAACGACTCCAAACAGACACAGCCCCCAGTATGACAACATGGGGAGAGACACAGAGATGGAGCTTAAAACATTATGGAAAATCCTGAAAATAATCAAATAAATTCACAAATAAATATAAAGCCACAGCTGTGGTATAATAAGGCAAGGCATATGGAGCCATGGAAGGAGGGGGCTGCTCCCTTAATCTTAGGGGCTAGGGAAGGCTTTCCTGAGGATGGTGACCCTATTTCTTGGGGAATACTAAGCTTCACCGTTCGCCACCCTCCATGACCTCACCAACATCAAATGGTGCCTGTTTCCTCTTCTGGGTGGAGTGGAGGTTGTGGGGCTGGAAGGAAAGGAGGTTCTAGGCTCTTCTAAATGAGAAAGATAAATGTGCTCACTTGTTTTCTTGCTTTCTCTCGCCTATCTCCTTTGAATTTGAAAATGTTTGTCAACAAAGATTCTAAAGGAAACTCCATGTCCTTAAACACATAAACCACTTTCCACAGGGATGGCTCCTGGTGGCATAGGCTTCCTCATTGGCTAATGGTGTGGGTGGAAGCAGAGATGATGGGCATGAGAGTACAAGATGAGAGGATCCCAGAAGTCCAATGGCTGTACTCAGGGAAGAATAGTAGAGACATCTTGAGCAAAGGGGTGAGATCCCGGCATGAGAACATGGGGAGACACAGAGCTGGAGAAACAAAGAAGAGGCCAGAGGCTGGTATCCAATGAGGGAGACTGGGAGATACATCCCAGGGAGACATGGGGGACAGAGCAGCTGCTGCCTTCCCCAGTTTTCACTACAAGGTCTTAAGTCCAATCTAAATTTTCATCCGGGCACGGTGGCTCATGCCTGAAATTCCATCACTTTGGGAAGCCAAGGTAGGCAGATTACTTGAGGTCAGGAGTTTGAGACCAGCCTGGCCAGCATGGTGAAACTTTGTCTCTACTGAAAATACAAAAAATTAGCCAGGCATGGTGGCATACACCTATAATCCCAGCTACTTGGGAGGCTGAGGCAGGAGAATTGCTTGAACTTGGGAGGCAGAGTTTGCAGTGAGGCTAAATTGTCCCACTGCACTCTAGCCTGGATGATAGATCAATGAGATTCTGCCTCAAAAAATAATTAATTATTTCCCAAATACCTGGTGATGGAAATGTGTGAGGAGAGTTGCATCTATTTCACGGTTGGTTTGGAAAAACAGCTACCCCAATGACAGCTGGATCACCTCAGAATTGGAAGAGATCCAAAAGTCATCCAGCTCTTCACCAGTAATCTGATTCATTCCTCCAGACAGAGGTCCAGCTTTTGTTTGAGCACAAAAAAAAATGAGCTCCCCTACTCCCTAAGGCAGCAGTTCTAAAACTGAGAAAGGTTTTCCTTATACTGAGAGCAACTCTGCCCACAACATCCATTTCCTGGGTCATGGTCTTCAATTGGGAGCTACATAGATAGATTAGATTGGCTCCTCATCTAATGGGAACCCATCAGATACAGAAGGACACGTTTTGTCCTTTATCTCACTTCCTCATCCATTCATTCATTCCCTCTTCAGATGCTTACTGTGAGCCTCCTCTGTGACATACAGCAACAGAGCAGTGGCAAAACAACTGTCAAGAAAGCCAGCCTTGCCCTCAGCTGCTCAGAGAGTTTCCTGTGGTAGATGGGGAGTGTGTGGACAACTTCAACACAGAGAGGATAGGAGTCCAGAGAAGGGCCCGTCCTTTTGGGGCATTTCAGGAATCCACTAAAATGAATTTAGCAATATTTTTATGAAGATATTTTTCAACATACAAGGCTCTAGCTGGAGCCTGTTTATGTCAGGTGGTGATTCAGAGAGGACTTGGTTTTCATGTGAACAAGGGATCCTGCAGGTTGGAATGAGTAATGCCAAGTGGGTGGCCAGATTCTGCCTGCTAGATCCAGCCACCCCACACCCATCAAGTAGAAGGTAATCCAAGAGTATCTAAAAGAAACCTGAGCTACTACTTCAGGAGATTAACTCTCCAAAGATGGGCTGAGGAGAGGTAAGGAAAAATGACTCCCTGGCTCTCTAGCCAAGTCAAGGAGAAAGATAACATCTCCTCAGTCTACACACCTGAATTCCCTGGCCTCTCAGGGCCTCTGATTCTTACAACAGAAACACTTCCACTAGGCTGTAAGCAGGACATAGTAGCTGGGAATTCTTCTATGCTAGGAACTCTCGGGGCTTTGAATTGGATATCCCTCAGGTTTATCTCAGGAATTTGGGCCATAAGATTATTGGCTGGCCAGGATACAATGCTGGGAGTCAGCAAAACAAGAAATATCTGGAAAGTGAACTTGATTAGGCAGAGATTTACTAAACTCTGACAAAGTGGTTCAAGTCTACCTCAGATTTCCCCATGGCAGTGTTAATGGCCTCATGCCCTCATCCTTGAGGAGGCGGCACTCGGGTGATGCAGGCAGAATTGCCAAGATAGACGGATCTGACCGTGATGCAAAGGCATATCACCTAGGAAGCCGAGAACCTAGAAGCTACAGCCACACCACTTCTGCCTTTGATGTCTTAGAAGCTAAAATCTAGGACACCAAAATACTCAGACATTTCTGTTAATTCCATTATTTGTTTCAGCACTGGGAATCAACCATTGAATCAAAGTTCTGAGGCCAAAAGTAGTTTTGAGACAGTATCTTGTCTTTCCTCTAAATCCTTACGAAGCCATCTTAAACAGCAGAGTACCTGCCCTCTACTAGTATGAAAATAGACATTGGAACGTACAGTGATGCAGCCACTTTCCAAAACTGTTTGGCAGTCCACAAAGTATTAAACATAGAGCTTTGACCCATCAATCCCATTCCCAGATATCTACCCAAAAGAAATGAAAATGTATGTTCACACAAAACCTTGTACCTGAATGTTCACAGTAGCATTACTTAGACAAAAATGGAAACAACCCAATATCTATCATCTGATTAGTGAATAATCAAAATGTGGTATATCTATCCAAACAGTGGAATATTATTCATAAATAAAATGAAATACTGATGTATGTTATAACATGAATAAACTTTGAAAACATTTATGCTAAGTATAAGAAGCCAGTCACAAAAGACCACATATTGTATAATTTCACTTATGTGAGATATCCAGAATAGGCAAATGTATAAAGAAAGTAGATTTATGGTTTGTCTATGGCTGGAAACAGGGAATGTGAAGGTAGATGGGGAACAAGTGCTAATAGGTACAAGTTTTCTTTGGGGAACGATAAAATTATTCTAAAATTGGATTATGATAATGATTATGGTTATACACCTTTGCAAACTAAAAATCATTGAATTGTACACTTTAAACAGGTGGACCTTATGTAAATTAATAAGAGAGGAAGGAAGGGAGAGAGGGAGGGAGGGAGGGGATGGGAGGAGGAAGAGGATGGAAGGAGGAAGGATGGAAGGAGAAAGAGGAGGAGGAAGAGGCTATGATGAATTTTAGAGCCACAGAGGATAGCTCTTCCTGGTGGCAGGAGTAATATACTCCAATCCAAAGCTATAAGAGAGAGAGTGTGTGTGTACTTTCTGGGTTCCGTCGGGAACACTCTTAGTATGTTAGACTGTTATTCTGGTGGCCACCAATGAGCCACACCCTCCTTATAATCACACCCTCTTTGTGTAGTCCCTTCCCACATTGGCTCTGTAGCTTGCTCTGGTCAATGTGACATTAGTAAGCACGACTCAGAGGTTGGATTAGCACTTGTCTACTGGAGCTTGTTCTCTTGGAATGCTCTTACATGGATCCCAAACAATTGTGAGAAGAGATCCAGCAACCCACTGGAGAGGCCACATGGAGAGAGGAAGAGAAAAAGAGGAAGCCCTGGCCAGGCCCCAGCCATGGCAGCCATCCCTGCTGAGGCAGAAGCCATGGGGTGAGGAGGCTATGTTGAATGGCCCAGCCGCAGTAGCCACTCACTGAACCAAAGGACCACCCAGCTGAACCCAGCCTCAGTTGCAGAATCATGAAAAATGAAACATCATTATTGTTTAAGCTACTAAGTTTTGCTATGGTTTGTTTTGTGATATTTATCACAAAACAAATTTAGTATTTACTAAATACCCTGAAAGACCTGATAACCTCCAACTCTGTCACTCACTGATTTGATGATGGACTTTAATCTGATGCCCTTGAATATTGAGATGGATTTAAGGAAAAACATGATTTTAATGTGTGTATAACATGCCATTTGTCACTGTAGTTTAGTGCAATTTTACACAATATTTATCTGATTGGCATATCAGTTACATCACATCACTGAGAATTGCCTGTACAGGGATTCTGTGTGCTTGGCAATAAGATTGATTATGGTTATTATACTAATGGCTGGAAACATAAATTTCATCAGGAAAGTTGCTTTGAAGCCTCAGTGACAGGCCTTGTACACTTACTTGCTAAATGTTATACTGCATGCATGCAAAGTGCCATCCTAGGGGACTCGGGCAGAGACACTGGAGCTGACAAGACATGTCTGCACCGTCACATAAAGTGTTGCTGAGAAGCAGAAACTCTTCTTAAAAACCTTTTTCCTAGAGTCTCATCTCTTTTCCCATTGACTGGGCCAAACACCAAGCAGGGTGTTTTGGAAGACATTTCACACGTCTCCACCAACGGGTGGATCTACCCTCAATAGACAGTACAGGTGGGAGCCTTTCCAACCCACTGCACACCTGATCTGTGATGGCTGCGACTGGCGAGTGTGTCTGTTTTGGAAACCTTAGCAGTACACATGTTTTCCTGTGTAATAAAACATTTTGACAGTTCAGACTATGCCAAATAAAAGTTTTCATCTGAAGCCTATTTGAAGGGTTGGAATTTAGTTGTGTATTTTAAAAGATAAAGCTGGAAAATTCGGGGCTAAACGCTATGTTTTCTCTCTCCACAGCAGGTTCTCATCACCCAACTCAATTAATTGCTTCATTTTCCCATTTCATCTCATCACAGTTCCAAATTTGCACCTGAAGTACAGGGTCCTGGTAGAAGGGAGGTCATCTCTGTGTTAATAGAAGTCTTGTTTCAAATTCCTATCAGCAGTCTGAAGAGGAACTGTATGAGACTCCTGGTCTCCCCTCAGGATCCAGCTTCTCCATGGCCTCATGAGACTCTCTAAGACCTCCACAGACCTTTACCACCGAAGAAAGAAAATGAGATTTGCCAGAAGGTTTTTAGCAAGGGGCCAAGCTCTCAAGATAACACAGCATTAATGAAATTCACCTTCTGAGCCTTTTAATTCTTCTAGTAGCACTTCACTTATAATCAATGTTCTTCTGTCCCCATTACAATTTTTCTTGTTCTGAAAAATAGTGTGACACACACTTCAATTAAAAGACATAGGACTGGCCACACTCCTTAGCACCCAGTAGATCAGCCCCCACCTGAAAATATTCACCAACCAGTGGTAAACAAATGAAAAGGACATAAAAGCTGAGAGGGAGTCTCTGTAGTTGAGTTCCCAAATGAGAGGAAACAGAAGAGCTTACATTAATAATGACACAATAATTGGAGGTTACCCAAAGAGAGCCCCGGTACACTCAACTTTCACATTAGCTTTGCACAAAAACCATTATAGATCTTTCTAAAGGACTAATGTGAGCAATGGTGAAGCTGTTTATCAGATTTATCCAGTACCAGCCAGAGCGTTCTTCCACCCCAGGGGAACTGGACCAGCCTAAAGCACCTCACTGCACGAGAAAAACATTTGATTGGGGCCAGGGAGTGATTCATGCAAAGTTCAATTGCATACCAAAACAGACCCCAATAAAGACTCCTAAGTCACTTTTTAGGCATTTTCTCCTGTACAAAGTATATGCGAGTAGTTATCTCCTAAGGAATGTGGAGTATTGCCAAGGATGGCCCTGATAGGCTCTGGGGAAGGTGGAAGGCAGAGGCAGAATGGCAGGAGGCAGAGGCAGAGTGCAGGGAATGTGTTTAATTGAATGTCTGAGTTTCATCAGTCTCATTTGAAAAAATAATCCCCAGCTCTCTCTTTTTTTTTTTTCCTGGCTAGATTGAGAGAAATTCATTATTGTTTGGTGAGTCAATATCAAATTCTAATAAAGAGACAATTTTTTAAAATCCCATTTTGTGGAGGGCTCATTAAAACATCCAGATAACTCCCGGGTATATGAAAATTGTTCATTGCCATAAGTTATAATGGTATCAAAATAGATTTCCTTTGCAAAGGGAGTTCCATTAACATGATTCATGTAACCACCCCAAAATTATATTTGCACAGGGATAATATGGAGGTGATATTATTAACACCTCCTCTGACTAAGGTTTTACAGTTTATTTAAGCATCTAGGGTAAGAAGACACCCTTCAAACTGAGAGCTTGGCTCCAGGTGTGACTCTCCCCACACCTAGCTTGCTCCCTAAGCTTACTGGGTTCTCCACCTTGCTGTCTCTGATTTCCTCTCTCACATGCCCAAACTTTATAAAACAAAATGGCTCTTCACTATTAGCTTCCCAGAAAAAAACTGAAATTGAACCCTAGCCACACACAAGATTCCAAGGGGCTGAAGGATGGGCTTAAGGGCTGTGTCTAGCCTTCCTTGTGTCCCCATTACCTAGTACATCCTTCTTGGGCATGGCAGATGCCAGCAAACTTTCTAAAATGAGTTACAAAATAAATGTGAAAATTAGATTTCTATTTCTATTTACATTAAACCAAGAGGTAAAGGGCACCTTTACATCAGGGTTGAATAGTTCCCCATCAAATTCATGTCCAGTTGGAACCTGTGAATGTGACCCCATTTGGAAATAGGGGCTTTGAAGATGGAATCAAGTTGAGGCCATATTGGATAAGAAAGGACCCTAAATCCAATGACTGGTATCCTTATGAGAAGAGGAAGATTTAGACACAGAGACACAGACATGCACAGGGAAAAGGCCATGTGAAAACAGAGACAGAGATTGGAGTGATGCATCTATAAGCCAAGGAATATCAAGGGTTGCCAAGCAACCAGCAGAAGCCAGAAGAGGCAAAGAAGGATTCTTCTTTGGAGTCTTCAGAGGAAGTGTGGCCTGCTGACACCTTGATTCTGGACTCCTAGGCTCTGAAAACGTGAAAGGATAAAGTTTCCATTGTTTTAAGCCACCCAATTTGTGGCATATTGTGACAGCAGCCACAGGAAACAGATACAGGTATTGCACAGGTGGAAGGTATTTTATGACTCCCTCAAGGTCTGCAAGCAATCTCACTCACTAAGAGCTATAAATCATGCTGCTATAAAGACACATGCACATGTATGTTTATTGTGGCACTAGTCACAATAGCAAAGACTTGGAACCAACCCACATGTCCATCAATGATAGACTGGATTAAGAAAATGTGGCACATGCCAGGCGCGGTGGCTCATGCCTGTAATCCCAGCACTTTGGGAGGCCGAGGCAGGCAGATCACAAGGTCAGGAGATCGAGCCCACACTGGCTAACATGGTGAAACCCTCTCTCTACTAAAAAAAAAAACAAAAAATTACCCAGGCGTGGTGGCAGGCACCTGTAGTCCCAGCTACTCAAGAGGCTAAAGCAGGAGAATGGCATGAACCCAGGAGGCAGAGCTTGCACTGAGCCAAGATCACGCCACTGCACTCCAGCCTGGGTGATAGAGCGAGACTCCATCTCAAAAAGAAAAAAAAAAAAAGTAAATGTGGCACATATACACCATGGAATACTATGCAGCCATACAAAAGGATGAGTTCATGTCTTTTATAGGGACATGGATGAAGCTGGAAACCACCATTCTCAGCAAACTATCACAAGGACAAAAAACCAAACACTGCATTTTCTCACTCATAGGTGGGGAATTGAACAATGAAAACACTTTGACACAGGAAGGGGAACATCACACACCAGGGCCTGTTGTGGGGTGGGGGAAGGGGGAGGGATAGCATTAGGAGATATAACTAATGTAAATGACTAGTTAATGGGTGCAGCACACCAGCATGGCACATGTATACATATGTAACAAACCTGCACGTTGTGCACATGTACCCTAGAACTTAAAGTATAATAATAATAAAAAAAAAAGAATCTTCAGCAGCTAAAAAAAAAAAAACAAGAAAGTAGTAATTTCTATAAAAATCAAGATATTAGTACCTTTGGGAGAAGAGTAGTGATTAGAGGAACTTCTAGGGTGCTGTGCATATCCTATTTTTAAAATTTGGGTGATATTTTGTAGGTGTTCACTTTGTGATAAATCATTGATCTGTATATTTTTGTTGTGTGCACTTTTCTATGCTACGTTTCACCAAAAAATAGAGGTTTTAAACAAATGAGTGGAGTGTTTATATGGTTTATCTATGATTATATATTGCATATTTACAGGGTACTAGGCACTATGCTAAGCACTTGACATATATTAAATAATAATAATCCTAGTGATCCTAAGTGCCCCTCCCCCACTTACTGAGCCTTTTTTTTTTACAGCAAAATAAGGATAATATGAACATACCTCATGAGATAGTTATAGGAATGGAATGAATTACAGTAAAGATCTTAAAACCATGTCTGACACATAGAAAGTGCTACTTAAGTGTTAGCTATTTCACTGGAGAATAGCATTGAGACTCAGTGAAATTACATAGCTTGCACAAGACCACACAGCTCATAAGAGAGATGCTACATGTTAAGCCTGTGTCGTACTCGGATAGCACCCTTTCCTCTTCAGCGTGGTGCTGCTTCCTGGGAGTGCTCTGTGACTCCTCCCTCTGGGTGCAGGGAACAGATCTGAGCTTTCTGGAAGAGCAGTGGGATCTGTTCTCTATGTGGCCTAACTACTTAATCTTGATGGCACCTTCATTTTTCATAATTGGAGGTGGTCCCATTTCTCATCCCAAGCTACCATAGTAAAGGAAGTAAATGCCTTTAGTGTGTAGGCAGCCAGAGATGACAATTCAGTCCAGCCCCTTGCTCTGTGATTATATCCCCCATGGAAGGAGCTCCAAGGCCACAGCCAGCCATGAAGCCCCTCTGTAGCCCTTTCAACCTCCCATAGACTCAGAACAGCTATGGGCATCAAGCGTTTACCAGTGGACAGCCTAATGGACCCCAGGGCTGGTTACACAGCAAATACCAAAGGATTGAGTTTCTGGAAGCCAGGGAATTAACTAATAGAATAGCAATGGCATGAGAAAGCAGGACAAGGTGGTAAACAAGGGAAACATCTCTCTTTATCTCAGTTTTCTCTTTTTTCTCTTTCTTTATGTCAGTTTTGTCATCTCCCACTTAAAGGATATTATGTTATTGAAGCCAGTGATGACCAGGCATCCACAGAAAACTTTTCTTTCTCCCACCTGTCCTGAAGCTAACCCCACTTATTAATTCAGCCAAGACCCCTAAAATAGGGTATGGTTTTAAGTGACTTTCTATATGTATGAATTCTCATAAAAACTGTGTTGGGGACTTCTGATTTCTACTCTGGCATATAAAAGGCCTGAAAATCATCACTCCCACCTTTACACCAAGAACAGGCTGGATAAATTTTTAAAAAAATCAGTGACTTCTTGGACCCATCAGATAACTGAGGCCACAGGGAAAACTACAATTTCCAAATCTGGAGAGACAGATGTAACCAGTGAGACGTGATCTGCTTACATGCAATGGAAGTGATTGAAGCTATAATCTGGTAGGAATGATTAAATCGAAAGTTTGACAAATTGCTGGAAGCTGAGCATCAAGTAGCTTAAGAATGAGAAATTCCTGGGGCCACAGTCATAGGGGAGCCCCCACCCTACCTCCAGGAACCCTCCGATGACTCTGGCAGGAGGAGAGGAAGATTAATTATCGTGAAATAAAACCAGAGCCTTCTCCACAACAAGGACCTGCTCTCAAAGGGAAAAGACGTTACCTAAGCCATATTCCAGCTGAAGGGAAGAAACTCCCCCAACTTTACCCCACTTCAATATTTCTGTCCCACCTAAGGGGGAAAGCATACAGTCAACAGTGGTCAGGGCTTCAAGAAAATAGACTGGGAATGTTGGAGCCAGAGTAGAGAGTAAGGAGCTAGAAGGAGACAAAAAAAAAAAAAAAAAAAGCTATAGCACCAGAGAAACACTTGCAAAGATCACAGCCCTGAGATACAAGCATAGTAAAAGACTGAGACTTAATCATAGGATTATAGAATGGTCCCCTTCCTTTGCACCTTACCACCACACCAACAGGACTTCAGTATAATAATGGTGGATTACAGCTGAAATCACTGCAAGACACAAACTCACTCTGAGGAGGAACAGTTAGGAAAGCCTAAAGACAATAGGAGAAAAAAACAAGGACAACAGAGAAATCAGAAGCCTCTGGTATCTTAGCTATAGCAAACATTAAATATAGTCCAACTTCTAGTCAGATTAACATAAATCTTTACTCTAAAGACTTATTTACCTCAGTTCCTATTATCCAATACATCATGGCTATCTTTCAACAAAAAATTACAGGCCATGCCAAAAGGCAAGAAAAAACTCAGCATAAAGGAACAAAGTCACCATCAGATATGACAAACAGATGAAAAGCCCTAGGTATTATGATATTCAAATTGCAGAAAACCAAAGACAAAGATAAAACCTAAAAGAAGCCAAAGGAAGAAAAACATGCCTTACCTATAAAAGAACAAAGATTACAATGAGCTTCTCATCAGAAACCATGCAAAAACAAGACAATTAAGTGAAATATTTAAAGTGTTCAAAGAAGAAAGCCACCAACCTAGAATTCTATATCCAATGAAATTATCCTCCAAAAGCAAAGGAGAAATAAAAACTTTCTCAGACAAAAAATATGAGAGAATTTGTTGCCAATAGGCCTATCCTGCAAGAAATATTAAAAATAGTACTGATGAAAGATGTTAAAGAATATCTAAATAAATGGTGAGATAGTCCATGTTCATAGATTGGAAGGCTCAATATTGTTAAGATTTCAGTTCTTCCCAATTTGATCTATAGATTCAATGCAATTCCAACCAAAATCCCAGCAAGCTATTTTGTAGATATCAACAAACTTGTCAATTATAAAGTATATATGGTGCTATGAACTGAATTGTGTTCCTTGCCCCCAAATTTATATGTTGAAGTCCTAACCTCCATTGTAACTATTTGCAGACAGGTCCTTTATGGAATTAATAAGGTTAAAGGAGGTGATAAAGTTAAGGTTCTAATCTGATAGGATTCATGTACTTATAAAAAGAGACACCAAAGACTTTGCTCTCCCTGCCATGTGAGGACACAACAAGGTAGAGACCAGCTGCAAGCCAGAAAGCAAGTCCTCACCAGAAGCCGACTATGCTACTACCCTGATCTCCGACTCCCAGCCTCCAGAACTGTGAGAAAATAAATTTTTGTTGTTTAAACCGCCCAGTCTATGCTATTTTATTACAGCAGCCTGAGCAGGCTAATACATGGTAAAAGGCAAAAAAACTAGAATAACTAATACAATCCTGATGAAGAACAATGGTGGAGGATTCACATTCCCTGATTTTAAAACTTAATGTAAAGCTATAATAATCAACACAGCACATAGTGAAAGAACAGACACAAGATCAATGGAATGGAAGAGAGTGCAGGGAATGACTCACACAAATATAGTCAACTGATTTTCAATGGAAAAGGGATAGTCTTTTCAACATATGCAAAATATGAACACAGACATTTTATGTCTTACTCAAAAATTAACTCACTGGTCTAAATATAAAATGCAAATACAAAACTAAAACTTCTAGAATAAAACAAAGGAGAAAATTTATGTAACATTGGGTTTAATTATGAGTTTTTAGAAACAACATCAAAAGAACAATGAAAGAAAAAAATGTTTAAGTTTGACTTTATTAAAATTAAAAATCTTGCCGGGTGCGGTGGCTCACGCCTGTAATCCCAGCACTTTGGGAGGCCGAGGTGGGCAGATCACCTGAGGTCAGGAGTTCGAGACCAGCCTGACCAACATGGAGAAACCCCATCTCTACTAAATATACAAAAAAAATTAGCCAGGCATGGTGGTGCATGCCTGTAATCTCAGCTACTCGGGAGGCTGAGGCAGGAGAATTGCTTGCACCTGGGAGGCGGAGATTGCTGTGAGCCAAGATCGCACCATTGTACTCCAGCCTGGGCAACAAGAGCAAAACTCCGTCTCAAAAAAAAAAAAAAAAATTAAAAATCTTCTGCTTTATGAAAGACACTGTCAAGAGAAAGAAAACAAATGACAGATTTGGAGAAAATATTTGTAAAACATATCTGATAAATTATTTGTATTCAAAATATACAAAGAACTCTTCAAACTCAGTAAGAAAACAAACTACCAATTAAAAATAAAGTAAAACCCAATGACCAAAGCTGGAACAATTTGAGCAAGAAAATAAGGTAGTATTGAATTATAACCTAGCGCATAAAATAAATATCCACAAGTCCATGGTGATATAAATAAATGGAGGATAAGAAGAATTCCAAATAGTTTATGTAGATACTCCACACTCAAGAAAGCAGAACATAACTCCTTCATCCTTAAGTGTGGGCTCCACACAGCGACTTCCTTTCAAAGAGTAGTTTAGAAAGAGGAGGAGGGCTTGAAGTAACTCTTTCTATAAAAGAAACCTAACAAACATTATCTCACACAGGCAATCGAGATCAACGTCAACAGTGATAAGTCATGTTGGCAGTATGCACCCTTGGTATGATGTGATGAAAATGGTGCTTTACCTCTGAGGTCTTCCTCCTAAAGACCCATATCCCCAATCTAATCACAAGACAAACAGACAAACCCCAGTTGGGGGACAACCTACAAAATACCTGGCCCTTACTCCTCAAAACTGTCAAGGTCATTGAAAACAAGGAAAGTCTGAGAAACTGGCACAGTCAAGAAGAACCTAAGGAGACGTGATGACTAAATGAAATATGTGATCAGAAATATGGGAACAGAAAAAGGACTTTAGGTTAAAACTTTAAAAAAAATCTCAAGTATGGGTTTTGGTTAAAAATAACATATTAGTATTCGTTCATTAATTGTGACAAATGTACCGTATAAAGATATTAATATAAATGGTGTGGGCTATATGGGAACTCTGCTATCTCAGCAACTTTTCTGTGTATCTAAATCTAATATAAGCCACATCTGTTGGACTCTAGCTTCCATGGTTTTCTTTTTCCTTGGGGTACCATGAGTTTAGTTTTCTTATGTAACCGTAAGTGGGGATCAGGATTCAAACAGAGGGGAACAGTAAAGTTGCAGGTCACATTAAAAGCCGGTGCACTGGGCTTTCAAAGTCACACCGAAAAATCCCAACCCTGAGCGGGTAACGAGGCAGTGCTCTGATTGTGGGGCAGGCGGCCTACCCTGCAGCCCTGACCTGGCTGCATGGGGTTCCCCCACCTCAAAAAACACACTTTCCCAGTTACCTATGCGATCTTCGCCTTCCGGGAAGGTCTCTACCCCTGGCCGGGCTGACCAGGGGTCAGCCAGGGCACCCAGGGCACCTTGTCCGTACACGCCTGTGGGTTCTCCGGCCACCTGGGAGACCCTTCCTGCACGCGGTGGCCGCCTCCGCTTCCCACAAGGTGTGGGCGCGCCCGCCTCGCCTTGATCCCCAGCCGTGCTGGCTCCTTTTGTCCTCTGGAACAGCAGAGGCACACACAATGGCTATGTTGAGATCCCTGCACTGGCTGATTGCTCTGTAATTGCGTATTTCCTGGGTAGCTTGTCAGAGCCTTCTGATTTACGGACCTTTTATTATTTTTTTTTCTTTAAACTTAAAAAAGCTCCCTCTTTTGCTAGCTCTCTCTTTGGGATTTATCCACAGCGTCTGTGAATGAAAACGTTTCCTGCTCTCATGCTGATGTACCCACTTCCTCGTGTGCTTCCTTGGGGCCTTCCCACGCTGGGCTTGAAAGCCAGTCACCAGGGCTCTGTCTGCAGGGCAGGCTGCCCTCTGAGCCAAGTGGGCTGCTCTCCCACATCTCCCAGCCTCTGCCCCAGGGCGGGTGGAAGCAAGACATTTGTTTGAGGCCAGGCTACCTACCACTGGACTTTCTCTGAAAAAATAAGGTGGTTTGCTGGTCCATTTCACCACCTCCCCTCCTGCCGCTGAAGGTGCCCATGCCAGCCACTCCTTTTCTGCCTAGGAGACACCTCCCTACCCTTCAAGGCCAAGCTCTCCTGTCACCTCCTCTGGGCAAGCTCCCCTCCTCTGCACTCCCACATCTTTGGGTTTATTCTAAGGATGGGTATATAACCTGCGTGTCCCCCACAACCACCCAACAAAATCACTCAGCAGCTTTCTCTGGTTTATTTCCCCTGTCTCCTGGGTAAGATCAGAGCCTTGAATTTACTCCCAACCTGTTGCGGGGAGGGGAGAGGGGGGAGTTTGAGTGAGAATGCCAGAAGCAGGGCATCATGAACCAACGAATTCATTTACAGAGCCTGGGGCAGAACAGTCATCCCTAGACATACCTGAAAGCTATTTGGTCCACTGCCCACGGCAATGTGTTATTTATGTGCTCCAGTGGCCACCCCAAGTGAGGAAAGTAGTAATAACCCCCATGTGTGCTGCGTTCTGAGTCAGGGCTGCAGTTATTCCAGACATTGCCATGGTATGAACTGGAAAGAGGTTTGCCCCTTCTAATGCATGCAGCTCCCACCAAATTGCCCTTGTCGAGTGCAGCTCAGGCTGGATTTCAGCCCCTTCAGCTAGGTGCCCTTATGCAGTGAACAACCTACATAACCTTACTAGGCTAACTCAACATGAGCTACAAAGTAGAGTTAAGCACTGATGTCTCAGAGATTTGAGCCAACGACCATTTCCAGTTCTTACTCCCCCACTAGTACAGCCAGCCCCCTCACTTAGAAATCTGACATAAGCCCATGTGAACTAAGTTAGAAGACAATCAGAATGAAGCATGGTGACATGATAGACAGTCACCAGTTCAAATCCCAGTTCTGCCATTTACCACTCGGTTAGCCTTGGCAAGGATTTCAGCCCATTGGACCTTTGTTTTCTTAACTGCTAACTGAAGCCCCTAATGCATTCTTCTGGGGGGTATAGAGAGGATTAAAGGAGGTAATAACCACATATCTAAAGGATCTAGTCCATAACAAGAGCTCAATAAATGGTATCTGTGATTGTTGAGCGGTAGACACTGAAATTATTCCTCACCTCTTCCCTGGGATCATGTTCTCATACCTCAAACTCTTGCCATAGGGTGAAACCCTCAGACAGTTTGTTGCCTCATACAAGAGATCCCTAATGGTTTGTTGAGCTGGTCCTCCCAAAGTGTCTAAAACAAACTGAGACACCTGCAAAGCAAATGTTAGCTGTATGAGCATCTATCTCAGGTATTGGACTGTGTTTTCCTCAGTGGAGGAAACAGTCTTACTATCTTTGTGTCATTTGGTGCACCCGGTCATTAACAGCTGTTGAATTACAGAATGATCACCAAATCTCTGATGTCAACTGGCTTCTCAGGGGGAGCTGGTCCCTCTGGAATGCCTTGTTTCTTCAGGCTTTGCCTCCAGTCCAAGACAAGTCCCCATGAAAAGGAGGACACTATTTTAATATCTAGAGGTCATATATGCCTTAATGTAAATAAGTTTATCAGACTTATCAGATTCTTTATAGAGAACCAGTTTTAATTATGGAAAAATGCTGAAGAGTTTGGGGATTCTTTATGGTTTAAGGATCTAGTAAATATTTTATATATTTTTGTAGAGTTAAGCTTTGCCAGAGTATCTATGACTATTGGTTCTATTGACAATATTAACCAACACTTGAATGCTTTGCAGCTTTCCATATGCTAATGACATTACTAAGTACTTTTATGTATATTGACTTGTTTAATCCTCCTAACATCCTGTGAGATAGATCCTATTATTTTATAAATTAACAAACTGAGCCACAGAAAGGTTACATAACTTGCCTAAGATCACATAGCTCATAAATGGTGGAGCTAGTATTTGAACCCAGCAGTTCGGAGCCAAAGGCCTTTCTTATAACATCTTTCTACCATGTCTCACTAGGGGTTCAGCAGTCAAGACTCCTGATACAGATGCCTGACCATTCTTCAAGTCAGGCTGGAAAAACATCTTACAATAAAACCCCATAATTTCAGTGCCTTTTTGAAACCACAAGAAACCAAAGATTAAAATTGGATAGGAGAGAAATTATTGTTACTTTCCAATATTATAATTGTTTATTTAGAAAACCAAAGAGAATCAACTTAAAGAGTACCCAAACAATAAGACTGTGATAACTGCTTACAAAATTAATATACAAAATTCAATAGCTTTTCCAGAAATAAATACCAATCAGAAAATATAATGGAAGAAAAGATCCCATTTAGAATTATAATCCAAAGAAAATATATTTCAAAAAAAACTTAACAAGCAATATGTAAGCTCTATATGAAGTGAACTTTAACCATGTAAAGGAAAAGAAAAGGTTTAAATAAACATAAATACAGTCCCTCTTCTTGGAGAGAAAGACTCCTTACAAAAATGTTCATTTCCTGCATTAATCTATAAACTCAACATGGTCAATACCAAAACAACAGGGGAAGGAGTAAAAGGGAGGGTAGAGTCCTCAGGTGGACTGCGTATTAGTCAGTTTTCATACTGCTATAAAGATACTACCCAAGACTGAGTAATTTATAAAGGAAAGAGGTTTAATTGACTCACCACTCAGCATGGCTGGGGAGGCCTCGGGAAACTTACAATAATGGCCGAAGGTGAAAGGGAAGAAAAGCACCTTCTTCTCAAGGTGGCAGGAAGGAAAAGGAACAAAGGAGGAACTACCACACACTTACAAAACCATCAGATCTCGTGAGAACTCACTGACTATCATGAGAACAGAAAGAGGGAACCTGCCCCCATGATTCAATTACCTCCACCTGGTCTCTCCTTAGACCCATAGGGACTATGGGGATTATAGGGATTATAATTCAAGATAAGATTGTGGGTGGGGACACAGCCAAACCATATCAGACTGTGAATTTCAAATAAAAAAATAAAATGCAAGAAGGGCCACAATATTCCTGGTAGAGTAGCAGCCTGGTAGAGTGGAGGGGAGGGGTGGTATACGGTAAACGCACCTGATAGCAATAACTTAAGCATACTCTGAGAACGACCCTGTAAGGCAGACACACCTGAATACAGTTCACAGTTCCCAGCTAAGGAATCAGGCAGTGGCCAATCCCCAGATGCATTTCCTATCTATGAGGAACATCTGAGCTCCAGCACGCTCCTGTGGAAATGAGTCCATTTGTTTTGGGCTTTGAGTGAAGGTTGACAGGTGGAGGTTGTTAGGGGGAGGGCACTGAGTGAAAACTTGGTTTATGGTATTTTTGTTATGAAGACTTTTAATGTAAACTACATGACTTTTGCAAGTGATTGCGGTTCTCCTGCCCACCCCACTGCTACTGGACTCAATCCCCTGTAGGTATGTCCCCAGTAAAATCCCATGTCTAGCTCGCTGACTCTGGGTCTCTTCTTGGGCCTCTTGAATCTGGTCCTGTCCCCATTGGAGTTGACTGGAGTTCAGCACAACATGGGGTATTAGCCCTACCAGATATTAAAATATGCTGCAAAGTCATAGTTAACATTGTCTTCCACTGGCATAACAATTAATAGCCAAAGGAATGGAAGTGAATCAAAAAATTAGAAGTAGGCCCAAATATACATAAGAATTTGCTGTACGTAGAGGTAGTTTTTCAATGCAGTGTGAAAAAGATTAATTACTCAATATATGGTTTGGGCTAACTAGCTAGGCCATCTTAAAGAAAAAAAAAAGGAATCCCTTCTTCATTTATTTATACCAAAATAAATTTCAGATGGATATAATATTTAAATGAAAAACCTAAATCATAAGAGTACCAGAAGAAAACACAAGAGAATTTTTTAACATAATTTAATAGCAAAGACTTCTTTAAGCATAACACTAAGCCCAGAACACATGAAAAAAGTGGATAAACTTTGTTAACATAAAACGTTAAATGTCTTCATAACAAAAATACCATAAACCAAGTAAAAATAAGCAAGCAGTAAGGAAGGAAAAAATATAACAAAGGATTAATATTCATCATAAAAGTAGAGTTCTAAACAAGTCAATTGAAAAAAAGTGAAAATGCCAAATGGAAAAAAATAATGAAAAACATTATTACAGGAAAAAAAATGCAACCAACTTTTAACCATGTGAAAGGATGCTCAATTTCACTCACATTAAAGGAAATGCAAAGTAAAAATCACAATGAGATTTCATTTTTTGCCTACTAAATTGGCATAGAACAATACATTTGATAATATACTAGGGAAACAGGCACTCTAATGCACTGCTCTTAGGAGTTCTAAACAGTACAACCTCTTTGGATGACAGCTTGGCAATATCTGTCAAAATTTTAAATTCCAGACCTGGATGAGATTGGAGACTATTATTCTAAGTACAGTAACTCAGGAATGGAAAATCAAACGTTGTATGTTCTCACTGATATGTGGTAGCTAAGCCATGAGGATGCAAAGGCATAAGAATGATACAATGGACTTTGGGAGAAGAGTGGGAAGAGGTTGAGTGACAAAAGACTACAAATATGGTGCAGTGTATACTGCTCTGGTGATGGGTGCACCAAAATCTCACAAATCACCACTAAAGAACTTACTTATGTAACCAAATACCACCTGTACCCCAATAATTTATGAAAAAATAAGATAAAACTTAAAATTCCACATCTAAAAATTTATCAGATAGTGTATACAATGATGTTTACTGTCATATTATTTACAGTAGCAAAAGAAAAAAATCAGAATGCATATTAATAGGAATCTATATACATTCCGATACATTAATAAAATGGAATCTAATGTAGCCATTAACAAAATCAAGCAGGCCAGGCACCCTGGCTCTTGCCTGTAATCCCAGCACTTTGGGAGGCCAAGGCCAGTGGATCACTTGAGGCCAGGAGTTCAAGACCAGCCTTGCCAACATAGTGAAACTGTCTCTACTAAAAATACAAAAATTAGCCAGGCGTGGTGTGGCACACACCTGTAGCCCCAGCTACTCGGGAGGCTGAGGCAGGAGAATCACTTGAACCCAGGAGGCGAAGGCTGCAGTGAGCCAGATTGAGCTGCTGCACTCCAGCCTGGGCGATAGAGCGAGACTGTCTCAAAAAAAAAAAACAAAAAGAAAAAGAAAGTAGACCTATATATATTAATATGGAACAATCTCCAAAATGTTAAATGCAAAAGGAAAAATGCAGAACAGTGTGTATAATATTCTATAATATCTCTTTTTTTAAGTGGAGTATATAAATACATATTTTTAAATGGAGAAGATCAGCGATTTTCTAGTTAGGTAGCAATCCATTTATAGTTGGCAAAATCAATTTAGTAAATTGCAACCAAGATTCCTTAGTGCCTGTATATTTTATTTGGAGATTTTTATATGTTTTATTTAAATACTGATTAGATCATTTGATATTAATTTTATTATGTTTTTCTTTATCATATATAGTAAAGGTAAGTATTGTTTGGTGCAACTTTTGTTAGTTATATAATTGCTAGTGGGTTTTTAATGGTTTGAATGTGTCCTCCAAAGTTCCTGTGTTGGAAACTTAATGCCCAATGCAACAGTGTTGAGAGGAGCGAAGGTTAAGAGTTGATTAGGTCATGGGGGATCTGCCCTCATGAATGGATAAATGTCATTATCACAAGAGTGGGTTAATTATCTCAAGAGTGGACTCGTTATAAAAGCAAGTGTGGCCCCCTCTTGTTCCCTTATTCTCACACTCTCTTGTCCTTCCACTGTCCACCTTCTAACATTGGATGAGGGAGAAAGGCCTTCACCAGATGTTGTCCCTCAACCTTAGACTTCTCACCCTCCAGAACTATAAGCCAAATAAGTTTCTTTCTTTATAAATTACTTAGTCTCTGCTATTCTGCTATAGCAACACAAAACAGACTAAGACAAATGGGAAGCGTATTTTTTATTCTGGGTTATAGACAAAAAAGTTTGAAGAACGCTGGTATTGACTGTCTTTGGAAAGACAAACAACAAATTGGTAAATGGCCTTTAGGGACTGAAATAAGGGACTGCGTCAGAAGTAGAAGGAGATTGACTTTGTCCACATATCTTTGTACTATTTGTATTGCCTATTCACTTTTTTTTTTTTTGAAGAAAAAAAGGGAATGAGATAAAAAGCAAAAAGGTTTTTTTAAATTATGCTTTTTATAGTAAGGAGAGTGCTTACTTATATTTCTATTGAGTGCATGCCAGGGAAAATATAGAATTTGGGGGCTCTACTGTTTTTACCCTACCTTTTCACCTACAGTTTTACCCCTGACTCTGGAGACATTTTTCTTCATGTTTATCAATTCATACATTTAATTCATAATTATACAAACATTGCTAAACTTCCAGAGAGCAAGTCTTTTCAGTTATGCATGCTCTTGAGTTCATTTAAATCCTCAGTTTTACATACTGTCACTATTAAACCATTTCCATTTTTCTTTACATATTTTCATTTAACAAAATCAATCTTTATCAAAATCATTTTCTATATAACATTTTAAATAAATATTTGATTAAGTTTTGTCCATATCACATGACTAGTTATTATTTCTACCATTAGGAAGCTTCCTTTGCCACCATTTTGAACAATTCCAGTCTTCTTTAATCTGGTTTTGTATATCTCAATTGTATCATGTGGATCCTTACCAATAAACCATGTGTGGTTTTAGTTGCTGTCAGTTTTATTTCGTGTTATTTCAATCATGGATGTTTATTATGATTTGGCTACAGTGTTTTAGAGTTAACCCATGAAAAAATTATAAACATTCTTCCTGAGATATTTCAGGCTCACTCTGTGGTCCAAGAGTGGTCTATCATATTTTGAAGCCAAATTTTGGTGTCCTTCTGAAAACTTGGCGAGATGTATATTACTTCTCCAAGTCACTAAAAAAGCCAAGAACAAACCTCTGATCACGTAGTGGTATCAACAGCTCTCATTTTGATTGGTGGTGTCAAAATGCATTGTTTGACACTTAACAAAGTGCCATAACTGTGGGGTCAAAATAGTAGGATCAAAGCATCGGAGTAGGCACTGTGCTAGGGGATTGGGTTGTAAAGATGAAAATGTCAACTACTTTTCTTCAAAAAAAAAACAAAGTATTGTCTTATGGATAATCCAAATCCCTAACAAATAATGATACTGTAATGAGTAAGTGCTAATTACAATATTGCTGCAAACATCGTTAGGAATTTTATATGTTTGGGACCCTTAGAATAGAAATAAATTTTTCACAGTAAGCAGGTGGAGCTTGAAGCACTAAGGTCTGTCCTGCTGGGAACTTTGCTTTGACCAATGTGACCAGGTGTGCTGGGATGGGGACAGGTAAATACAGAGAGCAGAGATGAAATGAAGAGTTTGAAGCCAAGATCCAGAGAGTCCGATGTAGGCAATTAATGTTATGTTTCCATTCATCTATTTCTTCTCTGGCCATTCTTCTCTCTTTTTCTCCCCTAGGAATGTAGATCTAAAACCTGAATTCCCAAAGAGTCTGGACCTGGTTTTCCTACTGTCTCCTTTCATGCCTGCTTTCTGTCCTCCCACCCTGCCTCCATCGGGGTTTGAAAACACCACTCCAGAGCACAAGTAACAGAGGCTCTGGGAGTGTAACTCCTGAGAGGAGAAGGGACCAACAGAGGAGGCCGATGTTCCTCCCTGCTTCAGGAAATGCAGTGTGTCCATCGTGAAAATGTCATTTAAATTCCACATGGTTCTTCCTTCTTCCAGGGGAGCTTCAGCTGGCTTGACTCCTAAACCATTTATTTATAATGAATTTCTGTCCTGGGCAAATACTAACGCTAATAACCACAGCATTAATTCTAGGGTTTATCTAAATGGATAGTTTTGGGCTTTGGTCAAAATGTGCTTCTGTCTGCAAAGTTACATGAGTTTTCTTCAATGGACAAAATGCTTGACAAGATAGTAATCATTTTAGCAGCCAGTTCCCTACCCAGAAACAGACTGAAATACCCACCATTGAGGCTTGCAGACTCACTAGCCCTCTGGCTTGCCCCCTTGGAACTATATTTTTACTGCCTATAACCCACTTCCCAGACAAATCAGAAAGGACAGTGGCCCAGACTAGAGAGGGAGAGTTCCCAGCAAACCCCCCCTACCCATTCCCCCTCTTCTGCCTGATTCAGGGCCACACTTCTCAGTAAGGAAGCTACAGAGCCAAAGGGAGCCCACACCTCATGCACTCAGTGGTCACAAACCCAGCATTCCCCTTCACAGGCCACACCTGAAGACGGAAAGCTGAGGAGGCAAACAACACTCTCTGCAAGGAGCGGATTGCAGGCAGGAATTAATGCCTTGGAACATAGTATTATTGGATTGATTTAAATAGATGATCCTCCTCTCTTTAGTAATAAACGGCAGGCTCCGAAGGGAGCCAAAGGAATCAAAAGAAGAAATGGAAAAGAAATGAGAAATAAGAAAAACAAACCCTCCAAAATTCTTCCTAGGTTATTGCTTTAGAAGGATCTTTAAAATTCTGTTCCAAATTGCTGGGTCTCTGACAGCGCTAGTGTGATAAACTGATGAATGTCTATTTAATACCAAAACATAAAACATATGGATGGTTATTTAGAGGACAAATGCATTTTGACAGATAACTAATTTCATTCTATTGATAGGACATATTTTGTCAGACTCTTCATTTCATTTGAGACACAATCATTTTTGGTTTCCAGTTCCTTGCCATGGTGGAAATGCATTTGTCAGGCCCTCTAGACCCAAGACGGATTTAAAATATTGCCATCACAACTCTGCTTAAAACCAAGCAAAATTGGAAATATCTCCTATTACCCATTCACACAAGAAACCTTACCAAGTAAATACCTTTTTGTACCCAGTTGGGTAGCAGAATCATTCAAAGTCTCTAGTATAGATTGGTACCAAATACCACCCACCCATGACATATTGAATTACATATAAGCAGGAAAGTAAAGGTGGGTAATTCTATCAATGCTTAATGGGCAGAAGGAAAAGGCTCAAGTTTGTATTGGCAAAGCTCTACTCCTCCTTCATGCTTTAGTTCAGCAGTTACCTCCTCCTGGAGCATTTTCTGACTCAACCAGGCAGAAGTAAGCTTACCCTCCACAAGTTCCCATTGTTCCCAGCCATGCCTCCACTAGATCCTTTTATCACTCTGCATTTTACTTTTTTTTGGTAGAGAACTTGACTTTTTATTTCTGTATCTTCAGTGTCTAGCAGAGCACCTAGTACATAGTAGGTATTCAAAAAGTATTTGTTGAATGGGAAAGTAAATGAATGATTATCTCTATTATAGCATTTATCACCTGAAATTATTAATTTACCTACCATTTTCCTACACCAAATCATGAGTTTCTTGAGTGTGAGAAATAACTTATTCATCATATGCTTTTTCTAAGCCATGAGCGTGGGTCTGGCATATAGCAGGTACTCAATAAATGTGTCAAAAGGATGGATGGATGGATAGATGGATGATGGATAATTGTTTGAAGCTGCTGTGTATCCTAGTATTTCTCAAAGTCATCAGCTATATATATACCAGAAGCATTTCTTTGCTCAGTTTCCAGTCTTTGGATTGTGAAATTTGAACCTCATTTTTCCAAAGACAGGAAGCATCTGTTTTAAAATTGGTTTCCTGAATACTCAAGAACAAATGGGGAGCTCTTAAAAAATCTAGAGAAGATAGCTTGAATATCTGTTGTTAGATCCTATTAGATGTCCCCCAAAATGGATTCTCCTATTCTTCCTTAGTAATAGAATCCCCAACATTTTGGCTCAGCACAAGGTGCCTGGAATAATAATATTTATTTTCTAGCCTCCTTTACAGATAGATATGCCCATATGAGTCAATTCTGGCCAATGGATTTAGGTGGAAGGGTCACGTGGAACTCCCTGGAAGTGTCCTTAAAGGAAGGCGGCATGACTTTGTTTTTCCCTTCTTCCTTTCTACTGTTAGAATACAGATGGCTAGATCTCAGGCAGCCATCTTGAATCATGAGCTGAAAGCTACATGTTGAGGATGTCCCAGCAGCAAGATATCAGCCTAGGTCCTGACCACTTTGTAACTTGTCCAGTAAATCCTGGATTCTCAATCTCTACACTTCTTTTACATGAGAGAAATTTGGGGGTTTCTGTCACTTGTAGTTTAACCAATCCTAATGAATATAGGGATCTTGGCTGGCCACAACGTAAGAAATATCAAAAATCTCCTATCAAATTGAATTGAACTGAACTGATACTAGGCACACTAAATATTAGATACACTAAATTTAGGTAACAGAAACTTCACTGGAAGCACAAGATGAGAGATTTTTGAACCGGACAACATATCTCCAAGAGCAGCTAGCCCCATATCCTACTCTGCTCTGGGCAAGTTCCCACCTGATGCTCATTTCATCCTTAATATGAGGGAAGAAAAACAACTACTATTGCTAATATTAAAACAATTCCTTTTTGTCCATCAGACACAGTCCCAATCTGGAACTGTGGATCAATAAACAATCTCCCTAATAAGAGAAATCCTGCAGAGAGGAGAAGTGAGGAGAGTTTTCACTTGAGTTGAAAGTTCTCACTCTCAGCCCATAACTATGAAACATCTTGATTCAAATAGGCAAGAGCTTAATTTCCATCTCCATTTAGAGCACTTTGACTGTGGTCATTTTTCTGATAATGTCTGGGAATTTCATGGCTTTTTAAGCAAGATGAGGTAGAATAGTTGGATTTATTGCGGGTGAAATGCTGGCAGAAGAAACTTCAATTTAGCAACTGTTATCATGGACTACTAATCAAGGACTCCTCGGAAGAGTGGGGCCACTGAAAACAGTTATTACTCAATGCTAATAAAAAAATTATGGATCTAATAAAAGTTAATGGGAAAATATCATGTGCCATAAAAACTGCAGACAAAGCAAAGAATGCTGGGCTGGGGGAGAAGATTCCATGATAATTTTGTATTGTCTGGGAGCCAAAATTGGCCATGTCCATAATACTTCTGAAGTGCAAATGGACACGCAGATCAAATTAAACTGTGGAATACTTAGTAACAGAATCATCTGCTTTTGTAAAAATAGAAAGGAGCAAGTGAGCTATTACCCAGCAAACCTAACTCATTAACTACAAGGAAGACCACGGTCCATGCTTGGCTATTCTTTGTAAATACGAGTAAGCTTCTTTCTTAAGGATTCTATGTGTTTCCCACCTAGATTGAGAGCTTCATTCCTCTAATGGGGCACTGTCTTGTGTTTGAACAGTGTCTATGGTTCTTAGGAATTTAAGCTTCATACAGCATCCACGATCCCTATTGAGAGATGGAAAATCAGAGGAATTGATAAACCTTCTCCCATTCATTCGGCTGCCGTCCTAGCTGGGCCATCATCATCTTCCACTTGGACTTCTTTACAGCCTCCTAACTGATTTCCCAACTTCTACCTGGCTTCATTCTTTTCCCACCCATTCAGATCCATTTCCCACAAAGCAGCCAGGGTGACCTTTTAATTTACAAACACAATTGGATCATTCTTCTGTTTACAATCCTTCAGAGGCTTCTCTTGGCTCCTAGAATAAAAACCAAAATCTTTATCAAGACTCAAAAGGCTTGGATCCAAAAGATCCATAATTTGGATCTGACCCATTTCTCAGTCTTCTCATGAGCCACCCAGCCCTTGCCCCCACACCCAGCCATCTAGATGGGAGCACACACCATGCTCTGTCGCTTCTGGGAGTTTGCACTTGCTGCTCCCACCTCACCCACTTCTGCCAAGATCATTATAACTCATCATTTCATTTCCTCAGGAAGGGCTTGCCCTGCCCCCAGATTAGGTTAGCTTCTGCTGATAAATGCTCAGAAGGCAATCTACTTGCCCTGTTGTAAAATTTAGTGTACTATCAATTACCTGCACAATGTCTGTCTTCCCCACTAGACTTTAAGCCTCTTGATGATAGGCTCCATGCCTGTTTTATTCACCACTCTGCCCAGCACCTAGTGCCCTGCATGGTAATTACAGACTCTCAAATCCTTCTTAACCACCTAACCTAAATGAATAAACAAATGAATGCATTACCCCAAAACTCAGAAACGCTTTGCTAATGCCAATGATTATAAGATGAATTCACTATTCAGAACCCTGTATAACATAGAGATTAAAACATGTATCCAAGCAGAGATTTAAAACCCAAATCAGGCAGGTGCAGCATGCTTGGAGGGAGTGAACTTCATGGGCAGACACTATGTGCAGCCCCTGCCTAGAGACAAAGAAACAGGGGTGCCTTTTCGGCAGCCTCAAATTGCCTCCCAAAGTCAAAAATGAATCTTGCCAGGAAGCCTCTTTCATAGTTTATTAATAAGAGCTCTCAGGATGTTGGAGTTGGGAAATCATTATGAAACCTTCAGAGTAAAGATTGGTTCAGGCAAGAATTATCAATAGGATGCTAAATCCAGCGGGGAGTTTTGATGCTTGTATGGTCTTAAATTGCTTATTAGTTGCAAAGGATAAAATAGTAACTATATGGTGGGGAAATTGAACAACACCTTGACCAGTTGATCAAAATTAAGAAGGAGCATATTGACATTGTGTGACTCTAGTTGTAATACCCTGAGAGCAGCACAGCATCACTTAGGTAGCATTCTGACCTGGAACGAATAGCCCAAATCCACGATGACAAAGCAAAGGATAAACCCAACATGAAAGGCTATGAGAATATTTCAGATTAAAGGAGACTAAAGAAACAAGACGATAAAATTTAATACATTATCCCAAGTTTGGATCCTGCCTTGGTGGGAAAAAGTGTTCCAAAGGTCATTATAGGGTTAACTGACAAAATTGGAATACAGAAAATGGATTAGATAAACATATATTAATACTAAGCTTATTGAGGTTGATAACGAACCTGTGGTTACACAGGTGGTTCTGTAAGAGAATGAGAAAAAGAATACCCCCTCTTTTAAGACACTTTACACTGAAATATTTCAGGGTAAAGGATCACAATATATACAACTTATTTTCATGCGGTTAAAGAATATATAGTTTGAGCCGACTGGGCACGGTGGCTCACACCTGTAATCCAGCACTTTGGGAGGCCGAAGCAGGCGGATCACTTAAGGTCAGGAGTTCGAGACCAGCCTGGCCAGCATGGTGAAACACCGTCTCTACTAAAAATACAAAAATTAGCCGAGCTTAGTGGCTTGCCCCTGTAATCCTAGCTTCTGGGGAGGCTGAGGCATAACAATCATTTGAACCCTGGAGGTTGAGGTTGCAGTGAGCTGAGATCATGCTACTGTACTCCAGCCTGGGCAACAGAACAAGACTTCATCTCAAAAAAAAAAAAAGAATATATATCACACACATACAATACAGAGAGAGACAGAGAAAGAGAAAAAGAGATGACAAATCATAAAGCGAATGGATTAAATGTTAAAAATAGAGGAATCAGGGCACACTTTGTACTGTTCTTATTCTTGTAATTTTCAGTGAGTTTGAAATTCTTTCTAAATTTAAAAAATTATAAGAGGCCTTCAGGCCAAAACTAAAACAAACCTTTTCCTGCTCCAAGATAATCTTCTGGCCAACAGGTGAGAAAAACAACAAAGCGCTGGCTTGTGTCAAATCTTGTGAGGCACCAGAATCTTTGTCTGCACTGTAACATCCCTGAAAGTAAGGCAAAAATGGAAGTGAACTCGCACCCCCATTTTTGGGGAGCACACACATAGGGATCACATGGGAGCACGCTAAGCTCCCATGTGCTGCCCCTTAGAACTCTTGTGGGCCTCTAGAAACCACCCCAGAAGCCTTAACATGCAAAGCACCACCACAGAGCAGCACAACTGCCTAAGAGTGTCTGGTTGCTTAGCAACCCAGACTCCTACTTGACTAGATAAAGCAAAAGATTTCCCTCTGGGTCACAGTATTGATGCACTACACTGAGAATGCCTCTGTTGGTCAAGTTTTAGGTGAGACTCTGGCCAGAGTCAAGTCTAGGTTCTGAACCACAGAAAGCAGCATCCATGGCTCTGAGGGCTTGAGCCAGACACAAAGCCTGGGATCTAGAAATTCAGCCTAGAAAAATTCAAAGCAAACAGACCTTTTATCAAGTCACTTCAACTCTCTGAGCCTCAGTTCCCTCATGGGTAAAAAGAGACAGCTAGTATAGATCCATGGTTCTCATATATAGCTGAATTTTAGGACTACCTGATGAGCTGGTAGCCAACCATATTCTGCTACCAATGAGATCAGAATCTGTGGAGGCAGGACCCAGGCATCGGTTATAGTTGTTTTTTTTTTAAAGCTCTTCAGATGTTTCAAATGTGCAGGCAGGTTTGCATGTGTCCTTCCAATATTCAGGTGTTGCCAAGGTGATAGTATAAAGAGGTGGGGCCTTTAAGAAGCAATTAGGCCATGAGGGCTCCTCCCTCATGAATGAGATTAGGTATCCTTATAAAGGGGCTTGACAGAGGGGGCTTGTCCCTTCTTGCCCCTATGTTGTGTTGGGACACAGCATTTCTCCCCACCAGAGGACACAGCCCTCCCTCACCAGACAATCAAGCCTGCTGGCACCTTGATCTTGGAGTTCCCAGCCTCCAGAACTGCGAGAAAATAAATTTATATTCTTTATAAATTACCTAGATCATGGTATTCTATTATAGCAGCACAAATGGAGTAGCACAGCCTATTAAGTCTATTATCTTTATTGGTACTGTTACCTAAAAGGGTATCTTGAATCCTGGTCTCTTCTTCCCTCCTTTTCCACCAGGTAGAGCCCTGTGACCCCACACAGCTCTGCCCTACCCCTAGCACTAACCCTGACCCAGGTTAGCTTTGCTGCTCTCGGTCATATTTGCTGCTTGTCCATCCCCTTCTTTCTTGAGGCTCAGGCCTACTTTGTGCCTCTCAAGAACTGTGAAGAGCCTGATATTTTATAATACTTACAAGGTAACAAGTTAGCCTGCCATATTTTCATGATTACTTATAGAAGATATGAGACTCCAGGGTCAGAGACAAGAGGCAGTTTACTACTTACAGTAATTGCAGCAGCCAGTGTATCATTATTTTTTGCACCAGTTCCCTAGGCCCCAGTGTCTACAAGGCAACATAAAGAAGGCCAGATGGCACTTGCACACACAGTGGGTTGTATTATAAGATAGAAACCCTGAACTTAGGAAACTTAAATCTTTATAAGGGTCAATAGCTATGACTGCTCTTTGCTCCAGAAAGAAATACAATCTCTATTTTCCAGGCTGTTCACTACACAAACACCCTTGAAAAGATAGTTCAGAGCAAAGGGAAGTTGGTGCTTGTCTCCAGAATGTGCAGAAATGGGAGAGATCTGTGAAGGACTGCCTCTCATCACACCCTATGCTGGAGCCCCTGACTTGCTCATCAGCTTGCCCCTGCTAGTTCAGAGTGTCCTACCTCTGAATCCCAATTCTGCAGCTGGGACCTAACAGCTAACTACCTATGTCCAAGCACCTGAATTGCTCATAATTCCCTAGATTACTTCTCTCCAAACTTTCTTCTCAGGCAAATGGGTGCCCAAGTCTCTGATCCCTGGTGGGAACTCTCCAAGCTAGAACAGAACATAAGAATGTGTGGAGCTAGCCAGAGGCTGCAGAACAATGAGCCAGAGAAGACAGTAGGAGCATCATTCAGGTTAAATGGAGGGTTGCAAGCTAATCACACAATCCAAATCACTAGTTCTCAAACTTCAGTGTTTTGGTGTTGAAGTTATTTCACAACTTCAGAGTGTAGCAGAATCACTTGGAGAGAGTGCTAAAACACAGATTGTTGGGCCCTAACCCAAATGCCTCTGATTAAGCAGGTCTGAGCTGGGGCCTTGCAAATATGCACTTCTAATAAGTTCCCAGGTAGTGCTGATGCTGTTCTGGTCTAAACTTTGTCCATCCAAGGTAACTGGGCTGAGAAATAACAGTCAGATTGAGACCAATGGAAGGCCAAGTGGAGGAGGTAACAGGAAGGTTTAGAAGAACCTGAAGGGATATGATTCAGCTGTGCAACCCAGAGGCCAGACACTTCCTATAAAGCTCCCTCAGCCTTGCCTGTGGGTCAGGGAGAGTGCTATTATAGGGTCATTTAGGGCAGTGGGATGTTGGGCTTCCATCATGTTGACTACTCGTTATCCCAGATGCTATGCCCCCTGTTAAACATGGCTCCTTCCAGTGTCTGTGGCTGGCTCTGCTCTTAGGGTCTCATCCTACCCCACAGGTAGACCTTGTTGGAGTTTCTGTTCCTCCCAGCCCGCCTGCTCCCAGTCAAGCTAACCCAGCCATGTTAGTTAGCCTGTTTCCCTTCCCCACATTTATAGATCATACACACCCGCCAAATTCATTATTCTCCCATCTCTGCTCTGTACTCAAGAGGCTGATACCCTCACAGACTACAATACCTGGGCTACCTTGTGGCCTGTTTCCAGTTCCATCTGGCTAAAGGGACACACTGGCAAAGATCAAAGGATGACAGATGAGTTTCAGCTGTTCACTCTCCTCCTTCCTCCTCAGAGCTGTATCTCTCGCAATATTTGCATCCCATACTGTCTCTTCTGCTGAGTGGCCCCTGCTCCATGGTACCAGCTTTAAAACTGGAATATCATTTCTATAAAGCCATTTCCTCCTCTTGTCCCTTCAGTGCTCGGGGTGGTAATGGCTTCCTGCTGTTATTTCAGGGGCATCACTACCCATCACCTGTTCCCCTGGTCCTGCCTACACTGCTGTAAGCAGTTCCTTCAGTGAAGTCTCCTAAACCTCTGAGCAAGATTCTGTTTCTACTGAGAACCCTTGAGGGACATAGTCGTCTCGCCTGATCACACCCCAAGGTGTACCATAGCTCCTCTCTGCTGGGTGGAGGTACCTGAAGTGGGCCCTTCTCAGGAATTGAATTGATAAAGAGCTTCCTATAACTTCTTGAGAATCCATCTTGAACTCCACCCCACTCCACAGGGCTCCCCTAGTGATACGAAGACGGCAGCAAAGGTGAAGCCACATCAGACATGACTGAGGTCTTGTCAGCCAAGCATTGGTGGGCTCCTCTCCCCAGAGAGCTTCCCTCAGTGCCAACGAGCAATAGAGCAAGGCTGCCCCCCAAGAGCAAAAGTGCTCCTAAGGCCCTGCTAACAGTTTCCCAAAGTCTTGTCAGGAACAGGAGGCTGGTACCAGCAGCACTCCGGAGTCTCTGATGTTGCCATGGTAGCAGTAGGGTCACTGCTTAGCAACAGACCAGAGCTGCAGGAAGTTGCTAAGGTATTTTCACATGTGTTAAAGCAAATGGATGTTTATCTCAATCTTGAGTGTAAATACACTGTAGGGAAAAAAAGAGAAAACATGTACACACAAACCACCTACTGATGTTCAGAGCTGCACGTCTGCTGATACTTGAGGCCTGAAGCATATGCCTTCTCTCTGGAGGAAACAGAGAGACCATAGATGACCCAATGAAGTACATCCTCTTACCCCCTAAAACAACTGTTCACCTGTCTTCCCACCAACCCAGGCTTAAAACCTTCCCCATCATTTAATTTCCAATAGAATTTCCAAATCTTTCTCCTAAATGGTTTTTGAGAGGCCATGTGGCATACTAACTAAATGTGTGGACTCTAAAGCCAGACTATGTGAGTCCAAAGCCCGGCATTGGCCCCCTCTTTCTTTGTTACTTTGGACAAGTCACTTAATATCTCTGTGCCTCAACTTTCTCATCTGTAAAATGGGTATAATACTAGTGCCTACCTTACAGGATTATGTGAGGATTAAATAACTTCTTCCATGTCAAGCACTTTCAACAGTGCCTGGTATACACTGAGGGCATTGTTAGGGATAGCTGTTAGTAACATTCAGTGATATCATGGATACTTTCCCATTTGCCAGGCTCTATATAAAGAACGAAGCATATAAAAGTTAGCAAGAAATTGGCCCTGTCTTCATGGGGCCCACAGCTATTCCAGTGCTAGTTTGGCAATGGTAAAGACCCAACTCTTTGGATGGTTCTTCAAAATACCCCCAAATACTGACCTTGTCTCCTTAAGGAGTAGTTGTGAGGTTTAAATAAGGTAATCCATGTAAGAGTTCAGAATGGTGTCAGGCATACAATACAGGCTCAATAAAAGTTACCTATCACTACTAAAATTATTTTATTATTCCTTCCCACAAACCAGCTCCAAACTTGTCTGTGTTCAAGCCCCTAAATAAACTCATGCACTCCCACATCTGGGTTCTTCTTGACACTGCCCATGACCATCTGGAATACTTTCCCGTTTCCACCAGTCTCGTGTCCGCATGACCTGCAAGACCAGGTTCTGTCGTACCTGTGCTTGAAAGCCCCTCACCTACTCCACGCCATGCTCACCCCTCCACCCTAACTAGGTTGAAACTCCCATGGAGGTCAGTGTCTCTTCTGCCTTGTGTTTGTATTTTGCTTTCTAAGCCACAAGCCCTCTGTATGAGACTCTTCTTATGCATCTTCTCAGATCCCCTCAGCCTCATCTGTCTTGGGCCCTTTACCACTGTTCCACCTCTATTGTCACCAGTGACCAGCTCTGCACTGCTGTGACCAGACAGCAGTTCTATGGTAACCAGCTTCACCCAACAGCCACCCAGTCACCAATGCTGGCTCCTAGGGCCACTTTACCACACAATGCATGTGTGATCATGGAATTCACCAGTCTTACTAAGGCCCCCATCATCCAGAAGCAGCATCCTGAAGGAATGGCAGAATGAGCAAAGGCACCTGCCCTGTAACAACACACCAAAGGGTTAGGACACAATCACTGGTGATGTGGTATGTGCACTGAGCAATGAATGATGTTGGCATTGTATATGGTGCTGTGTCCCAAACAGCAGGGATACACAGTCTGGGAACCAAGGAGTGGATGTAGGACTTGTCTCTCTCATCATCCTTCCCACTCACTCAGAATTTGTGCAGTCTATAGCCTGGACCCTGCTGGATAAGAGGTCTGGTTGTCAGGGAAGAAACTCTTCTGCCAGTGAGGTTCCACTGAACTTAAAGCTGACTACCACTTAGTCACTTGGCACACCTCATGCTAATGGACAACACAGGAGTTATCATACTGGTGGGATTAATAACCCTGATTACCAGAAGAAGCTAGAGTTGTGGCTGCACAACAGGAGGAGGAAAGATTCTTTCTAGAACCCAGGGGTTTCAGTGGGGCTTTTCTAGGTGCTTGAAACCCAGCAAAAACTATAAAGGGGCAATTGCAGCAACCATGGTTTAGCAAGGGAATGGCAAGCAAGGGTAAACATAGCCTAGTTCTTTGCTACCCAAACATGCCCACGGACAAGCAGCATCAACACCACCTGAGAGCTTCTAGAAATGCAGAAGCCCAGGTCCCTCCCCAGACCACTGAATCAGATTCTGCATTTTAACACAATTCTCAGGTGATTCAATGCACTTTAAAGTTGAAAAGCATACTCAGCAACCCACTGGAAAAGCAACCTAGCTAGAGGTGAGAGAAATCTAGAATCAGTCATGGAGGTGGTTGAGCAATGAATATTCGTTACGGCCTAAAACCAGCAACAGGAGTGGGAACTGTAGCTTCTTTTCCTTATACTCTTCAGAGAGAGTGGCTGGTCACTGCCTTGATGGAGAATTAATGACCAATTGCTGGTAGAAATGTGAAATGACGCAGTCTGGCATTTCCACCAAATGGTAAACATAGAATCACCCTGTGACCCAGCAATTCTACTCCTCCCGAGAGAAGTGAAAACCTAAATTTCTATATGACTGTTCATAGCAGCCTTATTCATAATAGACAAAAAGTAGAAACAACCCAAATGTCCATGAAAATTATACAGGAGGATCCTTGGAAATTATACAGGATCCTCCCTTTCTCTGAGGAAAGGGAGGAGAACGATAAAAACTTGCCCCAAGTCACACAGCCTGTTCTAAGTGGAAATTATACAGGATCCTTGATTTTTCTATCAGGATAAGGATGGGAATATAAAAATGAATAGAAAGTTGGTGGTGAGAAAGAACGCTTAAGCTGGTGAGACAGCTGATAAAAATTTCTGCTGAAAAGTAAGGACATTTTCCCAATAGTTCCATGTAATCCAGATGGGAAATCACCAAAATCTAGAATGAGCATCCTAATGGAAATGTGGTCTGGAAAGGTGGGCTGGGAGTCCCCTTCACTAAGCAGGAAAGAAGCCGGCTGTGTGAGAGAAGAAAAAATACTACGCACAAAAGCTTTCGTCTTAATCTGACCTCAGAGAACAGCATGTGTGCCTGGCGTGAGTACCTTTCAGGGAGTGTCTGGGTTTCCTGTACCCCAGGGCCTGATCCACTACAAATACATAACAAGTACTTGATAAAAAAATCTAATTGGATTGTGTCTGTGCTGGAGCTAAACAGTCTCTTGCTGTTTAGGGGAAACCCCATGTCCAGTACAACCCCAGCACCTAACAGAGTGCTTTGCACTTAATGAGCATTCAATAAATATTTGTGAAAGGAATAAATGGCTAAATGAATAAGCACTTTTAAGCCTGAAGACAGGTTACTGCCTGTATTTGTGAGACCTAACAGAGTGAGAGAAATGAATTAGCAAGTTTAACTCCTAAGGGAAAAAAGAAAGTAATGACTGCGCTTTGGCCCCCAAAATGTTATCTCCCTCATCCACCATTACCACCAGCATTGAGGTGGGACATCTGCAATTTGGGGCCTGGGTTTTAAAAAAAATCCCCCAGTTGCTGATTTGGGAGATGGCAACATAGAATCTTCTATCTAGAAGAGACCTCAGAGATCCCGGAGCTATTGGAGAAAAAGAAGCCCAGAAGAACTGTCATTTGTGAGGATGTGACAAATGGCTGGGTAATTTCCCAAGGATAAGCTAAACCCGGGCAGGGAGTTCATGCATCAACAGCAGTACCTATAATATCAGAAGTTTAGGAAATTGACACTGTGTCTGTCACACATTATTTGAAGTGAATACTGTTCTGGATAATTCACTCTTCCCCAAACTGTGGATATATGATGATGGTTTTGCTGGGACATATTACAAAGGGAAAAAGAAATCTTCCCAAATGCTCCCATGCAGAAGGTGCAAATTTCACACAGGTGACTCATGATGAAGGGCCTGCAGAGACCTACAGACTCAGCCCATTTCCCAGAACTGCCCCTAGAGAAACATTCCCAGGCCAGAACTTCAGAAACCCAGTCACCTACTGCAAGCACTAGCATGATAAGGGCAAAACTGTTCCCCAAGGAGAACTGTGCCCTTGGGCAGAGCAGTGGAGCGAATTAATTTCTAATAATGAGACTGTGAGCTACAGTGTTTGTCTACAAAACAGGCTTATTCATGAAGAGTAAATATGTCAACTAATTCAAGAGGCATGCTAAATCTCCATTGTTTTCTGTAGTTCAGGTTTCTTGGCTCTGTAAAATGTGATGCACCCCTTCAATGTGTGCAGCAGAATCTGTGAGATTGCAGAATGCCACATTAAACTCAGAGCTCCTGGGCTAATTAGGGTAAATCCATTTTGCAGTAATGAATTGTTGGTAATAGCCCATCATGGAGCAGATGTCTCATCCATCATTGCCCCGGGAGTCCGACACTCTGTAGTACTCCCATCAGATACGGAGGGGGCACAGCCCAGGGAGGCGATCCTCATCTCTGGACTCCCGAGGGCAGCCAATCCTAGGAGGTAGAATCAGTGGGTGCCTATCCAGTGTGATTTAAGGTCCCCCAAATCCTCCCTAACTCAAAATATGTCCCCACCCACTGCCACAGTGCTTAAAATATCCTCCTTTGAATTTTCTGCTATTAAAATGTAAATATGTCACCTGGAAGAAGTAACACATTAAATTAGCATCCATTATCACTCATTTTCACATTAGGGAGAGCTGGGCCCTGAGGAAAGGGAGGAGGACAGGTAGTCCTTGATGGAGGGTGGCTTAGAAAGGAGCTGAGCAGGACTCAGGCTGGTGGAGTGGGGCCAAGCTGGGGCACAGTGTGCGTGCCAGCGAACTCTTGCTCACCCCATCCTACTGACAATGTGGGTTTTTTAAGTGTATGCTTCCTCAAATTACCTGGGCAACCTAGTGGGGAGAGATGGTAACTTATTTATCTTTGCCAGTCCCCAGGACCTCTCCAGTAAATGCTTCTTGAATAAGTAAATTTCATCCTCACAACCCCCCAAAGGAAATCAGAGAAGGGATCATGACCATTTTATAGGTGCAGAATCACACTCATGGAGGCCCATTTTCTTGCCCAAGCACATGGGACTGAGGAGGAGCAAGCTCTAGATAAACAAAAGGGCAGACAAAGTATATGTTTTTATCTACAGGAAATTGTATTTATGTGGGAACTAATGAGAAGTGAGAATAGAATAGATTAGGGCCACTTTTTGGATGCCTTTCAATGTCAGCCTGAGAGTTTGGGGTGTTATTCTGGGAACTTCTGAAAGTTTGTTTAGTGATTGAGAACACAGGAAGCAGAAGGATACAGAGAAATGTGCAAAGTGATATTTTCGGAAGGGTATTGGCATAGAGGAAAATAGGATGGGTTGGAGAATCAAGAAATTAAAGACTAGTAAAGAGATTCTTTGTGTGAATCAGAATCGGGAAGGTAGCAGTGGAAATAGGAGGGACGTATGCAGACGTATGTAAGAGACGTATGGATAACAAATAGATCAGTTGCAGTGACTGGTTGGAGGAGTGGGTGAGGAAGAAAGTGGATTGAGGGACATTGACTAGATTTCAAACCCACTTAACTGACAGAAAATCGACAGCAGTGGGAAATCTAGAGGAGAAGCGGGTTTTGATTGAGGATGGTAAGTTTCTTGCAAACATGTTGAGTAAGGTGATAATGGAACACCCAAATGAAGATGTGCATGGGGCTGATAGAAACTTGATGTCAAACCTCAAAGAGATTTAGTAGAAGCAACAAGGATAGGTGAAATCTCAGAGAAAGCGTAGAAAATGAGTCAGAGTCAGGACCTCTGACATGTCCACTTATAAAGGATGAGTACAAAATGAAGGAGACAGAGTCGGACAGTGTAGTGAGAATTGAAGCCAGTTATGAGTGTTTCAAAGGGTAAAGGTGCCAGTGCCAGAAGCTGCAGAAAGGTCAAGGAAAGCCAGGAGAAACTGCTATTGGGCTTCAAGAATAGACTCTCTGGTTATCTTCAATAGCACAGTCTCAGATGTGTGGAAAGTGCAGAAAAACTTAAATGCAATGGGGAGGAAAGGAAAAGATGGGAGGGGAAGAGAGATGGCTGTGCAGCGACAGTCGAGCCAAGCATGGCTGGCCTTGTTTTCTTGTCCCTTTCCATACAGGGAATGCTGAACCTCGATTTATGTGCAGAGAATGACTGAAATGCAAAAGAGAGCAGGAGATACTGGGGAGGCATCGATTAGAAGCAGCAGGAAGGGAGGGGCTGAGATGTGCAGGGGAGGGTAGACAGAAGAAGGTGGGGGTCTAGGTTGAAGAAAGGGAAAGAAGCAAGCAATGAGCTGAGTCCAAACAGAGATCATTTTCCTGGAAAAATCAGAAAAATATGTTCCCAGGGTTCAGCCTATAAAAAATAGTAGGCTCCCAGGGAACATGAGAGGGTTCCAGACAACAAAGGGCTGGATTCAGATGTTGCCAGGATTAATCTAAAGCAGGAGAGGAACAAAACTCATTTCCAAAGGAAGGATCTCATCTGTGTGTCGCTGACAGCCCCGATGAAGTCTATACCTAGAATTACAAGGCCATTGAACATCAGTGCTAGGAAGGCCCTGGGAAGGCCCTGAGACATCATCTGAGCCAATTCTCTCTCACTTCACCAACTGAGAAAATAAGGCCCAGAGGGGTGAAGTAAATTAATCAAGAAAACACAACTGGTTAAAAGTCAAACCTGGACCAGAACCTAAGACTCTTAGCTCCTGGTCAAGTGCAATTCTCACCAAATAGCAACTCTATGAGCTGGATTTCCCAATATACGATTGGGACAATTTCAATCTTATGTAATTTCTTCTTTCCAATAATGATCATGTTACTTAGATGTGTGCGTAACAAAACGTGATTTCATTTTTGTACCTTTGTGTGGCTTTTCATGTTAAAAATTTGGAAAAAAAAAGCAATAAATCAGGAATTGAAAATATTTGTCAGATCATGCCTCTCAATTTTTGGTTCTGCAAATATAGTCACTGCAATTGCATAGCAAAGTTATTAAAAGCATAGCTGTGGAGTTGAACAGACCCAGCTGCAAAGCCAGGTGAGCCCCACCACTTACTATTTGTGTGACATTGAATGAGACCTTGACCTCTGCTGGGAGAGGGTGGCAGAAGGGAGGGAGGCAAAGCAATCGACCACTCTGTCATTGTGGCCCTAAGCATGGAGAAAAGCAGCAGTGAGACCCAGAGAGGGAAGCCGTCAAAGCTGCCACTAATACCTGTTTCCCTTTGGAATAATCCCAGTGCTTTGGCCGGAGATGATTTGAAGGCTTTTTGAGAGGCACACCTGAAGAGAAAATGTAATTACTTTTTCCTGCAATTGAATTTCCAGGCAGTGTCCTTTCAAAATAAAAAAGGCACTTGAGGGGTGGAAGGGAGGATTAGGGGAAGAAATGAAGGATGGAGAAGGGCCATCCCCGCTGAAGCCGGTGACATTTCACCAAAGCTACTCCCTTTGGAAGCAGCTGGTGCAAATGTCACTCAGCGGAGACAATAGGAAGCAAGAGAGAGCAGTGGGATCTGCAGAAAATAACGTGATCCTCTCCTACTCCCACCAGCCACCCCTCCCCAACCCCCCAAACCCTGACCCTCTGGAAAGCAGTTAGGCCAGGCACTTAACTGACGTTGTTGGCCTTAGGGTGGCTGTAGATATCTTGTAGCTATGTCACGGCAGTCATCATGAAGCACATATCCAACCCCAGTAGAACTGCCCCCGTGTCAGCCCTGGGGATCTCTATCCATAGGAGGCAATGCCCTGACCTCCATCTCTCCCATGTAGACCAGTGGACCAGAAGAGAGTGTGCTGTGCAGCCATTTCCACCAGAGCATCCCAGGAGAAATGCAGCTGCTGATGATTAAAGAGTTGATTTCTACAACAGACAACCCTAGGGTTCTTTAAGTTGATCATTCTGGAGCACAAAAGAAGGAAGGAGAAGAACAAAGAGAGTTAAGCCAACCCAGGGTTGAATCCAGTTCTGCCACTTATTATATGACCTTAGCAAGTTACTTAACCTCTGCACTGCCTCACTTTCTTCATCTGAAAAAGAGGCATACTATTGCTCACAGGGGGTTAGGAAAATGAGATGTAATTGATCACAAGTTCCTGGCTGTGAGGAGGTACTCAACAGGCAACATTACATATACATATTTTTAAGGACATATCAAGTTCATGCACACTGACAAAAGAGCACAGGTCCCTGGCCAAGCTCTCAAAGTCACCTTGCAGGAGGATGGACATTCATAAAACTCCAAAAGGCAGGAGGAGACCTCTTTGAGGCTAATGATGTTCCCAGATAGTGGCTGTGTTGTCTTCAGAGACTGATGAAAGCTTCAGGACTAATGGACAGTTCTGCGGCCTGAGATCCTTGACCCACTGGCAAAACTACTTCTTAAATATCTCTTCTTGTTTTTCATTTACTTGCAATATATTACATATGCCTCCACATACGTTCAAAAAACTATTCAACGCAACTCTGTATGGATATGAAATCCACCTGCTAACTCAGTGTTTGGTACGTACACGGCCAGTGCTTACTATTGAGTGACGTTCAATGCCCTTATTAGGTCTTGTCTGAATGTGCTGTCCACATGCCGTTCTGCAAGGAGTCCTAGCCCTTTGAGAAAACAGTGGTGTCCAGAGTAAACTGAGGCTTTATTACCAACCTGTAGGGCTGGTTCTTATGAGGACTCTAGTGGACAAACTCAAATAAGTAACTTTGGAAAAGATTAAGCTTAGAGTAAGTTTTTACCAAAAATTAAAAAAGACAGTCGTGAGAAAGAGAAAGTCAAGTAGAGAGAAAACTTACTGTACCAGTCGGAAGTGAGGGTTTCTTCATTCTGGCAAAGGCAGGTGACCCGTGTAGTTCTGTTTCAGGAGTAGAGAAGAAAAACTGCTCAACAAACTAAGGCTGCCTCTTTGGTTTTCAGAAAGCAGTCATATATTGAATTTTTTTTTTACCAGACAGAGTCTCGCTCTGTTGCCCAGGCTGGAGTGCAATGGTGCGATCTCGGCTCACTGCAACCTCCACCTCCCAGGTTCAAGCCATTATCCTGCCTCAGCTTCCCCAGTAGCTGGGATTACAGGCACCTGCCACCACGCCCAGCTAATTTTTTGTATTTTTAGTAGAGACGGGGTTTCACAATGTTGGCCAGGCTGGTCTCGAACTCCTGACCTCGTGATCCGCCCGCCTTGGCCTCCCAAAGTGCTGGGGTTACATGAGCCATCACGTCCGGCCCATATATTGAATTTCTACCTGTCAGAGGCTCCACGCTGTGTGTGGAATGGTAGAAAATACATGGGCTCTGTCTCAGAGCAGAACAGAATTCAAATCCTAGCCCTAATACTTACTGTGTACACTTAGATAAGTACACAGTAAGTGTACTTATTATTATGTAAGTACACAGTAAGTAACTTCCTGGACCGAAAGTTTCTCACCTGTAAATGAAAAAGATGACTGAATCCCCAAAGCTATGCCCATAATCCAAAAAGATTTAAACTTAATATTGAAAATTTAGGGGGAAAGATCCATTTTATTCAAGGAATAATGGTTGGGTTTTATTTGATATTTTTTGTTCCGTTTTTTTCTTTCTGTGTTTTTCATTTGTTTTTAATAGAGAGCTCGATATTTTAAAGAAAGATTTTTTCCTTACGACTAAACATGTCTTTGGGAAGCTAAACACTTGAGACCTTAACACAATAAACAAGGTCTCCTAATTGAAATCAAAATACCCAAGAGGGAATAGACTGGCACTTGAGTGCTGACTGGCAAGCCTGACTCTGCAAAGTTCAATCTGAGAAGCAGCTTTCTAGCAACTGAAGTTCCTCGACAATGGAACGCATTCTTTCCCCACAAACTGGATTTTCTGTGTCTCCTCCAGGATCTTTTGGAACACCATAGGCGAGGATTCCCGGAACCCCAGGAAGGTTGACTGCAGGGTCCTCGTCTACACATTCAGTTACTGCCGGTGCTTGGAGAGGTGCAACCCAGTGAGAAGTTTCAGAGTCACCCGCCACACACAGAGAGCCGGGAAAAGGGAATCCAGCCTAACTATGTTTTCTTGCAAATTAGGTGCTGTGACAACTCAGGCACTGAAACACACAGACACAGTATCTGTGTTTAATTAACAAGCTGGAGAAAACAAATGTGAATAATTGATTGATGCAGGAGAACAAGGCATCAGGAAAATAACCCGGCAGAGGGCTGCCAGCCAGTTCTCCCTCTGAGGCAGTGATTAGCGTTCCACAGCTCCCAAAAGAAACTTTAGCGGAAATCGTTGTAGCTCAAGGTAGATGCATACCCTGGACCTGTGGAGCAGGAAGCAGTTGAGGATGTATTTCTCAGTTGCTCTAATTCTCCTCATGGGATAGCCCTGAGCCTCTCTGGGTTTTGCAGGCAGCTCACATCACAACAGGCATGCTGCTCTGACCCATTTACCAAGGAACTGTAAGGCAGTGAGCTGGGAATGGGACCCAGAAAATAAGTGGCAAGGAGCAAGCAGCCCTGCCATTGGGGACTTTGACTCAGTAAAGCCAGCCAACCTTGCCCTAAGTGTCTGTGGTCAAGGAGGCAGTATGGGACCTCTGGAAGCCCCAGGAGGAGAATCACAGTGCAGCCCTCCAGCAGCCCTCTTTGTTAACATTTATTCTTCTTCTGAGAAGCTGTTCCTGGCTTGCTACAGGGCCATGGCAGAGACTAAATGCCTAACCATGAGATACCAAGTGCCCACGGGACCTGAGTTGCCCATCATGAACTGGGTGCTATCCAATCCTCTGAAGCAATAAAGTCAAATGTGTATGACAGCATTCGACACTTAAAGGAAGAAGCACATTTAAAAAGCTGGAATCGGCAGGGCGTGGTAGCTCACACCTGTAATCCTAGAGCTTTGGGAGGCCGAGGCGGGCAGATCGCCTGAGGTCAGGAGTTTGAGACCAGCCTGGCCAATGTGGTGAAATCCCGTCTCCACTAAAATTGCAAAAACTAGCTTGGCATGGTGGCAGACACCTGTAATCCCAGCTACTCGGGAGGCTGAGGAAGGAGAATTGCTTGAACCCAGGAGACGGAGCTTGCAGTGAGCCAAGATTGTGCCACTGCACTCCAGCCTGTGCAACAGACCAAAACTCCGTCTCAAAAAAAAAAAAAAAAACAAAAAAGCTAGAATCACAGTGGTCCTGCCCAGCAGGAGCTGGAGCCACAGATGAGAAGAGGCTGTTGCCAGAGACACAAACAAAGGTCACTGTAACCCTTTAGGTCCAGGGTCCCAGCCTTACCTGGCTGGTAAGTCATATGAGGACCAACAGTTCTCACATAAAACAGTAGAGCAGTGGTTCTCAACTTGGGTGAGTCTGCCCCCAACGTGTAAAGACGTTTTTGAGTCTCATGACTAGGGAAGTGCTACAGGTACCCAGTAGATAGAGGCCAGGGATGATGTGAAAAATCCTACAGTACACGGGCAAGCATCTTCCCTATCATAACAAAGAATTACCTGGCCGAAAATGTCAATAGTGGCAGGGTAGAGAAACCTTGTTGTAGAGAAAGGGAAAGAGAAAGAGAAAAAGGGAATCAGTGATTAATATAGGTCATAGGTGACATTCTTTTACTACTCACCCCACGCTTCCTCTGTGTGCATGTTAATATTCCAGGGCATAGGGATCATACTTTGCCCAGAACCTCAAGGGAGTTTTGTTGTACAGAAAGGGTTTAAGAATCTCTTTTCTAAGTACTTACTTATATCTCCCTACTTCTGCCCCAATCCCGAATCCCAGGTGACAACAGGTATAAAACACTCCAGGAATGCTTCTCCTACCACCCATCAATGTATTCTAGAGATCCCAGAGGGGCAGATTTTTTACCAAGGTCAGTTTCATCTGCGCAGAAAGTAAGAATGTCTCACATTTTCCTTACACACCTACTCTATATCTGTCAAGTCAGTATTATAAATTTTTTTCATTTGTCTATTCAACAAATATTTATTGAGCACTACTGCTTGTTATAATGGTAAAAAAAAATTTTTGAAAAAGACCAACAAGCCTGTTTTGACAAAGCTTATGACCTCTGGTTCTATGATTGTTGTCATTATTTTTATTATAGGCTATTGAAGCCAAGAAGAATTCACATTTCACCCAGGTCTTTCCCCAAGAATCTGTAGTTGCCTCAGATTATCTCCCACCCTGGGCCTGATCTGCTCAGAACCTATTAGTTGGAAGAAAGCATCGTGCAACATCCTATTGTTTGTCACTGTATAGAGGAGCTTTTTCCACAACGTATCCAGTGCTCTGTCCCGGGGTTATGAGTTGCCTTTCTGTTCTCTGCTTAGCCTGGGACTCTAAAAGGACGTAGAGGGAAAAAGCCAAATGCACTCACTTAAAATGAAAACAAAAGTGCCAATGTCCTTCAAGAGGTCAGAATACCCTTGCTGTAACTTTTAAAGGCCCCTTCCCCTTATATTCTTCCATGACCACCACAGGATGGAACGGCTTTTTCCTACAGGGTCCTAAGATTGTTCCACAGTGGGAGCTTCGAGCTTGAGCCAATGCTGAGCCTGCTTCTGGCTTCAGTTTATCTGGGAATGCCTGGTAACTCTGAGTGGCAACCTGCAAGAGCACTTCTCCATGAGGGTATTAGAAGTCGCCTGGGAAAGAATAGCAGGGGAATTGATAAGAGCTGTTGCAGAAGTCCAGTTTAAGGGAGAGACATCTACAGTATCTGACACTGCTCCTTAGCTCAACTTCCATTCCCTTTCCTTCTCATTCCTATGGTGGCGCCTCTGTAATCATTGTTACCTATTGGGCTTCCTACCATCTATTTTTTTTACCTTGTGGTCAATGTCATGAAATGGCATCCCGCTATCCACTTTATCTCAGAACACTTTATACTGCCATTTTGTGATTATAGTCAGAATTTTGGAATTTTTCACTTTCTTGCATTTATTATTCATTCAAACAGTATTTGTTGAGCATCTACTAACATGCTAGGCATTCTTTTAGGCACTTGGAGTTTACATTCATAGATATAGGAGTAACAGAAAATAAACAGATAAACATAGGTACAGAAATGTCAATGAAGGGCAAGGGATAGAGAGTGATGGGGTGGGGATCAGGGTTACAGAGAGGCTAGGGGAGGCTCTCTGAGAAAGGAAGGCACAGAAACTTGAATGGAGTGAGGAATGAGGTATGCAAAATCTGAGGAGGAAACATTTCACATGGAAAGAGCAAAGACGCTGAGGTGGGAATGTGCAAATGTGCAAAGACCCTGAGGTGGGAACCATGTGTGCATGGTTTAGGGCCAGGGTGGCCGGAGCAAAGTGAGTCCAGGGACACATTATGAAATGAGGCCAGAGACATAGGCAGAATACAAATCACATCACATCACATGAGCCACAGTAGGATCTGGATCTTATTTTGGGTTTTTCCCCAGCCACTGTGCACCACTCAAGGGCAGGGGTGAAGGAGCAGACTTGGGCTTAACCAGCATTGACTTTTTGCCACATGTGTAAAGGTAGGGTGAGGTTAATGGAATTAAGGATGTGCCTAGGCCTCAGGGTTGAGCACAGGCCCTCACTTCTTCTGCCCTTATGGTGAGTCCCCTCAGGACCTCCTTTCTCTCATGTCCGGGAACCTCAATTCAAGGCCATTGCAACCTGTCAGAGAAGTTCTAATACCATTGAACTTCAAAAGAGAAGGGGTTGGTCTAGGTCTCTTTTCCCAAGAAGCTCCTCAGCCCTTTGTGCACTCACCTCTTCCCCAGGAACCAGCTCTGCCCACCACAGAGAATAGGTAAAGGTCACAAGGACTGAGTTATCCCCAAGCCCCCAGGCAAAAGGGGGCCCCTCATGAGGAATTGCCCCTGAATAAACAAGAGCAGCTCCACGTATTCTGTCTCAGTCCCGCCCGCACTGGCCGAGACTTTGAAATGGTCTAGAGGCCCTGCATTAGCAGGTAGAAGTATGAGCTAGTAAAAAAAAGATGCCCCATTTGTTCCCCTATCTGATAGAAGCCATGGATACTTGGGTTGCACTCTTCATTTTAATAGTATTCAACAAAACAAACCAGCCGCTCTGCAATTTCATCAGATGACTTAGTCCTTGGCTTAAGGATATCGCCGTGCATGTGCAGAGAACAGTCAGAAGAACTGGTGCAAAGGAAGCTAAGGCTTGGCTTTGGCAGAGGAGATGAAACAGATGTGGCAATCATGACACTACCAAGTAAAGCATTGGTGGCATGTGTATGATTGATAGGCTGGTCCCTAGAAAAAGCAACTGCATACAAGGTTGGCTCCAGTGCCCTGGCTCATAGCTCTGCATCCCCAGCCAGACAGCTGGTGTGTGGGCTCAGGCCTCCCTTCCCTGTGAGGGCTTTACCTGCCCTGCCTTCCCTGCTGTGTCCCTCAGCTCCCCTCCTCAGCCCCAATCAAAACCAATTTCCACTTCTTCTGAGCACTCATTGGAGACTAATGCTAACCTGATAAATTAATTCAAGCTAATGCAAATTATGGTTTAATATGTTACCCTTCCCAGACAACATTTACATTTTTAAAAGGAGCTTCAGTTCCTTAAATCTAAATGAATGGATATCGTGGGAATGTCAAGCCTTGTGGCAGGCAGTTATGGAGACTACGGGAAACAGTAGTAGCACCTCTCTGGGCCCCTCTGAGGTCAGATGAGAAAGGTTCCATCTGCTCATTGTGATTATCAGGTATCTATGGGCCAAGAGACACCAATGTCAAACTTTTCTCTGAAACCAGAAGATTTCTATTTTGAGAAAACATGCTTTTAATGTACTTGGCTATTGCCTATATGACTCTAATATATGCAGATGAGATACTTCTGTGCAATCAAAGTAAATCTATGATAGTGGTTTGCTTAATTTCCCCTTCTGCACCAGGAAATATGAGTTCCTGGAGGACAGAAAAAGACAGAAGAGGAGGCATCCACCCATCATCAGCCCAGGAGTCCTCTGACTGGGACTATTCTTTAGCCAGTGGAAACAGCAGCCTGCTGCCGAGGCTGCTCCAGGGCCTTCTGTGTAGGTCTGGGTGGCAGGCAGGAAGGTATCAGGTGAGGTCTGCTCCAGCTGCCTCTACTTCTGGGAGAAGCAGAAGGGAGACCCAGGCTCCCTGAGGACCTGGCTATAGAAAGCAATTCTGTACCACATAACCCCCACCTCGCCAGTGTTTTCTGGGGTTATGTGAGCCTGTGCATCAGTGATATGGTTTGGCTATGTCCCCACCCAAATCTCATCTTGAATTGAAGCTCCCATAATTCCCATGTGTTGTGGGAGGAACTCGGTGGGAGATAGTTGAATCGTGGGGGTTGTTTCCCCCATACTGTTCTCATGGCAGTGAATAACTCTCACGAGAGCTGATCGTTTTATAAGGGGAAACCCCTTTTGCTTGGCTCTCATTCTCTCTTTGCCGCTGTGATGTAAGATGTGTGTTTCACCTTCCGCCATGATGTGAGGCCTCCCCAGCCCCATGGAACTGTGAGTCCATTAAACTGCTTTTTCTTTGTAAGTTACCCAGACTCAGATATGTCTTTATCAACAGCGTGAAAATGGACTAATACAATCAGGGAATTAACCTTGGTGATGTCAACGTTTGTCGTAAGGATCCCAAAGCCTGAGGCAAAGACGGTAGACACAAACAATAGCTCCCCTGCACCCCCACTTCTCTCAGCTTTCCTTGGTGTGTGAATGAGACAAAACCTACCCTTCCGTTTTTCCAGGCACTAACTGCCTGCCCACACATCCCAAAATGGAGAGAGGCTAACCCCACTGCTCCAGAGAAAGCAGATGTCAGGGCAAAGAGGATTACTGCCCAAGACAGCCTACAGACCCTGACAGAGACCCAAATACACTTACCCTTTGAGAAGCAGGCCAGGGGTTGGTCACAATGACAGTGTCCTCCAAGGCTCACAGTGACTTCTGTGGCCTCCATACACTCTCACCCATTCATTCATCTGTTCATGCAGTTATCCACTACTCCTTAGCTAGAAGAAACTGCAGGCAGCCCTGCTCCAGGACACAACCGAGGACTTCCAAGAGGAGTGGGACACATCCATCCCCCAACTGGACATATTCCGTGTGACCCTTGAGTCAAGGCATTGGTAGTACTGTGAGGAATGTGTTTGTCTTTGGGGTAAACACAAAGCCCAGCATCTCCCTACAAGGAGAAAGCAAAGAGCTGCCACCTGGTTCCCAGTGAGCAGTGGGAAGCCAGAAGCATCCCTCGCTGTCCCCCACTCCAGGTCAGTTGCCTTGCTCCATCTACAAACACAAGGATCTCCTGAGTTAATCATCCACTAAATGTCTCCATGCTTCTGGAACTTCAATTACAGCCCCCTCTGCCCTCAGGCAGACGCTGCCACCGTGCAAATGCAGTTTAAATCATCATGCACATTTTTTTCCCCTGTGCTTCCTCATACTGGTACTGTCTTCCCACCCCTACATTTTTTCAAGGGCTTGTCTTGCTGTCATTCCACTCCAAGTCAGCTTGGCACACTGAGGTCCCCTCTAGCGCACAGCCCTTCTGAAGTCTCCCTGTGAAGCCTGCTCTTCATGCATACTCTTGTCTCAAGGATTCTCTCAGGTTTCCGATTTCCACCTCCCTGTTCTCAGCTGCTGATATTTGCTTCAAATCCCTTTCTTGCATTCTGCTGCTCCCAAGGATTCAATGCACTGAACTGTTCCTTGATGCTCCCGCCCACTCATTCCCCAAAATGTGGACAAACAACCATTCTGTATCTTGTGCAAAACACAGACGTTGGCTCCTCTTGGGTCTCACTTCTGAGCTGAAGGTCTGATTTCCAGGGGCCGCAGGTCAGGCCACAGCCCAGGCCACAGCTTCACATAAGAAGGGGGTACACACTTGCCTGTCATTCCCTTCTTTTTTGCCTGAAAATGCAAGTGAGAGCATGAGTACTTATTGTGTTTGCTTTATTTCCTCACTTCCAAGCAAATCAGCCTCCTAACTGCTGGTCACAGTATACTCTAAGAGCTTCTAAACTGTTGCAAAATGTTCAAGTACACTGGAAACAGGTGCCTAGGTATATCCTTTGACTTTCTTAGAGCTCAGGAGTCCTGTGGGAGAGACAAAGGCATTAAGGGTCAGATAGTTCTGCTTTGGAAACTCCAGCTGGCAGAGTTGGGCAAAAACAGAGGAAGGTGACTGCACACTGGCCAGAGAGACAAGGAGCCATGGAAGTTGACAATCCAGAGGAGGTCAGTGATGCTGCACCCATGGGCAGCATGGGCAAAAGCAGCTTGAGGCCGTCTGCAGCACCGGGAGGCACACCCACAGTGAATGGGACAAAGGGGCAATTGGAACCATGTGAACTGGCTCTGGTTAAACATGAAACCAACATCTGGGAGCCATAGAGTTTCTGCCTTTGGACTCAGAAACTGGTGGGGGCTGGGGGATACTGAGGCTGGACATGAAAGGGTCCCTGGAGATTCCCAGGAATACAGTAGCTGTCACAGGAGGACTCTTGAGAAAATCCGAGATTCCTACCACTAAGTATGTTGGGGCATTGTACATTGAAAATTTGGGATACTCTTGTGAATACAAGATATCAAAACTCCCCAGTGAGTAATGGGTAAAGCCTAGGACATACTGATTACTTAAGAATGAATTTTTTGGCCGGGCGTGGTGGCTCACGCCTGTAATCCCAGCACTTTGGGAGGCTGAGGCAGGTGGATTACCTGAGGTCAGGAGTTCGAGACCAGCCTGGCCAACATGGTGAAACCCCATCTCTACTAAAAATACAAAAATTAGCCATGTGGTGACACACGTCTGTAATCCCAGCTATTCAGGAGACTGAGGCAGGAGAATTGCTTGAGCCCAGGAGACAGAGTTTGCAGTGAGCCGAGATCGTACCACTGCACTCCAGCCTGGTCAGGACAGCGAGGCTCTGTCTCAAAAAAAAAAAAAAAAAGAATGAATTTTAAAAATCAGATTTTATAGTAATTTTATAGTAAAAAAACAAAAAGGCTGCCAACAAAGCAATAGAAACAACCAAGCTGACTTCAGACTTCATTCTAACACGAACCGGCAGGAGAAATGAGGGTTTTAAAAGAAAGGGAAATCAATATATCAAAGAGACTTCTGCACCTCCAAGTTTACTGCAGCACTACTCACAATAGCCAAGATATGGACTCAACCCAGATGTCCAACAACAGATGAATGGATAAAGAAAATGTGGTATATATACATAATGGAATACTACTGAGCCACAAAAAGAATGAAATCCTGCCATTCACAGCAATATGGACGAGACTGGAGGAGGTTATAAGTGAAATCAGCCAAGAACGGAAAGTTAAACACCACATGTTCTCACTCTTATGTGGGAGCTAAAAAAGTTGATCTCGTAGAAGTAAAAAGTATAATATAACAGAGAACACTGGAGTCTGGGAAGGTAGAAGGAAGGAAGATATAGGGAGAGATTTGTTAAAGGATACAAAATTACAGGGAGATAGGAGGAATAAGTTCTAGTATTCTGCACTACTGTAGGATGACTACAATTAGTAATATATTAGTAGTTTCAAATAGCTAGAAGTAGGATATTAAACTTTCTCAACACAAAGAAATGACAAATGTTTGTTGGAGATGATGGATATGCTAATTACCCTAACCTGATCACTACACATTATATGTATCAAAGCATTGCTATGTACCTCATGAGTATGTACAATTATTATTTGTCAATTTAAAAAGAGAAAACTTAAAAATAATAAAGAAAATACGGGTGTTTTTTTAATGAATATTGTATTTTATTTTTAGAGGAAGGTTCTCACTCTGTTGACCAGGCTAGGGTGCAGTGGCGCAACCATAGCTCACTCAAACTCCTGGACTCAAGTAATCCTCCCACCTCCCTAGCATAACCGGGGCTATAGGTACATGCCACCATTGCTGGCCAAAAATAGGGCTTTAAAAAGGAAAGATTCTATATAATTCTATACCCAGCCAAATCTTCTTTGATATGTAAAAGAAACAAGGATGATATGGAATATAAAGGAATTCAGAAAATATACTCCCTAATTTCCCTTTCCTAAAAAAAAAAAAAAAAAAAAAAAAAGGTGTTTTAAAGTACTTAAGGATAGATAATTGAGTTAAAAATGGGAAGAGTTATTTGCTAACTACTGAGGTCTACTAAGTATAAATCTAAATAATTGCTATAAATATGATTGAAAATTAAGTGCAAATGCCAGAAAAAAATGCGAAAAAGAAGCCACATAATATTACAATATTATAAAATTAATATTCTGGACTAATACAACTGCGGTTTATATTAAACTAGATGGAAAAGTGTAGAGAGAAGGGGAGAAGTAAATGGTGATGATGGAAGAAAGTAAAGTGCACGTCAAGTTTCTTATATGCTCAGTGTCAAAAGTATTATCTTACTTGCTGTTTTTGTCCTCAAAGTATATATAGAGTTAGCCCTCCATATCTGCAGGCTCTACCACCACAGACTCAACTAACTACAGGGAAAAAATTTTTAAATATGGATGGCTGTGTCTGTACTGAACATGTACAGACATTTTTTCTTGTCATTATTCCCTAAACAACTATTTATATAGCATTTATACTGTATTAGGTATTACAAGTAATCTAGAGATTATTTAAAAGTGTAGAGGTTAATATGCAAATACTATGCCATTTTATATAAGGGGTTTGAGCTTCTGAGGATTTTGGTATCTGTGAGGGATCCTGGAACCAACCATGGAAGACTGTATTGACTTCTATTTGTGAGATTATGGTAGGCTAGTAATTCAGACCAACGCACTTGCTGCAAACAACTAAAAATTCCAGAAAGATGTCTATTAAATCTTTTTAAAAGCAGGGAAGGAAGATAGCACTAAAAGCGAAGAAGGAAGCTCCTGTTTTCACGTTGCTGTTAAAGACATACCCGAGACTGAGTAATTTACAAAGAAAAAGAGGTTTAATGGACTCAGTTCCACATTGCTCGGGAAGCCTCACAATCATGGCGGAAGGCAAAAGTCAACTCTTACACGAGGCAGACAAGAGAGAAAGAGGGAACCAAGCAAAAGGGATTTCCCCTTATAAAACCACCAGATCTCGTGAGATTTCCTCACTACCATGAGAACACTATGGGGGAAACTGCCCCCATGATTCAAGTATCTCCCACTGGGTCCCTCCCACAACACGTGAGAATTATGGGAGCTACTGTTTGAGATGAGATTTGGGTGGGGACACAGCCAAACTACATCACCCTCCCAAAGCTGAAGCCAAAGCAAAGGCTTTGAAGACCAAGAAGGCAGTGCTGAAAGCCATCAACAGCTATAAAAAATAAAAATAAAAAATAAAAATAAATCTGCCCATCACCCACCTTCCGGGCTCGAGACACCACGGCTCCAAAGGCAGCCCAAATATGCTCAGAAGAGCGCCCCCAGGGGAAACAACCTTGACCACTGTGCCATCAGCACATTCCCCCTGACCACTGAGTCGGCCACAAAGAAGGTAGAGGACAACAACACGCTTGTGTTTGCTGTCGTTGTTAAACCCAACAAGCAGCAGATCAAACAGGCTTGAAGAAACTCTACGACGTTGGTGTAGTCCAGGTCAACACCCTGATTAGGCCTGATGGAGAAAAGAGGGCATATGTTCCACTGGCGCTCCTAACTGTGATGCTTTGGATGTTGCCAACAAAAATTGAGACCATCTAAACCAAGTCCAGCTGGCTAAGTTCTAAATATGTATCTTTTCACCATATTTTAAAAAGTAAAAAAAAAAAACATAAAATCAGAGAAGACCTGACAGCATACCAGGGCCAAAGTGTAGGTGGGATTGTAAACTCAGCCAGGGAAACAGAGCAGTAAAGTAGTCTTTGTCCTGAGGGTGTATCTGTCTATCTCTGCAAACTTGAGCTTCCCTTTTGACATTGAATTCTAGTGCCTGAACTGGGCAGAAGGGGCAGATATAACTTCAACATTTATCTGAATATGCTCCCCACTTGAATCTGGGGCCACAAAAGACTGCATCTTCAAGATAAGAGTGAACTAGAAGGAAGCCTTCATCCTCACCCCCATCTCTCACCACCACCCCAGGATACTAATAGGAAAGCTGCTTTCGCACTAACCAGAAAAATAGGAAAAGGGTGAAAACAAAACCTTACCTGAGAAGTTGCAAACATAAGCAGCCCTGGAGCAGATCATAGCTGAAATTTACATCTCTTGGTTGGGGGTGGGGAATAAAATCCTTTGGCATGAATTTAATGTAATGTGGTTCTAGATTTGTAGTTCCCCTAGGGATGCAGAAAAGTAAACACAAATCCTCTCTGAAGAATGCACCTTCATATATGCCTCGAACGATCTCAAAAATAATATTTATGAGGGCAATGACATTCATATAGTCAACAATAATAAAACAGATAAAGCAAAAGGAACGAGAACCAACAGAAACAATAGCCACAAAGACTTCAACTATTAGTATTATCAGGCTAGATTAAACTTCAACTACCCTTACTTTGTTTAATGCAATAAAACACCATTTTAAAATATCAGCAATAAATCTCTGGACAGAAGCTATAAAAAGTTATAGTATGCTTTTTTTAATAATTAGAATATCTTCTCTGTTACTCCTTGGAATAAAAAATGGATGAGTGTAACAGCCAACGAACACGGCAAATGCAGAATTAGTGAACAAAATGGAGCAGAAGAAATTATTCAAAATACAGTATAAAACAGAGTTCCAGAAGGAGGAGGAAGAGAAAATAAGGGAGTGATAATATATGAAATGATCATGGTGGACAATTTTCCAGAATTAATGAAAGGCATCAATGCACAGATTCAAGAAGCCAAACGAATCCCAAAAAGAGTGAATAAAAATAATGTACACCCAACCCCAACATATATAAATTGAAGAACACAGAGAAAAAAATTGTTTTAATTCTAAAAGATAGATTACTTCAACATAGCAGTAGTTGCACTAATAGCCAACTTCTTAGCAGCAACGACAACAGCCAGGAGCCAAAACAGTATCTCCAACGTTCCAATGTACTGAAAGGAAACAACTGCCAATCAGAAATTCTATTCCTGGCCTCTATATCTATATCTATATCTATATCTATATCTATATCTATATCTATATCTATATCTATCTATAGATATATATAGGGGATATTTTATATATATAATATGTAATTTATATATAATTATATAAAATATAATTTTATATACCATATATTAATAACATGTTACATATTAATCATATAAGTCCTGTTATATATAATTAATATATACTAAAATTATATATATATAATTTTTTCAAAAATGAGAGTGAAATAAAGACATTTTCAGACCAACAATATCTGACAATTCACTATCAGCAGACCCTAGCCAATGGGAATTCTAAAGGATGTACTTCAGGTAGAAAGTAATCCTATATAAGTCTGAGATAAAAGAAGAAATAAGGAACTAAGAACATAGTGAATATTTGGATAAATCTAAATATTGGCTATATAAAACAGTTTTATTAAATGCTTCAAGGCATAAGAAGCAAAGAACTAAAATGTATGACAACAGTAATGTATAAGCCAGGAAAACTTAAAATAATCTAAGGTGCTTGTATTTACCAGAGGGAGACTTAAAAAATCAATTTCCTTCAGACTTTGATAAGTTAAGTACACACATAGTAATTTTTCAGGTAACCACCAAATGAATAGAAACAGAATAAATATTTCCAAACTGGCCAAAAAAAATTGAAATGATTATCTAAAATACTCCTTAAGTCCAAATAAACGCAATAAAGTAATGTAAAAGAAACAGAAAAGGTTGAACAAATGGAAACCACAAAATAAGGTGGTAGATTTAAAATGAAAACATATGGGCAACTGCCTTAAATCTAAATGAACTGAACACTCAAATAAAAAAACAAAGATCGTCATGCTGGATTAAATAAAAACCATGTCATATCATTCCAATAGGAAGCACGTCAAAACCATAAGGATACAGAAAGTGAAAGTAAAAGTTCGTATTTATATAGGTATTTGCTTAATAATTATTCAATAAACTGAACATATGTATTTTATGCATTTTTAATTATTTGTGTTTTTTTAATTGACAAATGAAAATTGTATTTATGGTGTACAACATGATGTTTTGATGTGTATATACATTTTGGAATGTCTACATCAGACTAATTAACACATATATAATCTCACTTTTGTGATGAAAACATTTAAAAATCTACTCTCTTAGTAATTTTCTGGTATACAATACATTTTTACATGTTTTATATCACAATGAAAACTTTTTAAAGTACACGTTTCAATGTTTCTAATACTTAAAAGTAATTGGTAACATAATTTAAAATAGAATATGTCTTCCAAGTCACTGAATAATATCAAAAGACATAAAACACATTCCATATAGCTTTAGATAGAAAACAAAGAAAAAGCAAAGAAGCATAAAAATGAGAAGCATAAAATAGGTGGCAAATAAAAAAATAAATCAATCACTAAATAAATATAAAGAGTTTAACTACCCTAATAAAACTATTCTCCAATTGTGCAACAAACTCAAATCTTACAATAGCTTGACTGTGAGAAATAGACATAAAGCAAAATAGCAAAAAATGGTGTGAAATAAAAGAATGAATAACGATTTTTCAGGCAAATGCGAAATAGTACAGCACAGAGTGGCAATGTTAAATTCTGGAAAGGTTTTATTCAAGCAAAATGCATTCAACGAAACATAAAATGTCACTTTACATTTATAAAAGTTATAATCCACAATGAAAATATACTATTCACAAATTTTTATATGTCAAATAACTCAGCAAATAAAAGCAAAAATTGTTGGAAACACATGGGAAAATTGATATATATAATTGTCATGGAACACTAAGCCACCCACTCTTTCTTGATAGATTAAGAAAAGAAAAATAAGTAAAGATATAGAGGATTTGAAGAATAAAATTAATGGAATTGAATTAATAAAAATACATCAAACAATGTACCCTACAATCACTAAATACACCTTCTTTTCATGTGCTCATGAAACATTTACAAAAGTTGATACTGAGCTACAAAGAAAGCTTCATAAGTTCCTAAATGCATACATTGTATAAGCAACATTCCCTGACAACATAACAAAACTAGTAATTCATAACAAAAGTTTTTAGGTGGAAAATATGGAAATTTAAACACTTCCTAAATTAAATATCCCAAAGAGAAAAAATCCAAAGTAAATAGAGATACACAGATTTATGTATAAAGTGTTATTTGTATCAGTGGAAAATTTGAACTTGCTTAAAACTTGACAGCAGAGATATGGTCAAAAAATATTATAGTGCGTCTATTAGGCAGTTGATAGGAAGTTTTTCTAAGAATTTTAATATGAGAAAAACTCATGCTATAATATTAAATAATATTAATTGGTTAAATATTTAATTTTAATGTTAAATATTTAATGGTTTAAAAATAATATATTTAAAATACCATAATAATTATTATAGATAACATCAAATATATGTACATATATGTGTGACACAGAATAGAGCCTAGAAGGAAACACAGTAAGATCCTGATCCAGTAGATATTGGTGGGTTAGAGCAGCCATCCCCAACCTTTTTGGCACCAGGGACCGGTTACATGAAGACAATTTTTCCACAGACCAAGGGTGCGGGGGATGGTTTCAGGGTGGAACTGTTCCACCTCAGATCATCAGGCATTAGTTTGACTCTCATAAGGAGCACACAACCTAGATCCCTCATACGTGCAGTTCATAATAGGGTTCTTGCTCCTATGAGAATCTAATGCCACCGTTGATCTGACAGGTGGAGCTCAGGTGGTAATGCTCACTGGACAGCCATTCATCTCCTGCTGTGCCGCCATGGCCCGAGGACTGGGGATCCCTGGGTTTGAGAATTACAGATGATTTCTGCTTGTATACTTGCTCCATTTTCTATTATAAATATGTATAACTTTTATAATTATATAAAATGATTGTGTAATTATTTTATATAGGATGTATTTTATATGTAGGGGGTATGATTGTGATAAAACAAAAGAAATAAAAGAGACTGGACCAAGAAAAGGGTGAATCTGCCGATGTTATTACTTGTGCATAACATTGGTGGGGGGAAATGAAGACACTCATTTCAAAGGTTAGTCATAAAGTTTACATGAAATAGCAATGTAAAGCATTTTGTCCACTGGCAAATTTAAAAATAGCTGGCTATCACTATTATCTGCTCCTTCATATTTTTTATCTCATTAGCTTACTGTTCTGCATTCTAGGTGAATCCCTCAGTATAATCTTTTGATTCACTAATTCTCTCTTCAACTTATTCAAAATATTTTTTATTCATGGGCTTTCTATTTAATTCTTTTTTATAGTGGTTTGTATTTCATTTCTGCCTTTCTGTTTTAAATATCCTTGTACTTTTAGTGGTTAGTATATCATTCTTTATTTCTTTAAAGATCATAAGTAGACTTATTTTAAAATCATTTTCACATTGCTCTAATAGTCTCATTTTATCTAAAGTGATCTCACTGACCATGTGTTTTTGTTGTTGGCTGTGTCTCCATATCGCTCTCCCTTGTGTGTTTTAGAATTTTTGTTTGCAGGCTCATTTTCAGAGGAAGCTTTTTCTTTCTTTCCCTTGTACTCACTTGCTCACTCTTATTCTTGCTCTATAACTTCCTCCCACTCTTGAAATATTTCAGGTGCCCTCCAGCCAGACTGTAGGGCCCCTAGAACAGAATCCATCATCTATCGATCATTCTTGACCTGCCATGTTACTGGGATCACAGGTCCTGGCACTGCCCTAGTATGTGGCTTCTTTCAGAGTCTAGCTGCAAGACTGTATCTGCTTCCTTCAACTTCACTTGTCTTGCAACTCACTGTGAGGCCCTGGGGTGGTGGTCCAGCCCACAGACTGGGGAGCCATACACCTTGGTGTTAACCCTTGCTCTGTACTTACTCGCTGTCTGGTTTAAGGCAATAAACATAACAATCTTTCTTTGTCTTATCTCTAAAATGATGATAGTAATTGAATCTACCTCATAGCACTGTGAGAATTAAGAACATTAATCCAAACAAGAAGCTTAGAATACTGCATGACACATAGCAAATGCTCAATATGTATTAGATCAAATTCCAACAAGCTGGCCCTGGCAACAACTCCTTTTGGCCCCTTTCCCAGACAGGAAAACCCTACCCTAGCCCCTTCCTATAAGCAGCAAACCAAACTCTAGTCTACTCTCTTTTGTGGGAGCACTGTGTCTCCCTTTACCCGCCAAGAAATGAACTCTTGGCTGCCTAAACCTGCTACTAGTCCTGGAGCCCAGTGGACCTCCAGCAGCAGCCATGTGACTGTTTTGTGTGTGTTTCTGTACCATTTCTAGCCACAGAAGTTGTACTTTGTTTTTGAGCATGGCTACTTCTTCTACATTGTCTCTTTTCTACTTGTATCTATCACCTTAGAATGGAAAGGAGTTTGACTGTGGCTAGACTCCTGCAATGGATTTGCGGTGCCATTTTGACTCTTCTGCAGACTCTGATGTTGGCCCCACTGAGCCGTGCTGCCTGACCCAGCACAATATCACTCCCTCCGATGACATAGGAGCAGATCTTCCAGAGGAGGTGAATCAAGGTTTTTCTCCTCTAATTAGGGACTTTTTTAAGCTGACAGGTTTGACTCTGGTCGATGATAGCTGATCCAACACAAGCTCAGCTAATTAGACACATTTCATCCTGAAGAAAAAGGTTTCTGTCTCCATTCCCTGCCTTCCCACCCAACTTCTGTCAGGGTCCTATCTGAGCCCCTTCAGAGAAGTTGGAACCAGTGTGATGTAGTGTTGGGGCATCCCAAACTGACTGACCATCAGCCATCTCTGTTTCTAAAAATACAACACCCCAAGCTCTCTCCCCCTAAGTTATGAATCAGTAGGCCTGGAATGGGACCTGAATTTTTCTTTAAGTTCAAAATCTAAATGGCCCACTACATACCTATTAGAATGGCTAAAATCAGTAAGACTGACCATACCAAGTGTTGTGGGGATGTAGAGCAACTGGAACCAGCACACATTGCTGACAGGAATGTAAAAGTTAAACATACAGCTACTATATGACCTATCCATGTCACGCCCAGGTATTTACACAAGAGAAATGAAAATGAAAGCACAAAAAGTTGTACATGAATGTTCATGGCAGCTTTACTTGTAGTGGTCCAAAACTGCAAACAACCCAAATATCCAACAACAGGTGAATGATTAATCGAATAGAGACAGAGCCATACAATGGACTCGATACAACTCAGCAATAAGAACGAATGAACATGTAACAGCATGGATGAATCTCAAAATAATTATGCTGACTAAAAGAAGCCAGATTCCTCCCCACAAACAACTATATATTATAGTTTATATGAAACTCGAGAAAATGCAAACTTAACCAGTAGTGACAAAAAGCAGATCATTTGTTGCCTGGGGAGAGAGTGGGGCAGTACGGAGCAGCGGGGGGAGAGATAACAAAGGGGAACAGTGAAACTTTGGTGGGTGACAGGTGAGTTCATTATCTTGATGGTGGTGACAGTTTCCCAGGTATATATCTATGTCAAAACATATCAAATTCCACATATTTTAAATATGTGCAGTTTATTATATATCAATTTTTAAAGATCTAAATGGCCTGCCAGGGAGGCGTTGGCCTGATCTTAATGAGAAGCCACTGGACTGAAGTCATCCACCATGCATCACCTCATGCACCACCCCCATCTCCCTCCAGGTGGCACCAATCCCAGTTGTGTGCTTTAAGCTCCACCATGGTTGGCCTCAAGTGACCCTTGAATTAGCTATTTAGACAAAGATTTAAAACAAACATAGACTTAAAAATAAATTTACACTATATATATATTTTGAGATAGGATCTTGCTGTGTGCCCAGGCTGGAGCGCAGTGGAACAATCATGGTTCACTGTAGCCTTGACCTCCTGGGCTCAAGCTATCCTCCTGCCCCAGCCTCCAGAGTAGCTGGGACTACAGGCAGGTGCCACCATGCCAGGTTAGTTTTTATGTTTCTTTGGTAGAGACAGGGTCTTGCTATGTTGCCCAGGCTACTCTTGAACTCCTGGGTTCAAGTGATCTGCCCATGTAGGCCTCTCAAAGCACTGGGATTATAGGCATGAGCCGCTGCACCTGGCCTGATTTTGGCTTTCTCTTTTAACTCCTTGACATAGGTAGCTGGTAACCAAGTACTTTGGAGAAAATAATCTCTTGCACCCACAGCATTTATTAACCACCTACAGGGAGAGCACAGGGCTAGGTTTGCTGGAGTAGAGGGGCCAAGGGGAAGGAGACTAAGTAAAAGTGATAATAGCACAACTCTGCCCCCAGAGGTCATGTATCATAATGGCTAGGAGTTTGGGCTCAGCATTCCAACAGCTAAATCAGTATCTTGGTGGCAGTAAGAAAAACGGCACATTAAAGAACTGAATTTTTCACTTTTCAAATAGTTAGATTGTATCAAATGGACACACAGAAATTGGCCCCAAAACCTAAATTAGTGTGATATTCTCTAGGAGAATAAATAGAATAGTAGGCTGGGTGCAGTGGCTCACGCCCATAATCCCAACACATTGGGAGGCCAAGGCAGGAGGATTGCTTAAGCCCAGGAGTTCAAGACCAGCCTGAGCAATATAGGGAAACCTCATCTCTACTAAAAATAAAAAAAAATTAGCCACATGCCTATAGTCCCAGCTACTCTGGAGGCCGAGATGGGAGGATCACTTGAGCCTGGGAGGATGAGGCTGCGGTGAGCCATGATTGCACTCTAGCCTGGGTGACAGAGATTCTATGTCAAAAAAAAAAAAAAAGATTAAATGAAACTATAATATCATCCTGCAGACTAAAGCCCACTGCCTGGTTGGGGCTGGGGGTATGAAGAGGCCCCTTCACAGGGAGACTATAGAAGAAAGTACATGGAGGGCATTTGATGTGAGAGAGAGGAAGCTGCAGAGAGTAGGCCTGAGAGAAGCCTTGTGTATTTACACAGGAGAGACGCATGATCAGATAGATGTTCCTGAAAAATAAATGGAGAAGATGGATTGGATTGGGGTGAGACTGAATTCCAGAAGATGATTATGATGCTTTTGCAATCAGCCAAAACAGTTGATGAAGCACTGACCCTCAGGGAAGAAAAATTAATCATGTGGAAATGAAAAACAACTTAATGTGATTAGCTTTTCTGGATTCCTTTTAAGGGACAAATGGAAATTAAATTCATCAGATATTTTAGTTAAAAACAAGTAACAAATTGTATTCAATAAATACAGAGATATTTTAAGTATACTTAAAACTGAAAATATGATCAATTCAGGAAGAAGGAGCAGGAAGCGGAGGAGGAATAAGACAGAGGATAGGAAACAGATAAAAAGGAAGTAAGCTGCTAAAAGAAGATCACAAAGAGGAAAAGTCAAATCATAGAAATTGGAATTGTTCCTAGGAGTAATAAGGGAGTAAGGTATTAAAAGTTTTTAAGCAGAGAAATGACATGGGCTGTGTTTTGGTTCCATCAGTCTGTTGCTTATGCAGAAGATATATTTGAAGGAACAAGACCAGAGGTAGGGATAGCACCACGCTAGCACCACGGGCAGATAAAAGAAGATGAGAATTTGAACCAAAACATTGAGATTAAGAATGGAGAGAAGGATGTAGGCTTGAAAACTGTTCAGAAGATAAATTTGATAGGACTTGATGATATATTGAGTAAGGAATATACTAACCTGTCAATCATAGTACCTGCTATGCTAGCTTCCCCTGTGACAGATAAATGTCCAGTCTAGACCATTCAGGGGCAAACTGGAGTGGTCATATTTCATCTCACGTTAACCTCTCCTCCTGTTACAGGTGCTTGGAGTGGAATGGGAACCTGATGTAAGGGAAGCTGACAAGTACCCTGCAATGTGACCTAGATCCCAGAGACCCAAAAGATTGAACATACAGAAAACAGTCTATGAAGAGGAGGAGAAGAGGCCCAAATGAGATCAAGTTGAGGCTATGTGAAGGAGGAAGTAGGGTTGGAATCATGAGAGGCCATACCAAGCCAAAGTTATGAAGATAATCTATGATGTAGGGAAAGATACAGGATGTGGGAAAATAATAAGAAAAATAATGTCAGGGGTGAATATGGCAGAGATGTTGGAGTCACATCAATGGCCAGGAAGCTCCACAAACTGCAAGTCCTGAGGTTTCTTGAGCTGTCTTGGGTCTACTTGTACTTTTTATGAGGCCTGATTCACTGCCATTAGACCTCTGTCTTCCTTTCTGCCCAAATAGGCTCCTGTTACTTGGGCTAAATTGACCATGCCTCTGTTCCTGGGCAATCTAAAAATATAACTAGATTATGGAGGGTGAGAAGAAAGAGGATTCAATAATGGATGACTCCCAGGTTTCTAGCTTGGATGAACAGGCAAATACAATTCATCAATTGCAACAGAAAATCCAAGAGCAGCACCAAGATTAGAAAGACGGATGACATGTTTATCCTTGGGCATCTTGAATTTGAGATGACTGTAGGCCTTTCAGTTAGCGACGGCAAGCAGAGTTTGCTTTAGAGTTGAAATTTGGGCAAGAGGTCTGGAGATTGCCCAAAGGCAATGGATGGAGGATGGAGATTTCATTCACATCAGCATTTGGTTAGTAACTAAAATGGTGATTGCGGATGAGGTCAACCACAAGTGTGTACAGTGAGAAATGCAGAGGTCTCAGGTTGAAACCCTAGGGGAACACCAATATTTCAGTGGCAGATGGAAAAGGGGAGTCCCAAATGAGTCACAGAAGGATTGTTTGGAGATATAGAGGTATACAGGGGGCACTGGGAAAACACAGCATACAGAGGCCAAAAGAATCGATAGTTTCCAGGAGGACACAATACAAAGTATCAAATGCAATAGGGAAGTTCATGAGGCAAAAACTAAAGAGAGTCCCCTGTGTTTGGAAATCAAGAAACTATAGAAAAAGTACTTTCAATTAAGAGGTAAGGATGGAAGATTGAAATAAATTGCAGCAAGTTCAGGGCTTCCAAAATGTCACAGGAAGGGCTAATGATCAAAGTAGCAGAACCAGTATCTTAAGAGACCTCCTCCTTTATAAACTCTAAACTAGAGGGGGAAATGTGTGTATGTTTCAAAAAACAAGATTACATTTTTCTGTGAAAATGGAGTTGAACTGCAGTGGACTAGAGTCATGAGGTCAACAGGGCAACAGGACCATAAATGTGGCTGCTGAGATTTTAATCCTATGGAAGAATAGAAACCAAACACACCTAAAAGGCAGCAGAGAACTAGAGGCTGACTGCCTTCCTGCATAAAGCTAAGAACTAGGACTGAGTTCCTCATCTAATGGTGGACGCTTGTATTGTGGTTGAAATGAGTTACATTTTTCATATAAAGTAGGTAATGAGGGGAAAAAAGTTTAAAAACTAAAAGGATAGAAACAGTCATGCCAACTATCAGTTAAACACAGCTGTTTAAACGTGTAAATAGATCTCTTCTCGCTCCCAGTACACCACTGAAATGAGAATAAAGAATTACAAGTGCTATAAACCCACATGGACAAAGAGAATGGAAGGTGAGTGATAACACTAGCTGATGGATGATAAGGAGAAGGGGTGGTATTCACAGACCTGAGAACGCTGAGTAGCAAGTGTGTGCCAGTGCCAAACCATGGGACAGGACACTGGATGTCTCCATGCTCTATAGCACCATGAGCTACAGAGGGCAGGGGTGGACCTGGGGGATGGAAAAGATGAACTAAAAGTGAAAAAGTAGATCCCGGAGTACCTCTTGCAAAGCTGAGCAACAACCCTTTCTCAATCCAGCAGGAGATAGGTGGTTCATTCTGTGGTTACACTAACCAAAAAGGCTCCATATTGAAGGAGACCAGGCCAACAAAAGAGTGACAGACAGATGCCTAATGAAAATCAGGATTTGAGGAAAGTGAGACTCGCAGCCTCCTTTCATTTCTTAGCTCCAAGTTATAATCCTATGTGAATAGATTCCAAATTGGTAGATTATTCTCCGGGGAAGCTGAATGTCCCAAGAGAACAGACCTACAGACATGGATATTTGTGGGTTTCTAAATAAACCAGCAAGTTCCCTGCTCGACCACCTCACAGTGAAGCACCACCCATAATGGAGATCCAAGTGCCTTGCTCTTAAATAGGAAAGGTCAACCAAGGACACCAAAACCTTTTAAGAAAATCCGCAGAATAAAAAAGGAGACCAAACCAACCAGAAAATGAAAATAGAGACAATCGAAAGAGGAGGAGAAAATTTTTTTAACTGTAATATTCTCTGAGAAATAAGAGAAGATTATATTCATGACAGAAGAACAGACAAAAATAGGTTGTTATAAAAAGGAACATTCAGAGAATAATTAAAAGGTCTTGAAATTTTTAAAAACTGTAGTAACTGAAATAAGAGAAAGTCAATAGAAAGGGTGAAAGATAAAGTTGAGGGCATGTCACAGAAAACTGAACAAAAAGATAGAGAAATAAAAAATAGGAGAAAAGAGGTAAGATCAGTCTAGGAAGTTCAACAATGAAATAATCAGAAAGAAAGAACAGAAAGGCAGAGGGGAGAAAATGATTTTTTAAAAATAACATTTTTAAATTTCGAAAAATGAAGGAAAGGAGTTTCCAGAATTAAATGTTGCAACCTGTGTCTAGCAAGGTTAAAAATTAAAAAAAAAAAAACCTATATCAACGCACATTCATTTTGAAATTTTAGAACACCAAGGCTAAAGAAAAACCGTCAAAAGCCTACATGGAGGGAAAACAAAAATAGCTCACATATAACCTATCTACAATCAGCTCCACTGTCAGCTAGAACACATCAGAACAATGTCTTCACAAGTCAGGGAGAAAATGATCTCAGTCTAGAACCTATACTCAGACAAATTATCAAGCAAGTGTGAAATAAAGAGTAGAATAAAGATAATTACAGAAAGCTCAGTTTCAAAAAATTTACTTTCCATGCACCCTTTCTTAGGAAGTAACCAGAGAAAATATCCATCAAAAAGAGAAAGCAAACCAAAAAAAAGGAAATCCACAAGATCAAAGAAACAGAGAATCCTGCACAGGAGGGAGTCAAAGGGAAAGACTAGCTGGAGAGCAACTAGTACAAAAGGGAGCAGGAGAAGGCACAGCCCTGGGAAAGGGGGAACAAACAGGGGGAGATTCCCTGATGTGCTTGACTACCGGAAATGGATTTTGCAATTTTTTAGAGTGTTTAGCTAGAATTAGCAATATGTAACAGACAACTAAGCAAACAAAAATACAATTATATATGTCTCAACATGAATTATATCTTCAAAAATAAAATATGGTTTAAAAGCCAGCCATAGAATTATATGTAGGATGTGATACCTTTTATGTAAGTTTTAAAACACAAAAATCCTACCCATTATTTATTAATATGTTGTAAATGAAGATAAAAGTGTTAAAATGAACTAAAAGGATAAAAAAGTTTCATCATTTTATGTGCCTAGGAATAAGGAAAAAAGGACTGGGATCAAGAACAGAGAATTCCTACTTGATCTGTCTCAATAATTATGAGAAACAGTATAGTGTAGTGGTTATTAGCTCAATTCTGCAGCCAGACTCCCTGGATTCATATCCCTCCTCCATTTACTAGTTGCATTACATTGTGATGGCAGTGGCTGCTGCCATTATGCTAGCTGCAGCAGGGAGGGGCGGCTGGGGCTGCACACTCCATGGAGCTGGTGGGAGCCCTGCCCTCCTGCGCGGGGCTACGGCCACCCAAGCTGCAGCTGTGGATCCAGGTCTCCCTGTGCTCTTGAAGGGGGCCAGGAGCAGGCAGGATCTGTCTGCCTGGGTGCAGTTGCAACTGCCTGACCTGCTGCTGCAGACCTGGGCCTTCCACTCCATGAGGGAGTGGGCAGGAGCTGGGGACAAGCAGGAACCCCATTCCTTCCTAGTTGGTGGGGCAGAAGCTTCCTGGGTGCAGCTGCAGCTGCCTTCCCAGGTGCAGGACCCAGGCGTCTCTGCAGCCTGCACCCTTGGGGGTGGGGAAGGCCCCCTGCCTGTCCCTGCAGGCTCAGGGGTGTCTGCTCCCACTGCCTGGCCTCTCTCTGCTAGACACAGTCTGGGGTGGAAGGGGGTGGGTCCCCAGTAAGGCCCCCACCTTCAGACCAAGGAGGGCTTGAAGGCTGGAGGCCAGGCTGCCAGTCCCTCCGACTGGAATGGGGACTTGTGTTGCCTTTTCCAGACCTGCCATGGCTGCCCATGGACCAATCAGCAGGCACTTCCTCCCCTCTGACATCCATAAAAGGCCTGGGCTCAGCCAGAGCAAGGCAGACGATGACCAGAGGATGGAGAGGACAGAGAGACCACCTAATGACCAGCTGCAGAGAGGAGTACCCTCTCTGCTGAGAGTAACCTCTCTGCTGATAGCTGGAGATGATGGGACAACCAACTGCAGAGAGGAGCTACTGTCTCTGCTGAGAGCTGCAGACTTGTGGCAGAGAGGAGCCACCCTCTCCAGGGCCTCCTTTCCACAGGGAGCTGACATCAGGAAGAGCAGTAGCAGAGTGGAGCTACCCTCTCCAGGGCTTACTCTCTGCTTATAACTAACACTCAATGGATGACCTGCCTACAGAGGAGCTACCCACTGCGGGTCTCCTCTGAGCTGTTCTAACACTCAGTAAAGCTCATCTTCATCTTGTTCACCCTTCATTTGTCTGCATACCTCATTCTTCTTGGATGCAGGAAAAGAACTCGGACAAAGGGCCACGTAGAGGTTTCCCACCAGAAAACTGACACCCCAGAGATCCTGTACACTTGGGCATACTACTTAACTACTGTATTATTCATTTGCCTCATTTGTACAACAGTATCATTCCTTACACTGAAATGATACATTTTTGGGAAGATTAAGTAAGCCCATATATGTAAAACATCTAGAATAATGCCTGATACATAGAAAATCTATTTATTATATATTTAATATCATTATTATTTTAAAAAAGATGTGAAACAAATTAACAATACTCAATTATAGTATATATAGGGATTTGTAACATTGGTTTCTATATTTCTGGGTTTTTAATATTTACTAAAAAAAATTGTTTAAGACTTGAAAACAACACTGAGATACCACTATATACCTACTTGAATAGCCAAAATTGAGAACATTGACAATATCAAATGCCAGTGAGGATGTGGAGCAACAGGAATTCTCATTCATTGCTGGTAGGTATCCAAAATGGTATAGCCACTTTGGGAGACAGTTTGACAGTTTCTTAGAAAACTAAGCATACTCTTACCATACAATCCAGCAATAATAATCCTGGGTATTTACCCAGAGAAGTTGAAAACTTATATCCATACAAAAACCTATACATGGATGTTAATAGCAGCTTTATTCATAATTGCCAAAATTTGGAGTCAACCAAGATGTCCTTCAGTAGATAAATGGGTAAACTGTGGCACATCCAAATAATGGAATATTATTCAGTGCTAAAAAGAAATGAATTATCCATTCCTTATCTATTTTTTCCATGAAAACACATGGAAGAAACTTAAATGCATATTACTAAATGAAGGAAGCCAATCTGAAAAGGCTGCATATTGTATGATTCCAACTATATCACATTCTGGAAAAGGCAAAACTATGGAGACAATAAAAAGATCAGTAATTGCCAAGGGTTATGGGGAAAGAGAAATGAATAGGCAGAGCAAGTATTTTTAAGACAGAGGAAATACTTCATACAATACTATAATAATACATGTCATTGTACATTTGCCAAAACCCATAGCATGTACAACACCAAGAGTGAGCCCTAATATAAACTATGGACTTTGGGTGATAATGATGTGTCAATGTACGTTCATAAACTGTAACAAATGTACCACTCTGGTGAGGGCTAGTGGGGATGCTGATAATAGGGGGAGGCTATGCATGTGTTGTACGGGTAGGGGGCATATGAGAAATCTCTCTACCTTCCTCTCATGTTTGCTGGGAACCTTAAACTTCTCTAAATAATAAAGTTTATTTTTTTAAGAGCTGAGGAAAATTTAGTTTAAAAAAGAAAATATAAATATTTTACCCCCAAAATAGCAATAAAATATTGTTCTAAAAGTTTAGATGAGAACTTCCACTTCCATTTAAGATGTAATAGCTGAGTCTAGATTCATCCTTAAACAACTAGAAAATTGGACAAAGTACATGAAACAATGGTTTGCAGACATTTGACAATATGCAGCACAGGGCAGTGATCCTTGAGAAAATAAAAACAAATGAAATGAGTCCTATAATTATCTCAGATCATTGCTTTGTGGAAGTTTCCAGGCCACAGAGCAGAGAAGGAGACCTAAACAAAGCCCAACATTCTCTCTGAATTGAGGAGAGTAAGACTGGAGTTCAGGGAGGTGAAGTAGCTAGAACATATGTGAAAGAACACTAGAAAGAGGACGACTGCACAGAAAGAGAGCACCAGGGATCCACACATGGGAGTCCTCAAATATTTAGCTGAATAGGGATATGCACATGCATGGTCTGAAACTCTATGTGTAAAGCAGTTGGCCAAACAATTTCTGGAGCTCACAGTGAATTTTAACTAGTTCATGTTCTCACCTGTCAGAGTGGAGAAAAACATGATGCCTCATAATACATGGAGCATCAGAAAAAGTGTACAACAGGGAATTCAAAGGTAGCCTTTGTTGTGAAGCTAATTCTAGACTAAAGACTACTCTGAACTCAAACTAATAAAACTTAAAACTAAGCTTCAAAATAATTGAACCCCCAAGTAACCTAACTATATGACAGAAAAAAAAGAGTCCAACACTTTCTAAAACATAAAAGAAGACCTGAATTTAACCTCTAGTGATTTAAAAAATCAGTAGCTGAAATAAAAAACGCACTGAATCAGATTAACAGCAGATTAGATAATATAGGAAAAACAGCCAAAATGAAGCATGGAAGGCAAAAGGGAAAAATAACAGAGCAAGTAGCCAATGGAAAAATACCAAGCAGACTAAAATTTGTGTAATTTAAGTCTGAGAAAGAAAGAAGAGGGAAAGAACTCCCCCACAAAAAAACTACTTGAGAAAATAATAGCCAAAATATTTCTACAATTGATGAGAATAATAAATCTACACACTCAAGAAGTTTTTAAAAGCCTAAGAAGAATAAATATGCCAAGAACCACACCAATGAACAGCATAGTTAAACATCTGAGAGCCAAGGATAAGGAGAAAAGCTTAAAAGTGGCCAGGGAGGCAGGAGGAGATGTTACATACAGAGAAGGAAAAATGGAAAAAATAGATTCCTCATTAAAACCACCCAAGCCCTAAGAAAAGTGAATAATAGTATTTAAACATAAAAAGAAAAAAAACTGCCAATCTACATTTTTATACCCAGCAACAATATCAAAAATGAAGGCAAATAAAGACTTTTTCAGAGAAACAAAAAGCTGAGAGACTTTCACCACAAGAAATGTTAGAGGTACATCTTCAGACAGGAGGACAATGACATCAGACGGAAATTTTATCTACACAAAGGAACAAAGAATGCCAGATACAGTAAATCTAACTTTTTTCTTTTTATTTCCTAATCCCCTTAAAGGATAACTGACTGCTTAAAGAAAAACATTAACAATGTATTATGATGTTCATAACATATGTAAAAGAAAAACAAATGACAACAATTTAAAAGGGGACTAAACATGAAAAGACACTCAACATCACTCCCTTTTAAAGAAATGCAAATCAAAACCACAATGAGATACCACTTCAACACATTAGGATAGTTGTTAGAAACAAACAAACAAACCAAAAACAGAAAATAACAGGAGTCGGCAAGCAAGCATATGAAGAAATTGGAACATTTATGCACTATTAGTGGGAATGCAAGCACTATGGTGCAGACACTATAGAAAACGGTGTGGTAGTTCCTCATAAAGTTAGACATAGAATCATTATATGATCCAGCAATTTCACTCCCAGGCATATGCCCTAAAGAATTAAAATCAGGACTCAAACAGATACTTGCACACCAATGTTCATAGCAGCATTATTCACAATAATCAAAAGATGTGAACAACCCAAATGTCTATCAAGAGATGAATGGATAAACAAAAGCAGTATATTCATACAATGGAATAATACTGTAACCTTAAAAAAAGTGAAATTCTAATATATGCTACAGTGTATGTAAACCTTTAAAATATTATACTAAGTGAAATAAGCCAGACCCAAAAGGACAGATGAAGTATGATTTCACTTATATTATATACATAGAATAGGCAAATTTATAAAGACAGAGGTAGAATAGTAGTCACCAAGGTCTAGGGAGAATGATAAAGATGGCTTTATAGACACAGAGTTTCTGTTTGGGATGAAAAAAAGCATTCTGGAACTAGATAGTGGTGCTAGTTGCATGGCATTGGAAATGTACTAAATGCCAGTGAATTGCACTCTTAAAACAGTGGAAAGGGAACAATAAGACAGAAGATCAATAAGGAAATAGAGGACTTGAACAACACCATAGACCAGGTGGGCCTAACAAACATATACAGAACACTCCACCCACCAATAGCAGAATACACACTTTTCTCAAGAGCACATGGATTATTTCCCAGGATAGACCATATGTTAGGCCACAAAACAAACTTTAATAAATTTTAAAATATTGAGGTCATACAAAGTATCTTTTCTGATCACAATTGAATAAAATCAGTAGCAGAAAGAATACTGGAAATGCACAAACTTGTGGAAATTAAATAGCACACTCTTAAACAACAGTGGGTCAAAAAAGAAATCACAAGGAAAATTAGAAAATATCTTGAGGCAAATGACACTGAAAACACAACATATGAAAATATGTAGGATGCAGCAAAATCAATGCTAAGGGGGAAAATTATAGCTGTAAAAGTGAATATTAAAAAAGAAAAAAGACTTCAAATCAACAACTTAACTTTACACATTAAGGAAAGAGAAAAAGAGCAAACTAAATCCAAAGTTAGCAGAAGGAAGGAAATAATAAAGATTAGGGCAGATAGACAAAATAGAAAATAGAAAAAAAATAGAAAAAATCAATGAAATCAAGAGCTGGTTCTTTGGAAAGATTTTTTTAAATTGGAAAAACTTTAGCTACATCGACCAAAAAAAGAGAGTGGACTCAAAACTAGAAGTTAAAGAAGGGACATTACAACAAATTTTAGCCGACTGCATACTTAAAAATGGTTAAGGTAGTAAATTTTATGTTATATGTATTTTACCACAATTATAAGTAAGAAAAAGAAAAAGAAAAATAACCCTAGAAAGATGGTCTGAGACCAAGAAGGCAAAAAAAGATAAATACGTGAATAAGTATACTGTCTTTATAAAACATTGTTACAAGTTTATGAGGTTTTTCTAAGTTAGAATTAAAATTTTCATAAAATGACATTCCCCAAAGTTAGAATTAAATTTTTGATAAAGTGGCACCACCCAAATTTTATGAGGCAAAACGTTCAGATGAGAGGAAATATGAACATGTGCAGTTGAGGGGGATTAGGAGTTTTGATCTGTGGACATTGCTTCTGGTTGGCATGTGGTATTTTTGTTGTTTGTTTTGGTTTTGTTTGCTTGCTTTTTGTTTATAGGAGAGTAGAGGTTTTAATATGCTTACAGGCTAAGGAGAAATAACCAGTGGAAAGGAAGAGATTGGAAATATAGAAAAGATATAGAATACAGAAGGAAAACTTCTAAGTATACTATTCAGGAAGAACTTATAATCTACACTCCTAAAGGAAACATTTAAGATGTACAGGACCTTCCTTCCTCTCAAACCAAACTCATTGTCAGCGAGGACACAGTTCCATATGGAGGAAAAATCTGAGGCATTGTCCATGTGTTCCTTAACATTATCTCTGCCTACTGCTTTTCAACATCCAAAAAAGCAATTTCTCCCAGAGAACTCCTGGCACTGATTTAGTATCCCTTTATCTGGGTAATTTCGATGGTATGAACTGAGAACCATCAAGACCAATTTATGCCTTCATAGCCCACACTCCCACCCCGGATGTGAACACACTTCCACCACCATGGCTTGGATATTTATAATTTCTATAAGCTTATATCAATCAATTGACTCATATCAGAACAATTCATATTATTTGTCTCATTTGAGCATTACCATGGACATATGGTCTTTCATAACTTGTAATTGATCACAGTCATTATTTACTTTTTTAAGCTCATCTTGTTATAGCTTAGCTCATCTTGAGTTCTTGTTATAGCTTAGCTCATCTTGAGTTCTTATAACAGCTTTTCTGCAAAGAACATTTTTTGGAAAATGGTAGCAGAGGCCTGAATATGTTTACTAAAGATGTATATTTCATTATTTCACATGATCATATGAGGTAGTTTAGTGACAGCAGTAAAGAAATTATCTCTTTTTTTCAGACAGTGAGAGTTCATGTCAACACTTCCAGTTTACCTCTAGTTCTACTAATTATGTTTATCTTCTCTAAATTTGATGCACCATGCTATATATTCTTCATACCAAATCATTTGTCTGATTTACACTCTTGCCCTCACATTTTAAAGTTTGTTTACCTTTTCTCTTTTGACTTTTGGCTCTAATATTTGAATTGGCTCCAAAGTGTACATGTCTGTGTGCAGCTCCTCCATACCACTCAAGTACTGACTATTTAAAAGGAAAAAGCAATCTCAACCTCTCTCCAGAGAACCACCAGAAAGATACACAGGCTTAAGATAACTGGCATCTCAGAAGAAATCTCAGGCAATAAGTAACTATTGTAGCAACAAATACAATACAGAAAATACAAGCTTCACAGGTTTTATATAAAAATCTCCTCTAACTCTGTATTTTCACGATCACCAGAGTCATTATTTAATTTGTATCATAGGTAGTTTTAGTTTTGAACTATTATTTCCTTTGGATAAATAGGTATTCATTTATCCAAATGAATTCCAACTTTAAAATATCCAATGAAGAATATCAGAAAATGGTCTGTCTGAGCGAGTGTGACAGGCACACCAGCCTCCATCCCAGAGCAGATCCCAAGATACCCAGTCCTATCTTCAGCTTCTCCTATTGCAGTCAAGAATTTACCCCACTTGTGAGTGACCTGCTGGGTGACACATGCCCATATGAGCCAAGAAGATGGGCCCACCAGCCTTCTCTCCACAGCAGATCCCAAAGACACCAAGTCTCCACTCCAACCCCAGTTACTGCTGCTGGGAGTCATGGAACGGTCTGCTGGGAGGCATGATCAGCTGGGACACTGGGACAGTCTTCTAGACTGTCTTCTGGAGGTTCTTGGCCAGAATCCCCACACAGCCCCCATATCCTCCTTGGATCTTCCCCAGATCCATCTGGGGTGGAAATCTGTGGCAATCTTGGAGCTCTTGAGAGACTTAAGGCAAGCCTAGGCTTAGAGGGTCCCCTACTGGTGAGATGGCTGCAGTGGTCACAGACTCAAGGAACACAACAATTAGTCTGCTTAGAATCTCTGAAAGTCTCTCTGAAGTAGGACAGGTAAAACAGACTGAGAAGACTGAAGTACATACCTCATCTCTCAATGCACAGACATTGTCATACTTCCACAAGCATCAAGAACATTGAGAGAAATATGATCTCAACAAGCAGACAAAATAAGGTGCCTAACCGTAAAGTAATGGAGATGTGTGATCTCTCAAAGAATCAAAATAACTGTTTTAAGGAAGCTCAACAAACTTCAAAAATCACAGAAAATCAATGCAAAAACTTATCAAAGCAATTTAACAGAGAGATTGAAATAATTTTTGAAAGTCAAGCAGCAATCCTGCAGCTGAAAAATACAACGAATAGAACGGAAAATGCACTAGAGATCATCAAAAGCAGAATTGATCAAGTAGAAGAAAGAATCAGTGAGCTCAAAGACAGACTATTTGAAAATACACAGAAGACAAAAACAGGAAAAACTGAAAAAGAATGAGCAAAGCTTACAAGATCTATGGGACAACATCTAAAGAGTAAATATTCATGTTATTGGAATTCAAGAGAGAACTGAGAAAAAAAAAAGGTGTAGAAATCTGATTCAAACATATAATAAAATGTTCCGAATGGAGAAAGATATAAATATCAAGATACATGAAAGCCAAAAGTCACTGATCAGATTCAACCCAAAGAAGAATAACAAATTCACAAAAGCCACAGACGAAAAAAGGATCCTGAAAGCAACAAGAGAAAAGAAGCAAATAACATGTAATGGAGATCTAATATGACTGGCAGCAAACTTCTCAGCAGAAATCCTACAGTCCAGGAGGAAGTGAGATGATATATTCAGAGTACTGAAGGAAAAAAAATGCCAACCAAGAATACTGCATTCAGCAAGATTATCCTGCGAAAATGAAGGAAAGATAAAGAATTTCCCACATAAACAAAAGTTGAGGGAATTTATCACTACCAGATCTGTCCTACAAGTAATGATAAATGGAGTTCTTCAAACCAAAAGAAAAGGATATCAATGTGATTGTTATTGTACTTGTGGTGTTTAAACCACTTATATCGTTAGTAAGAAGACTAAAAGATGAAACTAATAAAATTTTAATTACAACAATTTGTTAAGAGTTAGAGTTTCTTCAAACCAAAAGAAAAGGATGCCAATGTGATTGTTATACAGATATTGTACTTTGCTGTTTAAACCACTTATATCTTTAGTAAGAAGACTAAAAGATGAAACTATTAAGAATGATAATTACAACAATTTGTTAAGGGTTAGGCAATATAAAAAATGCAAATTGTGATACCAAAATTTTAAAATCTAGGGGCAGAAAAGCGCTAATGTGTGCAGAGTTTTTTCTTGGTTTGTTTGTTTTCCTTTTTTGCAATTATAGTTAAGTTGGTATTAGTTTTAAGTATTTGTTATAACTATAGAATGTTTTTGTAAGCTCATGGTAATCACTAAGCAAAAACCTATAACAGATACACTAACAATAAAAAGCAGTAAATTAAAATGTACTACTAGAGAAAAACGCCTAGCCAGAACAAAAGAAAGGAAGAAAGAAAAAAAGGAAGAAATTACAAAACAACTAGAAAATAAGCAACAAATGGGAGTAGTAAGTTCTTACCTGTCAATAATAACTCGAATATAAACGAACTAAATTCTCTATTTAAAAGACAGAGGTGGCTGAGTGGATTAAAAATAAGATCCAACCATATGCTGCCTACAAGAAACTCACTTCACCTATAAAGATACACACAGGCTGAAAGTGAAAGGATAGAAAAAATATTCCATGCAAATGGAAACCAAAAAAGAGCAGAGTAGCTGTACTTATATCTGATAAAATAGACTAAGTAAAACCTTAAGACTCCACTAGAAAATTATTAGAATGGATAAACAAATTCATTAAAGTCACAGTATACAAATCAACATACAAAATCAGTAGTGTTTCTGTACACTAACAGCAATCAATCTAAAATAGAAGTCAATAAAGGAATCCCATTTGCAATAGCTACCAAAAATGAAATAAAATGCCTAGGAATAAATTTAACCAAAAAAGTGGAAGATCTCTACAAAGAAAACTATAAAACACTGATGAAACAAATTAAAGAGGTCACCAAAAAAAGGAAGGATATCCCATGCTTATGGATTGGAAGAAATAATACATAAAATGTCCATATTACCCAAAGCAATCTACAGATTCAATGTACTCCCTATCAAAATACTAATGACATTCTTCACAGAAATAGAAAACACAATTTAAAAATTTGTATGGAACCACAGAAGATTTGTAATAACTAAAGCAATCTTGAGCAAAAAGCACAAAGCTGGAATCACCGCTCTGATTTCAAATTTTACTACAAGGGTATGGTAATCCAAATTCCATAAAAACTACTGTTTTTATGCCAGTAGTATGTTTTATACTACTGGCATAAAAACAAAACTATAGAGCAATGGAATAGAATAGAGAGTCCAGAAATAAATATACATACTTACAGCCAACTCATTTTTGACAAAGGCACCAAGAACTTACATTGGGGGAAGGACAGTCTCTACCTTATAAGGGATTAAAGCCTTAACTGTAAGACCTGAAACTATGAAACTACTAGAAAAAAAAATCGCAAAATGCAACAGGACACTGGGCAAGGCTTTTTTTTCTTTTTAAAAAACAATTAATAGACTTTATTTTTTCAGCAGTTTTAGATTAACAGAAAAATTGAACATAAAGTTCAGAGAGTTCCCATATGCACCCAATCCCTGCCAGTTTCTCCTATTATTAACATCTTGCATTAATATGGTATATTTCTTGCATTTGATGAGCCAATATTGACATTATTATTAACTAAAATCCATAGTTTACATTAAGGTTCTCTCTTTGTGTTGTATAATCTGTGTTTTGACAAATGTATCTAGTGTTGCAGTATCATAGAGCACTATCTTAAAAGTCCCTTATGCTCTATTTATTCCTCCTCCCTCCACCCAACTCCCTGGCATTCACTCAGCTTTTTACTATCTCTGTAGTTGTGCGTTTTACAGAAGGATGTACAGTTGGGCTAATAAAGAATGTGCCTTTTCAGATTGGCCTTTGTATCTTATCAATATACATTTATGGTTACTCTATACTTTTTTGTGGCTTGATAGCTCATTTCTTTTTATTACTGAATAGTATTCGATTGTATGGATGCACTAAAGTTTGTTTATACATTCACCTACTAAAGGACATCTTGATTGCTTCCACATTTTGAATAATTATCAGTAAAGCTGACATACACATTCATATGCAAATTTTTATATCCACAGACATTTTCAAAACATTTGGAGAAGAAGATTGCTGAATCATATGGTTTGAGTACGTTTATTTTGTAGGAACCTGCCAAACCAGCTTTCAAAATGGCTGCACCATTACGCATTCCCACCAACAATGAATGAGAGTTCCTGTTGTTCCACATTCTCACCAGCATTTGGTGATTTCAGTGCCTTGGCTTTTAACAATCTAATAGATGTGTAGTAGTATCTCCTTTTAATTTGCAATCAATTCTCTAATGATACATAATGTTAAGCCTCTTTTCATATGCTTATTTGACTTCTATCTATCTTCTTCTGTGAGGTGAGTTCAGATCTTTTGCCCATTTTTCAATTTTATTGTTTGCTTTCTTATTGTTATTAATAAGTTTTAAGAGTTCTTTGTGTACTTTGGATATCAGTCCTTTATCAGATAGGCATTTTACAAATATTTTCTGCTACTCTGTGGTTTATCTTTTCATTCCTTTAACAATACTTTTTGCAGAGCAGATGTTATTATTTTTAATGAAGTCCAATATATTACTTTTTTCCATGGATCATGCTTTTAGTGTTGTATCTAAAAAGTCATCACCAAACTAAAAGTCACCTAGAGTTTCTTCTATATTATCTTCTAGGAGTCTTAGAGCTATCAGTTAATTTTTCTAAAAGGTGTAAAGTCTGTGCATGCATTTCTTTTTTTTTTTTTAATGTGGATGTCCAACTGTTCCAGCACCCCTTGTTGAAAAGTATATCCTTTCCCATTAAATTGCCATTGCTCCTTTGTCAAATATCAATTAGCTATATTTGTGAGTCTATTTCTGTGATGTCTATTCTGTTCTGTTAATGTATTTGTCCATTCTTTCACCAACGCCACACTGTCTTGATGACTGCAGCTTTATGGTAAGTGTTGAAGTTTTGTAGCGTCAGTCTTCTGATAATCTGCCACATTTTGAATTCATTCATCAGCTCCCGGAAATTGGATTGTTTACATATTTTGGCTCTTGTGAATAAATAATGCTTCTATGAATATTTTTGTGAACGTATTTTTTATTTCATACATATACAAAATATATATGCACATGTGCTATATATATGTGTGTGTGTGTGTGTATACATGTATGTGCAATTCCGGAGTCACAGAGTAATTCTATTCAACATTTTTACAACTATTAAACTGGTTTCAAAAATTGCTGCTCCTTCTTACATTCCAGTAATGGAGAAAGGTCCCAATTTCTTCTAATCCTCACCAAAACTTTTATTATTTTAGTTGTAGCCTTCATAGTGGGCTTGAAGTGGTATCTCATTGTGATTTTTGTTTGCATTTGATTTGCCTTTTTACTTTTTTAAATGTTTTATTTCCATAGGTTTTTGGGGAACAGGTGACATTTGGTTATATGAGAAAGTTCTTTAGTGGTGATTTGTGAGTTTTTTTGTTTGTTTGTTTTTGGTGTACCCATCACCTGAACAGTATACACTGAACCGAGTTTGTAGATGAAACACAGAAGATTTTTATTTTGATGAAGTCCAATTTATGAAGTTTTTTTCTTCTGTTGCTTGAAATTTTGGTGTCATATCTAAAAATAATTTTATCGTTTGTTGCTTGTGATTGGTGTCATATCTAAAAGTAATTTCGAATGCAAGATCACAAACATTTACTCTTATACTTTCTTCACAGTACTTTAAGTTTTTAAGTACTTACACTTAGTCCTAAGAATATTTTCCCTTTTTTAAATTTTTGTATATTTGAGGGGTACAAGTACCTGTTTCTTAACATGCATATATTGCACAGTAGTAAAATCCAAGCTTTTAGTTTACCTATCACCCAAATACTGATCATTGTACCCAGTAGGTAATTTTTCAACCCTTTCAACCTTCACTCCCGCTTCCCACTTCTCACCTTTGGAGTCTCCAATGTCTATTATTCCACTCTGTATGTTCATATGTACCAATGTTTAGCTCCCATTTATAAGTGAGAACATGCAGTATTTGACTTTCTGTTTTTGAATTATTTCATTTAGGATAATGTCACCCGGTTCTATCTATGTTGGTGCAAAAGACATGATTTTATTCTTTCTTGTGGCTGAGTAGTATTCCATGGAGTATATGTATATACCACATTGTCTTTATCCAGTCCTCCACTTAAGGACACTTAGGTTGATTCCATATCCTTGCTATTGTGAGTAAACATATGAGTGCAGGTATATTCTTGATATAGTGATTTCCTTCCCTTTGGGTATATACCCAGCAGGGAGATTGCTGGATCATATGGTAGTTCTATTTTGAGTTCTTTGGGAAATCTCCATACTGTTTTCCATAAAGGTTGTACTAATTTATATTCCCACCAACAGTGGGAATGTAACACTTAGGTTGATGAAGACTTAGGTTGATGTTACATCTTGGTTATTATGAATGAATAGTACTGCAATAAACATGGGAGTGCAGATATACTTTGATATACTGATTTCCTATCTGTTAGATATATACCTATATACCCAGCAGTGGGATTGCTGAATCTTATGGTAGTTCTATTTTATTTTGTAATCCCATTTGTATATTTTGCTTTAGTTGCCTGTGTTTTTGAGGTCTTATCCAAGAAATCTTTGCCTGTTTTCAAAAGAAAACATACAAGTAGCCAAGAAACACATGAAAAAGTGCTCAACATCACTAATTATCACAGAAATGCAAATTAAAACCATAAGCAACACCATCTTATACCAGGAAGAACAGCTATTACTAAAAAGTCTAAAAACAACAGATGTTGGCAAGGATTCAGAGAAAAGGGAATGCTTATACACTTCACATTCCCACTGCTGGCATCAGGTCAGTGCCCCTCTGGGATGGAGATCCCAGAGGAAGGAGCAGGCAGCCATCTTTACTGTTCTGCAGCCTCCACTGGTAACACTTCCAGGTGCGAGAAGGACCCAGGCAAATAGGGTCAGAGTGGACCCCCAGCAAATTGTAGCAGCCCTACAGAAGAGGGGCCTGACTGTTGAAAGAAAAACAAACAAGCAGAAAGCAACAACCACAACAGCTCCAAAAGTTCCCACCAAAACCCCATCCAAAGGACAGCAGCCTCAAAGATTGAAACTACATAAACTCATGAAGATGAGAAAGAATTAACAAAAAACCCTGAAAACTCAAAAAGCCAGAGTGCCTCTTCTCCTCCAAATGATTGCAACACCTCTCCAGCAAGGGCACAGAACTGGGAAGAGACTGAGATGGATGAATTGACAGAAGCAGACTTCAGAAGGTAGATAATAACAAACTTCGATGAGCTAAAGGAACATGTTCTAACCCAATGCAAAGAAGCTAAGGACCATGATAAAACGTTACAGGAGCTGTTCACCAGTTTAGAGAGGAATATAAATGACTTGATGGAGCTGAAAAACACAACACGAGAACTTCACAATGCAACCATAAGTATCAACAACTGAATAGACCAAGTAGAGGAAAGAATTTCAGAGCTTGAAGACTACCCTGCTGAAATAAAACAGCCAGACAAGATTAGGAAAAAAAAGAATGAAAAGGAATAAACAAAACCTCCAAGAATGATGGGATTATGTAAAAAGACCAAACCTGCTACTGATTGGGGTACCTGAAAGAGACAGGAAGAATGGAAACTAGTTGAAAAACATACTTCAGGATATCATCCAGGAGGACTTCCCCAACCTAGAAAGACAAGCCAACATTCAAATTCAGGAAGTACAGAGAACCCCAGTAAGACACTCCATGAGAAGATCAACCCCAAGACATATAGTCATCAGGTTCTTCAACATCAGAATGAAAAAAATGTTAAGGTCAGCCAGAGAGAAAGGCCGGGTCACCTACAAAGGGAAGCCCATCAGACTAACAGTGGATCTCTCAGCAGAAACCCTACAAGCCAAAAGAGATTGGGGGCCAATATTTAACATTCTTAAAGAAAAGAATTTCCAGCTCAGAATTTGAAGAAACTAAATTTCATAAGCAAAGAAGAAATAAAATCCTTTCAGACAAGCAAATGCTAAGGGAATTTGTCACTCCCAGGCCTGCCTTTCAAGAGCTCCTGAAGGAAGCACTAAATGTGAAAAGGAAAAAACATTACCAGCCACTACAAAAACACAGTAAAGTACAAAGACCAATAAAGAAAGTACAAAGTACAAAGACTATGAAGCAACTATATCAAGTCTATAAAATAACCAGCTAGCATCATCATGACAGGATCGAATTCACACATAACAATATTAACCTTAAATGTAAATGGGCTAAATGCCCCAAGTAAGAGACACAGAATGGCAAGCTGGATAAAGAGTCAAGACTCATCAGCATGATGTATTCAAAAGACCCACCTCTCGTGCAAAGACACACATAGGCTCAAAATAAAGGGATGGAGGAAAATTTACCAAACAAATGGAAAGCAGAAAAAAAGTAGCAGTTGCAATCCTAGTTTCTGACAAAATAGACTTTAAACCAACACAAATCAAGAAAGACAAAGAAGGACATTATATAATGGTAAAGGGTTCAATTCAACAAGAAGAGCTAACTATCCTAAATATATATACACCCAATACAGAAGCACCCTGATTCATAAAATGAGTCCTTAGAGACCTTCAAAGAGACTTTGAATACCACACAATAACAGTGGGAGACTTTAACACCCCACTGTCAATATTAAGTGGATCATCAAGACAGAAAATTAACAAGGATATTCAGGACTTGTACTCAGCTCTGGATCAAGTGAATCCAACAGATATCTACAAAACGTGCCACTTCAAAACAACAGAATATACATTCTTCTCAGTGCCACACGGCACTTACTCTAAAATCGATCACATAATTGGAAGTAAAACACTCCTTAGCAAATGCAAAAGAACTGAAACCATAACAGTCTCTCAGACCACAGAGCAATCAAGCCAGAACTCAGGATTAAGAAACTCACCCAAAACCACACAACTACATGGAAATTGAACAACCTGCTCCTGAATGACTCCTGTGTGAATAATGAAATTAAAGCAAAAATCAAGAAGTTCTTTAAAACCAATGAGAACAAAGAGACAATGTACCAGAATCTCTGGGACACAACTAAAGCAGTGTTAACAGGGAAATTTACAGCACTAAATGCCCCCATCAAAAAGTTAGAAAGATCTCAAATCAACACCCTAACATCACAGCTAAGAGAGCTAGAGAACCAAGAGCAAACAAACCCCAAAGCTAGCAGAAGACAAGAAATAACTAAGATCAGGGCAGAAATGAAGGAGATAGAGACAGGAAAACCCCTTCAAAAAATCAACAAATCAGCCATGTGCAGTGGCTTAAGCCTGTAATCCTAGCACTTTGGGAGGCTGAGGCGGGCGGATCACGAAGTCAGGAGTTTGAGACCATCCTGGCCAATATGGTGAAATCCTATCTCTACTAAAAATACAAAAATTAGCTGGGTGTGGTGGTGCACACCTGTAGTCTCAGCTACTCGGGAGGCTGAGGCAGGAGAATCACTTGAAGCTGGGAGGCAGAAGTTGCAGTGAGCCAAGATCGTGCCACTGCACTCCAGCCTGGGTGATAGAGCGAGACTCCCTCTCAAAAAAAAAAAAAAAAAAATCAACAAATCCAGGAGCTGGTTTTCTGAAAAAACTGATAAACTAGATAGGCCACTAGCTAGCCTAACAAAGGAGAAAAGAGAGAAGAATCAAATAGACACAATAAAAAATGATAAGGGGGATATCACCACTGTCCCCACAAAAATACAACCATCAGAGAATACTATAAACACCTCTATGCATATAAACTAGAAAATCTAGAAGAAATGGATGAATTCCTGGACACATACACCTTCCCAAGACTAAACCAGGAAGAAGTTGAAACACTGAATAGACCAATAACAAGTTCTGAAATTGATGCAGTAATAAATAGCCTACCAACCAAAAAAAAAGCCCAGGATCAGATGGATTTACATCTGAATTCTACCAGAGGTACAAAGAGGAGCTTGTACCATTTCTTCTGAAACTATTTCAAACAATTGAAAAGGAGGGACTTCTCCGTAACTAATTTTATGAGGCCAGAATCATCCTGATACCAAAACCTGGCAGAGGTACAACAAAAAAAGAAAACTTCAGGCCAACATCCCTAATGAACATTGATGCAAAAATCCTCAATAAAATACTAGCAAACTGTATCCAGCAGCACACCATAAAGCCTATCCACCATGATCAAGTTGGCTTTATCCCCAGGATGCAAGGCTTGTTCAACATATGCAAATCAATAAATGTAATTCATCACATACACCGAACTAAAGACAAAAACCACATGATTATTTCAATAGACACAGAAAAGGCCTTTGATAAAATTCAACATCCCTTCATGTTAAAAACTCTCAATAAACTAGGTATTGTTGGAAGATACCTCAAAATAATTCTAAGAGTCATTTATAACAAACCTACAGCCAATATACCGAGCGGGCAAAACCTGGAAGCATTCTTCTTGTAAACCGGCACAAGACAAGGATGCCCTCTCTCACCGTTCCTATTTGACATAGTATTGGAAGTTCTGACCAGAGCAATCAGGAAAGAGAAAGAAATAAAGCATATTCAAATAGGAAGAGAGGAAGTCAAACTATCTCTGCTTGCAGATGACATGATCTTATATCTAGAAAACTCCATTATCTCAGCCCAAAAGCTTCTTAAGCTGATAAGCAACTTCAGCAAAGTCTCAGGATACAAAACCAATGTGCAAAAATCACAAGCATTCCTATACATCAACAATAAACAAGCAGAGAACCAAATCATGAATGAACACCCATTCACAATTGCTACAAAGAAAATAAAATACCTAGGAAGACAGTTAACAAGGAATGTGAAGGACCTCTTCAAGGAGAACTACAAACCACTGCTCAAGGAAATAAGAGAGAACACAAACAAAGGGAAAAACATTCCATGGATAGGAAGAATCAATATTGTGAAAATGGCCATACTGCCCAAAGTAACTTACAGATACAATGCTATTCCCATTAAACTACCATTGTCATTCTTCACAGAATTAGAAAAAACTACTTTAAAATTCATGTGAAACCAAAAAAGAGCCTGTATAGCCAAGACAATCCTAAGCAAAAAGAACAAAGCTGGAGGCATCACACTACCTGACTTCAAACTATACTGTAAGGCTATAGTAACAAAAGCATTATGATACTGGTATAAAAACAGACACATAGACCGATGGAACAGAATAGAAATCTCAGAAGTAAGACCACACATCTACACTATCTGCTCTTCAACAAACCTGATAGCAATAAGCTATAGGAAAGGGTTCCCTATTTAATAAATGGTGGTTGGAAGAAATATCTAGCCATATGCAGAAAATTGAAACTGGACCCCTTCCTTACACCTTATACAAAAATTAACTCAAGATGGATCCAAGACTTAAATACAAAACCCCAAACTATAAAAACCCCAGAAGAAAATCTAGGCAATACCATTCAGGACATAGTCACAGGCAAATATTTCATAACAAAAACATCAAAAGCAATTGCAAAAAAAGCAAAAATTGATAAATTGGATCTAATTAAACTAAAGAGCTTCTGCACAGCAAAAGAAACTATCATCAGAGTGAACAGGCAGCCTACAGAATGGGAGAAAATTTTTGCAATATATCCATCTGACAAAGGGCTAATACTCAGAATCCACAAGAAACGTAAACAAACTTACAAGAAAAAAACAACCCCATTAAAGAGTGGGCAAAAGACATGAACAGACACTTCTCAAAAGAAGACATTTATTCAGCCAACAAACATGAAAAAAAGCTCAACATCACTGATCATTACAGACATGCAAATCAAAACCACAATGAGATACCATCTCACACCAGTCAGAATGGCAACTATTAAAGTCAAGAAACAACAGATGCTGGTGAGGCTGTGGAGAAAGAGGAACACTTTTACGCTGTTGGTGGGAATGTAAATTAGTTCAACTATTATGGAAGACAGTGTGGTGATTCCTCAAAGACTTAGAACCAGAAATACCATTTGACCCAGCAATCCCATTACTGGGTATATACCCAAAGGAATATAAACCATTCTACTATAAAGATACATGTAAGCATATGTCATTGCAGCACTATTCACAATAACAAAGGCATGGAATCAACCCAAATGCCCATCAATGATAGACTGGATGAAGAAAATGTAGTGCACATACACCATGGAATACTATGCAGCCATAAAAAGGAATGAGATTGTGTCCTTTTCAGAGACAAGGATGAAGCTAGAAGCCATTATCCTCAGCAAACTAATGCATGAACAGAAAACTAAACAATGCGTGTTATTACTTATAAGTGGGAGCAGAACAATGAGAACACATGGACACAAAGAAAGGAACAACACACACTGGGGCCTGTGAGGGTGGTGGTGGTGTGCAGTGGGAGAGAGAGCATCAGGATAAATAGCTAATTCCTGTGGGGCTTAATACCTAGGTGATGGGTTGATAGGTGCAGCAAAGCACTGTGGCACGCATTTACTAATGTAACAAAGCTGTACTTCCTGCACATGTATCCCAGAACTTAAAATAAAATTAAATTAAAAAATAAAAAAATAAAATTTTATCTTTTTTATTACACTTTAAGTTGTTGAATACATGTGCAGAATGTGCAGGTTTGTTACATAGGTATACGTGTGCCATGGTGGTTTGCTGCACCCATCAACCCGTCATCTAGGTTTTAAGCCCCACATGTATTAGATATTTGTCCTAATGCTCTCCCTCTCCTTGTCCCCCAACCCCCAACAGGTCCCTGTGTGTGATGTTCCCCTTCCTGTGTCCATGTGTTCTCATTGTTCAACTCCCACTTATGAGTGAAAACATGTGGTGTTTGGTTTTCTGTTCCTGTGTTCGTTAGCTGAGAATGATGGTTTCCGGCTTCATCCATGTCCCTGAAAAGAACATGAATTCATCCATTTTTATGGCTACATAGTATTCCATGGTGTATATGTGCCACATTTTCTTTATCCAGTCTATCATTGATGGACATTTGGGTTGGTTCCAAGTCTTTGCTCTTGTAAATACTGCTGCAATAAACACACATGTGCATGAGTCTTTATAATGGAATGATTTATAATCCTTTGGGTATATACCCAGTACTGGGATTGATGGATCAAATGGTATTTCTGGTTCTAGACGCTTGAGGAATCATCACACTGTCTTCCACAATGGTTGAACTAATTTACACTCCCACCAACAGTGTAAAAGTGTTCCTATTTCTCCACATCCTGTCCAGCATCTGTTGTTTCCTGACTTTTTAATGATCGCCATTCTAACTGGCGTGAGATAGTATCTCATTGTGGTTTTGATTTGCATTTCTCTAATGGCCAGTGATGATGAGCTTTTTTTGGTACGTTTGTTGGCTGCATAAATGTCTTCTTTTGAGAAGTATCTGTTCATATCCTTTGCCCACTATTTGATAGGGTTGGTTGTTTTTTTCTTGTAAATTTGTAAGTTCCTTTTAAATTCTGGATATTAGCCCTTTGTCAGACGGATAGATTGCAAAAATTTTCCCCCATTCTGTAGGTTGCCTGTTCACTCTGATGATAGTTTCTTTTGCTGTGCAGAAGCTCTTTAGTTTAATCAGATCCCATTAGTCAACTTTGGCTTTTGTTGCCATTGCTTTTGGCATTTTAGTCATGAAGTCTTTGTCCATGCCTATGTCCTGAATGGTATTGCCTAGGTTTCCTTCTAGGGTTTTTATGGTTTTGGGTTTTACATTTAATTCTTTAACCCATCTCGAGTTAATTTTTGTATAAGGTGTAAGGAAGGGGTCCAGTTTTCATTTTCTGCATATGGTTAGCCAGTTTTCCCAGTACCACTTATTAAATAAGGAATCCTTTCCCCATTGCTTGTTTTTGTCAGGTCTGTCGAAGATCAAATGGTTGTAGATGTGTGGTCTTATTTCTGAGGCCTCTGTTCTGTTCCATTGGGCTATATATCTGTTTTGGTACCAGTATCATGCTGTTTTGGTTACTGTAGGCTTGTAGTACAGTTTGACGTTGGGTAGCATGATGCCACCAGCTTTGTTCTTTTGCTTAGGATTGTCTTGGCTAAACAGGCCCTATTTTGGCTCCATATGAAATTTAAAGCAGTTTTTTCTAATTCTGTGAAGAAAGTCAATAGTAGCTTGATGGGAATAGCATTGGATCTATAGATTAGTTTGGGCAGTATGGCCATATTCACGACATTGCTTCTTCCTATCCATGAACATGGAATGTTTTTCCATTTGTTTGTGTCCTCTCTTATTTCCTTGAGGAGTGGTTTATAGTTCTCCTTGAAGAGGTTGTTCATGTCCCTTGTAAGTTATATTCCTAGGTATTTTATTCCCTTTGTAGCAATTGTGAATGGAAGTTCACTCATGATTTGTCTCTCTATTATTGGTGTATAGGAATGCTTGTGATTTTTGCTCATTGATTTTGTATCCTGAGATTTTGCTGAAGTTGCTTATCAGCTTAAAGAGTTTTTGGGCTGAGATGATGGGGTTTTCGAAATATACAATAATCTGCAAACAGAGACAATTTGACTTCCTCTCTTTCTATTTGAATACCCTTCATCTCGGAGGGGCACCTGCCTGATGCAAGCCAGAGCTCTTCTGTATGAGGTGTCTGTTGACCCCTGCTGGGAGTTTTCTCCCAGCCAGGAGGCACGGGGGTCAGGGACCCACTTGAGGAGGCAGTCTTTTCCTTAGCAGAGCTTGAGCACTGTGCTGGGAGATCTGCTGCTCTCTTCAGAGCCAGCAGGCAGGACAATTTAAGTCTGCTGCAGCTGTGCCCACAGCCTGCCCTTCCCCCAGGCACTCTGTCCCAGGGAGATGGGAGTTTTATCTATAAGCCCCTGACTGGGGCTACTGCCTTCCTTTCAGAGATGCCCTACCCAGTGAGGAGGAATCTAGAGAGGCAGTCTCGCCACAGCGACTTTGCTGTTCTGCAGTGAGCTCCACCCAGTCCGAACTTCCCAGTAACTTTGTTTACACTGTGAGGGGAAAGCTGCCTACTTGAGCCTCAGTAATGGTGGATGCCCCTCTCCCTACCAAGCTCAAGCGTCCCAGGTCGACTTCAGACTGCTGTGCTGGCAGCGAGAATTTTAAGCCAGTAGTTCTTAGCTTGCTGGTCTTTGTGGGAGTGGGACCTGCTGAGTAAGACCACTTGGCCCCCTGGCTTCAGTCCCCTTTCCAGGGGAGTGAATGGTTCTGTCTCACTGGGGTTCCAGGTGCCACGGGGGTATGAAAAATAAACTCCTGCAGCTAGCCCTGTGTCTGCCCAAACAGCCACTCAGTTTTGTGCTTGAAACCCAGGGCCCTGGTGGTGTAGGCACATGAAGGAATCTCCTGGTCTGCAGGTTGCAAAAACCGTGGGAAAAGCATAGTATCTGGGCTGTATAGCATAGTCCCTCACGGCTTCCCTTGGCTAGGGGAGGGAGGTCCCGGCCCCTTGCACTTCCCAGGTGAGGTGACTTCCCACCCTGCTTCTGCTTGCCCTCTGTGGGCTGCACCCACTGTCTACCCAGTCCCAATGAGATGAACTAGGTACTCAGTTGGAAATGCAGAAATCACCCACCTTCTGCATTGGTCTCACTGGGAGCTACAGCCAGGAGCTGTTCCTATTCGGCCATCTTCTATTGTTTCTTTTAAAAGATCAATATCAGAAATATTCCTAATAATTAAAAAATAAATATAAAATCACATGAACCCAAAAAATATGTACAATTATGATATATTAATAACAAAAGAGTATCAGAAAATCCAATTAAAACAAAATCAAGAATTCTAAGTGACTTTGTCTCTTTCCAAAGGTTCAAGTGGAACAAAGTCTGTAAGGCTCTTAAAATGTATGCAATATTGACTTGGCTTCTCAAGAACAACCTCAAACCATAAAAGACATTTAAGGTAGAACACATTTCAGTTTCAGCATTATATTCACATTACATATTCTTAACACTCAATGTCAATTCCAGTAACAATCAAAATAAGGTTTAGTCATTTGCCTTTACAGCAAGAAACCTGATTCCTTACAACAACGAAAAAGTACCATGAGTGTAGTTTACATTTTGTCATGACTGTCCAACCGCAAGAGAAAGGAAATTTAGTCACTTTCTTCACGGCAACTTCATGGGTAGGACCCACAAAGTCCGATATTGTTTCATCAAGTTCAAACAAGTTGATCATGTACTAAATTACCTGCTTAGACTTGGATGAGACTGAGTCCACTTTTTGTTTTTCTTTTGAGATGGAGTTTCACTTTGTCACCCAGGCGGGAGTGCAGTGGCACAATCTCAGCTCATTACAAGCTCTGCTTCCTGGGTTCAAGCAATTTTTCTGCCTCAGCCTCCTGAGTAGCTGGGATTACAGGTTCCCACCACCACACTTGGCTAATTTTTTTGTATTTTTTGTAGAGACGGGGTTTCACCACGTTGGCCAGGCTGGTGTCAAACTCCTGACCTGAAGTAATCCGCCCACCTCAGCTTCCCAAAGTGCTGGGATTACAGGCCCACTATTTATTTTTTAAGAAAATTTCTACGCATGTGATCCCTAGAAACTTAGTTATTTAGGATAAACTGTCTGCCTAAAGGCTAACAATAGAGTTTCCCATTTTGCACAACCAAGTTAGATCTAGGTAAAGAGATTTTCTTGGTTATCTGTTTTATGCATTGAAGCAAAGGAGACACTAGTAAGCATCACTTTCACAAGGAGCCACCAGCGCCTCAGAGAGGAGGCCAGATGACCTAAACTGATTTCAGATACCTTTGGAAAGACTCAGTCAGCCTCCTTTGTGGGGCTCAACCTCCTGAACAGCCCTTCATCTAAACCAACAATGTCCTTTTTCCCACTTCTCTTTCAGAAGAATGTGGTTTCCTCACCATGCCCCATCTGATTCCTCCATCATCTGTCCTTGGCCACTTTCAGTTCAGCGAGGCCCAGCTAAGGCATGGGATGAATGTGCTAGGCCTGACAGAAAATTCCAGAGAGAGCTCAGTCAGCCTTAGTAAGTGCAAAGTTGCAGAAGCCATGGCCTCAGACCAAGACTCTAAAGTGACCCAAATAAAGGGAAAGAGGGTGTGACCTTCCCAAGACCTCTAATCCTGGAGATAAAGTTTTCAATCCTAATTGTCCAAGCCTGTGGCCAGGTCCTCCTGTTTTTCTTTGTCAACTACATTTCAGAACAGTCATCCTAATTACTAAACCAAATTATGGCCAAATTTAGTTACTTGACACTTGAGTTGAACTATCTTGAGACTATTTCAATTTGGTATTTGTAATATTCTTCTTAAAACTCACCTTTCTTGTATAAAATTATTTCTGGGACTCTAACCTCTGAAAGACAGTTTTAAAAACTCATTTGGCTTGAACAAAACAGTGAAAGCCAAGGTCGTAGCTCTCAAAAGACTTTTCCGTAAAAACAAAGATTAACTCACAGATGTGAAAGTAATAATGTAACACTAGATCTTCAAATTTCCCTTTGAAGTCAGTCTCCCTATCTTAAGCCTATTCCTACAGTTCTCATGCAATAGCCTTGACTAAAACACTCTCAAGACCCCATTTTTCTCCACTCCTTTCCTGACACTCCTTCCAAAATTAACCCCATGGGTGGGGATTTGATGACAATTGTACTTCTTGCACTAACTTCAGCTTTTTGATGATTGTAGATTGGCACGAAGAAAATACACTCACACACAAAGGTCAGATTAAGGCATTAATATATTTAACTAAGGATAGAGAATATTATCAGAAGTAGCCACACAGGGTCAGAGAAAATGCAGCAAATCTGAACCTGGTTGTCTTTGCCCTCCACATCCTTTAATGGGCAGTGACAAAAAGCACACAAGGCATGGGGTCTTGTCAGATCTGAGAAGCTCCTTTCTTGCATGCTCCCAGCTATGATGATGTATTCTACAGTTTGTGCCTGTTATTAAGCTATTGTCTCTCAGTTTCATATCTGCCTTTTTATCCTCTACTTTTCAATGGGGATGGTACCCTGCAAACCACATCTCTGCTTTGCCAGCCAGCCTCCTATTAGGCTCTGCCAATAGAGGGAAGCTAGGGAGACTCTGGGAGGTTAGAAGAAGAAGGCACGCTCCTTCCTGTCCACTTCCATTTCCTTTCAGTGTCACCCCCATAACAGTACCTCACACATGCAGCTGCAGCTGGTTCCAGTAGAAGTTAGTTCCATTTTCCAGTTTCTTTTCACACTCCTGGAATCAGCCTTATTGTAGCCCTCAGAGATACTAGAACCATCCAGGTGTAGCCCCTCCCTCAAAAGTCTGAGCCTCAGATCGACGAGGCTGAGAATCCTCCTGTGAGCTCCTGGGGTATTAACACCAACTAGCTAGAGCCCCCTCCTCCAAAGGTCTGAGTCCCAACCATGCTGGATTCTCCTCAGAGCTCCTAGGTTCTGATAACCTCAGTCTCTCCCCTGTGTTCCCCCAGCCCTAGGATGGTAGCTGCTTCATGCAGTTACTGTCTCTGTGTTACCTCAGTATTACCTTGTTGCTTTTTCAGTTCTCTAACACCTGTTGAATCAATTCCCTATAGCCAATTCTCCCTGTAGAAATAACTAGTATAATTTTTACTTTACCAACAAGACCCTGGTTGCCATAAAAGTACATCTTTTTGCTGATTCTAAAACTTACCACTATCAAGCATCATACCATTCACTATTTCATAAAGTTCAACTGGAGATCAATGAAAGAGGAAAGGAGAAATTATTTCCAACCATCCCAGGCCAGGGATGCTAGACCTTGATCAGCTGGTAGGGAAATAATGAGCACATGTCTAAGGAAATACCACCAGATTGAAAAAGCCCAACTGCCAAGGAACTCCTGGTATTTTGGGAACTTTACACAATTATGAAAAATATCTAGCTTCGTACAGTCCTTACAGGGATGCCTTCTTTGCCATTTTGTCCCCTATACATATGCATTTATTTCCCCCACCATCACCCACTTGCCAATCTCAGAATGAGGTAAATTTGTGAAGGCTGGAGTTACAACCATGCAGTGGGTACGTGCCTTCTGACTGAAATGAAATGAAATGCAGCATTTCTTTAAAAGCCAATTATTTCCAACCTGTTTCATTAGAGTCAAACGTGCTAAATGAGCATGTAACATATTGACTTTTGTGCCCTGTGGCATCTGGGGCCATAAATGTCTTGCTTATCATAATACTCATCTTCATAGCTCTTGCAAATCAGGACCCCTCCCTGGAGAGCATACGTGGCCCATTCATAACTCAGGATGGCAAGGAGACAGGCTGCCTGATGAAATGGGAACTGGTCTCTCCTGCCCTCCACACTTCTGCACACATGGCTGGATCTGCTGCATGCACCCAACCTGACCATGAGTCAGGAAGCCTCTCCATCTGCATCTGAACAGATGGCAGATCATCCGATGCAGCCGGTGCCATTCCCTGCAAGAAGGAAATCAGGCCCCCAACAGGATTGCCCCAGGCAGGGAGATAACAAGGGGAACCCTGGTGAAGCCCAGTGGAATAACTTGAGACTGACCTGCATTTGAATCTTAGCGCTGTCACTTACTTACTTGTTGTGAGACCTTGAGCAAGTTACTTAACCTCTGCCAGCCTCAGTTTCCCTCCCTGGAAAAATGGAGCTGATAATGCCTACTTTATAGGGTTGTTGTGATGATTAAATAATGACATGTATATAAAGCTACTTACTCAGTACCTAACACATTGTAAACACTTAAGAAATAGTAGCCATTATTGTTATGGGTTTTTTTTTACAGATATTAACAATCTAGTGGAGTTGAATTGTTGCAGGACTATGTTTTCAGTGCATCACTTCACCATCTCTGCTGTGTGTAAGCAAAAAAGCAGAAATGTAAACCTTATGAATTCTTGAAAACAATCGCTTACTATTCCCCTCTGAAAGATGTACACCCTCATACCCTTCTCTACATTTTCTCAGCTCCTCACCATTCTCACATACTCTCCCCTCACTCGCTGCACAGCTCCTAAAAAGAGGGTGGAGGTGGGGTTCCTGAGCTCTTCTTCTGGCACTGTCTATTCCTGACAAGTTTCTTTTATTTCCTGCTGACTATTGGGTGGATCCTCACGGGTGTGCTCCTGAGGGTCAACTAAGAGCAGAGACGCTGCTTTTCCAAGATCCAACAGTGAAAACCATGGGCATCCAGCAGAGGTACATGCAAAACTCTCATCTCACACCCTAAACTTTTATGCAGGTGTGGCATTTGAGATTCACCAGGGAAGCTGCATAATTACTTAGAAAGAGTACCATCTGATTGTTCCTTTCTCTGAAAAGTGTAATCTCTCCTAATAACATCACCCAACTGAATGCCTCCTAATTCTGTCGGAATGCATTTTAATTATCGCTGCTTCTTATGTTGGTGAGCTGTTGCTGGAGTTTTTGATTTGTGATGGAAAATAGGGAAGCCATAAAATATTTTGGTGACAGCTCTCTGATTAGGCAGCATTGCAGAAAAACAAGTTGTCACAATAAAACTGATTAATCAAGTTGTCAGAGTAAAACAAATTAATGCCACAAAAACCTTTGCTAGAAATTACCTCTGTACCTTGGGGTATTTGACTGATGGATTCCTGCTATTAGCAGAAATTTCCATCTCATGAGCAAGTCTTCCAAGTCTGCACTTGGGATCTGAGTTGGGCCAGTCACCCTGTAGCAGGGAAGTAACTGTGAACCCAGAAATATATTTGCAGAGGGCAGTCGCTGACTTGATTTTTAGAGATATTTTGTTCCTGCCTAACTACTTGGGAGACTATTAGTATCTGCAATATAATCTAGGAGCTATAAAGCTTTAATGCAAAATAAATACAAAAGCCATTACTAAAGTCCTATCAGAGGGTCCAGATTTAATTTATTAAGATGTTTAATCACAGTACTCTGGCAGGAAAGGTACTCTGCAATTCTTCCTGTACATTCCTCTGTCTCAAGGAAAGACCTTGATGGCAATCACAGGGCCTGTCTGTCACAGTTTATTGTTACGTAGATGGTGATGTTTGGTTATACAGAGCCCCATCTCCTCATGACCAGAGATTATTGGACCAGAGATGGACATGACCAATTTTCCTGGTATAAAATGATGAGCTGAGCTGATGACATTCCATCTTTCAAGATTTAACTAGAAAATATTGATAGAACAGGCCAGTTAGCTGTGGGAGCTGAAGGTGATTGAGCACCATAAGGTAATACAGAGCCATTAAGGGTCTTGGCAAATCAAAGTTATAAGTAAGCAAAAGCTTTAAGATAGAGAAAAGATGGAGTGAGAAAGAAAGAAGTCAGTGGGTAGCAAGAAGAGAAAGAGACAGAAACCTGTGATAGAGCTGGGAATTGGCATCAATCACTTGAGCAGCCTTCATTCCAGAAAAATCTCCAGGTTCAATTCCAATTTGTATACTTAGAATAAAATCCTCTTTATTTTTTTTTAAGCAGGGTCTCTCTCTGTCACCCAGGCTGGAGTGCAATGGCGTGATCATAGCTCATTATAGCCTCCGTCTCCTGGCTCAAGCAACCCTTCTGCCTCAGCCTCTTGAGTAGCTAGGGTGGGCTTTTGCCACCAAGCCCAGCTAGTTTATTTTTATTTTTTTTAGAAACAGGGTCTCACTATATTACGCAGACTGATCTCAAACTCCTGGCCTCAAGTGATCCTCCATCCCTGGCCTCCCCAGTTGCTGGGATTTCAGGCATGAGCCTCCAGCACCAGCCCCCTCTTTCCTTGAGAAAACTGGAGTGGGTTTCTTTCTAGCAAATACTCTTACCAGGTGCAGGGGAAACTGACCTGGCAATAGAGAAGGGAAGGAGTGAAAAGGGGATCCAAAGGACAGTGAGTGATATTCAAACTCTTCATCACAATGAATATCACCTGTGTGCCATACAAGGCCATATTTCCTGCATAGCATCCTTGAACATATGTTAACTGGTTCCAGTTCATGGGAGCCCCACAACAATGCTAGGCTTCGCAAATTAACTTGGCATTGGAAGAAAGGGCTAAACCCCAAAACATTCGTTCTCAGACATCTCCACTAGGAGCTAATCATTGTAACTGGAGTAGATATTTGTTGCAGCAAAACCAGGGTCCAGCAGTGGGGTCCAGGCTTTGAAGGCACTAAGCACATCACCTCTCCTCTGACATTAAAATACCACCCTCAGGAGGCTGTAGCCATACTGCTTTTGAGGGCAGAAATCTATTAATACATATTGGAGGGGAGGAGTGATACAGAATGGAGGAAGGTGAAGTTATTGTAATCAAGTCTAGCCCCAAATAATAGCCTAGGATCCTACTTTTTGTTCTTTCAACCTCCTAAAGAAGAAAGGGTCAATACCTGCATAAAGTGTGCACACACACACATGCACACATATGGCACAAATTATTTTGAACATATATGAGTTCAAAAAGCTGAATTATCAAATATCAAATGTTTCAATCATTCTAAGCAATGTCCTGCTAAATATAAAGCACCTAAATTTAAAGTGTTCAAGAGAATAAATATGTTTCATCCATCTCAGTACTGCTGAGCAACTCAACACAAAGATTACAGATCCCTGAAAGTAGATTTGGCAATTGGAAGGTGCAAGGTTAACTCAAATTTAATTCCAAAGTGAGGCCAAATACACCGTCTTCTTCAAAGAGGTGATGGGGGCAAGGAGCAGAGGACTAGAGTTTATGAAAGTTTAAGATAACTCCAGTCTGCACCATTCTTTACAGCTCACACAACTGTCTCACTCACACCAGCTCATTTTAGTCCTCCTTGATACAACCCCAAGAACTAGATACTGTTATTACTGTCATCTCTGCTTTATAGTGGAAGAAACAGATTCAGAGAGATCAAAAGAATTTCCACTAGAGGAGGACATCCCTTGTGCCAGCCAGAGCCCTCTAAGTCATGTGGGCAGGGTACTTCTCAGAAGTATTTCTCACCTTTGCTAGCTAGGACCCTAAGTGAAAGGTGCCCTAGCAATAGGGCCACAAATTGGCAGCTCCAGTAGCCTTTAACTCCACCCTAGGTGACAGCTTCTGCCTGCCTGGAAAGCCAGCACCACTGAGTGTCATCTACCAACCTCTATCCCTACCGTCTTCAGGTCTGACCAAAATGCAGCCCCTGCTCATCCATCCTGATTCCCACGTAGCTCTGTGCTTCTCCTTGTCATCCTGCCACTGTGGCCTTCTTGCAAATCCAGTACTGTGAGCCTTTATTCCACTGTGAAAATATCTGCAACTACATTCTCCACCCTTTCTTAAAACCTTCCCTCTATCTCTGAGCCTTAATGTCTCTCTCTCTCAGAATGATGCCCACCCCACCCTCCAGAGCTAAAAAGCAGATGCCCACTTTTTTCACTCTCTGCACAGTTTTCTGAACATGACCCATTGTTTCATACTCCCTTGCCTTTGCTCATGCTGTTCTCTCTACCTGCAATGCTTTCCTGCCACCTATTCCATCCTCATCCCCAAACCCTATCTTCCTGAAGTGCTAACTCATCTGCCAAGAGTAATTCATGACTCTTCTCTGGATGGCCTTTTCTGACCACCTCCTTCTGTCATAACTATGCCCTATACAGATTTCTTTCATAGACACACTAAATATTTCATTACAGTCATTTGTTTATGTATCTCTCTTCCTACTATACTAAGAGTTTCCAGAGGGCAAGGATTACATCTAATTCATCTCTGTGTTCCCTGGCAGTGCCCAACACATAGTAAATGCCTTATCAATATTTATAGAATAAATAAAAGCAAGAATGAATAAATAAACTGGCAAAGCCAGTACTCTAAACCAGGTCTTCTGATGTAAAACCCATGGTCTTTTCACACTACAATCAAGCACACACAATGACAACAGTCAAACCAGCAAACAGGAAGCTGGAGGAGACTGAGAAGAAAGAAACAAAGCAGAAAGTCACTGCCGTTCTGCCCCTAATTCTCACCTACCTCTGCGAGTACCGCCAAGAGCTTCAAGCCCCAAGCAACTTTGAAGAAGGGGCTGACACCAGTGCCCACTACCCTTGATCTTTATGTCACTATCATATTTTTTGTGCATCAGAGATGAATTCTAGAAACACCTAATGTTCAGAACGGGAGGAAACTAAGAGATCACTTGGTTCTACCTCCTCATTTTGAAGATGAAGAACTAGAGGCACAGAGAAATGAAGTAACTTGTCCCAGGTCACCCAGTAACTTAGGGGCAGAGTCGAGTCCAGACCCTAAAACCCTACCTCTTGCTTCATTGCTTCTTTTTCTGTACTCATGGCCTCTCATGATGTTGGAGGCAGGAGGTCATTACCCTGGAGTTCATTAAATCCCCATGACTTGGACCAGGTGTGTACACCCAGACATCACAGGAAGGGATTTCTGCCTCTTTTCCCCAGCCCTGGCATTGAACTCAGATAGACCCAGGCTTAAACCCAATCAGTACCACCTACTCATCAAGTGAAGTAGTACAAGTGAGTTAAACTATCTGAGCCTCAAATTCTCCATCTATATATATTAAGGATGTGATATCCTTCTCTCAAAGTTGATGTGAAAATACATAACATGGTCTATGTTAATGCTGTTAGCAAGGGCTTGGCATACATTAGATGCTTAATAAATAAACATCTTAAATTGGTTTCAAGTCATGAGAATGGTCATTTTGAAGGGTTGTTTCCTTGCAAAGGAAGTTTAAAGTCCTCCTTAAAAGCATTCTGCCAAGAGATAGACACTTCTCGACCTACACTGTCTTTTATTCTAAAGGATTGTCCATATTTTGCCTAAGTCAAAAATGCTGCTTCTTTAACATGACAGGCATTTTACTTTCATAAGCTCTTTTGTAAACCCACTATCATCCAAAATAATTTTTCTCAGTTCAGGCAGTAAAAATCTATTTCATGTGGAATGAAAGGCAGGCTGTTGGTTACCTTCAAAGCTTTTTAGTATTTTCATTTTCTTATTCTAAATCAGTGTTCTGTTTTTTCTAAATTGGTCCTGTTCTTTTGGTACCACCTGGTTTACTTTTCTTCTTTTTTAAATTTTTTATTAATTCAGTTTGCCTTTTTTAATCAAAGATTTACATGCACATAAAGTAAATAGTTATATAAGGCTTATTATTTAAAAACAACATGCCCCACTACCACTACCACAGTCTCCATTCCATTTCCCACTCCCTAGAGGTAACTATATTCAAATTACTAAACTGATTTTCTTTTGAATTTACTTCTATGTTTCTAAATAACATGCTTGTATTGCTACTAAAAGAAAAAAATATTTAAACTCTGTTGACTCACCTGGAAGAGGAAGATTTAACTCCTCTTCTTCCCCTTCCTGGTCCCACTGCATAAATGCACACTTTCCCATCTCTCTGACCCCATTCTCCTCAAAGAGCCAGACAGTAAATTTGGCTAAGTCAATATTTAGTTTCTACCTTACTGTTATCATATAAATATTCATCACAGCCTAGTCACTTGTACACCATGATTAGTTTTTCATGCCTGCACAACATTTTGTTTCTCCTGTACTTAATAATGGTCTTGTAGGTTTTCTATGTAATTTTCATTAATTTACTTCCAACACTTCCCTAGTTGTGTAAATCTCCTCTCAATGCATTCAAACACATTAAGCGTTCTATTCAATTTCATGTTCTTGAAGAAATCTCTCTGAAGCCTCTGGCCTGCTCCAATCCGGACTGGTTGCTCTCCAGGTCTGCTGCACAGCTGCCATTTGGGGACCTCTTTTCACCAACATGCTGGGTGTTTCTCCCACCTCTGTCTTGTGTTGGAGCCCATTTTTTGGATCTCATGTCTTTCTTTTTCTCGGTTTATTTTGTCGTCTTGGTACATTGCACTCTTTTGTAGCTTCATTGGAAAAGGTATGCACAGGAAACAAATTTTTTCAGGACTTGAATGCCTTAAAGTGTCTTTATCCTACCTTCACATTAATTGATTGTTTGGGTATAGAATTCCTGGTTGGAAATTATTTTCCCCTCAGATTTAGAAAGCATTGTTCCATTGTCTTTAGCTTCCAGCATGGCTGTCCCTTATGTCCTGAAATTTTGCCATGATGTGCCTTGGTGTAGCTTTCTTTTCCTCTACTGTGCTGATTCTAAAAATTCATGTCATTCATTTTGAGAAGTTTTTACTGATTATTTTTTCCCATCTGATTATCTATTCCTTCCTTCTGGAGCTCCAATTATTTGGATGTTGGGTTTCCTGGAGACCTTTTGCTTTGCCATTTTTCTTTCCTATTTTCCATTTTCTGTTTAATTTCCTCATTTCCTATTTTCTCTATCTTCTTCTCTACTTCAGAGATTTGCCCAACTTTATTATCATTCTCTAATTCATTTATTTAACAAGTTTTTGAGTACCTACTATGTACCAGGCAATGTTCAAGGTGCTGGAAATACCACTATAAAAAAACAAAAACAAACAAACAAAAAAAAACCCTGTCATAATTGATCATACAGCCTTTGGACCCTATTATTGAGCATTTTGTTTTTGCTACCAAATATTAAATTTCCAAGAGATGTTTGTCATCCTTATGTATTCCTTCTTCATAGCAGACTATTCTGGTTTGGGGCTGCCCTATCTTCTCTTATGTCTCTGGGCATTTCGATAGATTTCTTTGAAGTTTTCTTCTTATACTGTTTTCACTTCTCCCACAATGACTTTATTTGTCTTGGTTTATGTCTTCCATTTTATGTGCTTTCCTCAAATATTTGGGCATCTATTCATATTTAAAAGTGGCATGCTAAAGCATGGATTGGAAGCTCCGTGTTGATGGCTGGGGCCTGTCAACCTTGGTCTTTACAATAGATAAACAGTAGATCTGGGTATCCTATCCTTAAGGAACCCCTGATATTAGTTTCCTTAGATCTTTCCCTTGAATTGGTCAAGTTTCTCAGAAAAAAATCTTAGAGGTACAATATTCAGTGTATTAACTTTTACCCAATCTCCCTATTTCAGTATAGTTATACCATCTTCAACTGCCTTATATTCTTGATACAGAGACTGTCTGTTTTACTTTGCCATAATGGAAGGTGGACATTCTTCTTGCTGCGTAAATAATAATTACTACAATATAATTCATTATTTATTGTTGCACTAAAAATTACTTCCAAACTAAGTAACTTAAATATTGTCTCATAGTCTCTGGGTTGGGAATCTGGACAGGACTTAGCTTCATGCTTCCACCTAAAGGTTTCTCTGAAGGCTGCAACAAGATGTCAGCTGGGGCTGCAGTCTTATCTGAAGGCCCAACTGGGGGAAGATCTTGGAAATGCCCTGGATTTTATCTTTGCTGAGAAGGCATTTCTGAAATACAGCAGTGTTTGCCATCTAGCCAGACTGGGAATTTTCAAATTCATCAATTCCTGGCTGCTGTTTATCAGTACTTTCTTCAATTTATCTCTGTCCTCTTGCATTTTACCCCAAGCAGCAAGAAGAAATCAGACAGCACCTTCAATGCTTTGCTTGGAAATCTCCTAAGCTAAATCACCCAAATGGGTGATTGGGTACATTTCCTACTTTCCACATTACTGCAAACAATAATAATGTAACAGTCTGTTCAGCTTAACTTAGGTTTCCTCTAATATATACATCAAAAAGTCTTCCCAGCCTTCATTTACTGGTCAGTCAGAAAGCCACTTCACACTTTTTGGTATTTTTTTAATAGCATCACTCCACTGATGGTACCAAAACCTATATTTGGTATCTATTGCTGTATTTTAAAAGTATCCCAAACCTAGCAACTTAAAACATTAAACACTTATTGTTTCACTATTCATATGGGCCCAGAATCCAGATGTGGCTTAGTTAGGTGCCTCAGCTTCAAGATCTCTCACAAGGCTGCAGTCAAGGGGCCAGCTGGGGCTATGGTGTCAACTGAAAGCTTGACTAGGGGAGAATCTATTTCTAAGCTCTCTCACATAATTGTAGGCAGAATTTAGATTTCATGGGCTGTTGGATTAAAGGCCTTAGTTTTTTACTTGCTGCTAGTTGCTGGCATCCTTTGATTCCCTGCCATGCGGACTTCTCCATAGAGCAACTCACAACATGGCAGTTGACATCTCTCAGAGCAAGTGAATGAGAGAGTGAAAGAGGGAGACCCAAAATTGAACCTTGGGTCTTTATTTATAACTTCACTTCATAATTGCTATGCCATCACTTTTCCCATATTCTATTGGCTAGTCATGAGACACAAAATCCAGTCCTCACTCAAAGAGAGGGCATTACACAAGACCATGAGTATCAGGAGTCAGGGGTCGTTGTGTTTTCTTGGAGGCTATTTCCACAATAATATTATATCATATCAAATAAAAGTAAGACAACATACACCAGAGCAATGAGAAGTCAAAATAACAGAAACACAGAATGGAGAGAAAAGGCCTTCTCTTCAGGTTAGTTATTGCCAGTCTTGCATTCTGTCTTGCAGTATTCAGCATCACATTCGACTGCTTTGTTAGTTGGTAATGCAGACTTTGTAGACCTTTAAAATTATGGTTCTTTTTTTAAATTACGGTTCTTATGCAAATGTTTTTATGTTATTTAATTTGTGTAAGTCAAGTATTGTGTAACCAGGGGAACTACCGTAATTTGGAAGAAAGAAATATATACCAAAGAAAGTAATCACAACATCCATGAAATCTGTGGCATTAGAAGGAACCTCAATTTCCTGGCACAACACTGACAGTTCCTGCTGTAGCTCTTCCAGCTTTCCTGTTTGTCTCTCTCTACTTTGTCCCGAGATTTGTTTATAAGATTCCTCACTGATTCCTTACTGATTAGCATCTAAGCCATTCATCTATTCATTTGTCAACCACAAAGCACTGATTGAGCACCTGCTGTGTACTAAGTTCTGCAGTAGCCCCACACCCCCACACTCCCTACTACGAGAGAATGAGTCATAGTCTCTGCCCTTCTGGAGTACACAGTCTGATGGGGGTTGAGGGTAAACAAGTGAAACCATACTTATAAAACCCTTGAGCTGGGACCGAAAAGATGATCAAAAGTTCGTTGAGTAGACAAGGTTGGGAACATGTAGTGGGCATGTCAAGGATACAGAGGACCCACAACAAGAACCTACCAAATCTTGTTTGTTTCTTGTCTAAAAGTGTTGCCCAAATATAAGGAAATGGAAGAAGAATCTCATGGCTAGTGTGTGTGCATGTTTCAATAAATCCCATTAAGATTTTGTCTGCCTGAGAGTATAGACTATAGGTGGGAAAGTTAAAGGCTATAGATGGAGGGAAAAGGAAGACATGTCAGGGAGAAATTTCTGGCTCAAAGCTATCAAAATTGAAGTGGGCTGCCATAGTAGCCACCGTTCCATTTGATACTGGCAAACTGGTCCCTAAATGCTGGTGGGACCTTGACCCCAGCCAGTGTCCAGGCTCTTGACACCATCACAAGAATGAATTTAAGGACCAGTAAGAAAATAGTGAAAGTATGGAGATTTATTGCAAAGGGAAAAGTACACACTCAAGAAAAGGGAGTGCAGGTATACTCAAGAGACTCACACGTAAGGGTTTGGAGTTTCTATCTTTATGGGGTTTTCTTAACCATGGGGTGGAATATTATGAAAATTCCTGGAAAAAGTGGAGATTTCTTAGAACTGTGGTGCCATCCATTTTTACACTAAATATGGGTGGTCTCAAAACTGCCATGACACTGGCAGGTGTGTGATTTAGTATGTTAATGAGCATACATTAATAATGAAGTCCTAGGTGAAACCTACATCAAACACAGTGTCATGTTGGGTCCAGTAGATCTTAGCCAGCTTTGTCCACACCTTGACTTTTCAGGACTTTATCAGCCCATAGCTTCTGCAGCTATTTCAGATTTCCTTTTGCTAGTCATGTAAAACTACTGCTTAGAATTTTCTAATCTCCTGTGACAACCCTGTATTATTCCTGTCTCATATTTTTTCCTCTTCCGGTCATGCTAATCTTCTCTCACTTTCTCCACTAAGCCTCACTCTTTCTTTTTCATGCTTGGATCCTTCAATGTGCCATTTCCTCTACATGCAACCCTCCTGCCACCAAATCTTCCTTTATCTTGCTGGTTCCCACTCCTCCTTCCGCTCAGCTTGGAAGTTACATCCTCTAGGAACTTTTCCATGACCACTACCACCCAAGCCACAGTAGTCTTCACTAACCTCAGAGTTCTCCCTAACCTAACACTCTTCATACTTGTTCAATGTCTGTCTTTATAGATTGCTGGGCTAGAAGCTCCCTGAGGAGAAAAGCATCATTCATTTGTCTTGTTCACCATCAAATTCCTAAAACTCACCAGAGTCCATGGCACTTGAGAGGATACAGTTGAATGAACAAATGAATGAATAGGCAGGGCATTCTCTTTTCCTGGAAGTGGCTACATGGTCACTTGATGGGAATGTCATAGAGAAGATTCTGGATGAGGCAACAGGAGTTGGGGTTGTGGGGTGAACTACATGATCTTTTAGTTCTGTTACACCTCTGCAATTTTAGGACATAACAAAGAATAAAATAACAGTAACCATCCTTCCCCTAGAATGGAAATATTCTATTACTTCAAGTACATTATAAAGTCCAATAATTCAGTATTATACTTGGGAATTAACCCCTGAATAAGACCCAAATGCAAATAAAATTATTTGTTTAAGACAGATTTAAAGGTCAAATGTGGCTACTGGTTTCTTTCTTCACTGACACCATGTAAAGATAAAGAAGGCTCCTGAATGAGAGAGAGAACCACTTAGAACACATATCCAAAGCTGAATTCTGACCCATTTTAAATGACTAGTGCCTCACTAGCAGAGTAGTTGTTCTTGATATTATTCGACTCACACAGTCAATATTGAGAATACCATGAAACCTTGCAACTTCCTCCCCGCCAAAAATGCACAACGACACACTTATTCAGAAATTTGCTTCCTGTTTCAGAGGCTCCCTCATCTCCTTAGAGCTCATGCACAGACCTCAAGTTGAGAAGCTCGAGGTAATAACCAAGATTCACAAACAGCTAAGTGGGACATGTGTCCCCGAGGGCTTCAGTCATAAAATGCACTGCTCCCTTTCCTTTTCAAATGTATGGGGTGACAGCGACAAAGGCAGGCCTGACAGTCACCAGCTGCACCCAGCCACTGACAAGAGACTGAACAATATAGAAAGACCTGAGAGAGTTCACCAAATTATAAATTCCTTGAGCACAGGGTCTGTGTCTGCTCTATTTATTGCAGTATCCCAAGTAAAAAACAGCAAGATGGAAAGACTCAAGGAAATTATTTTTTTTAAAAAAAAGGAGAGACATAGATGAAGAGAAAGAGATGGGAGATAAGATTACAAAGAGAACTAGAAGAAGGTAACAATACAGAGAGAGAGACAAAGAAGCAGAAGAGTTATGAGGAGCTAGGACCCAAGACAGAAGTTTCTTAACATCAATCATGGCCTCCAGACAATTAGCTGCATGGCAGCCGTGAGAAGACTAAGTTAGCCAACTGTAAAACTATTTAACGTATTAGGACTTTAATCAATAAGAACCAGTGAAACATTTGTGCTTCATGTTCTTCTTATTTACACAGGCGGCAAACTGAAGAAAAAACTCTATTTCTCCAGCCAGAAACATTTCTTCCAAGGAGCCAAACTCCTTCAAAATCAACAACAAAGTGATGAGGAAAAAGAAAAAACATTAAGCACTTCCGCAATGCTATATTTAGATTCAGCCCAAAGACCATCTCTTACCCTTCTCCTTCTCTCCAGCTGGTTCCAATTGCAGCAAAACTCCTCAATTAAATTGCTACCAATTTTCAGTCTCCTGTTGAGGCTTCTGGCCCATCTCATCTGGAAGAGTAGCTGGAAGGAAGATGGCAGCTCTGAGAGCCAAGGTCAAGTTTTAACCTATGTACCTCCTGAAAAGACATGCCTCAGAAGACCCCATTCTGGCCAACACTAGGATATGGCTTAAGGGTCCTGAAGCCTCTTCTAACCCCTCTCAGGCAAGGGAGGTGGGAAATGCGGCATCGTCAATAGACCTGGTATTGAATTCCAGCTCTGCCTCTTACTACCTAGGTGGCTTGGCTGGTTTCTTAGCCTTGCTAAGCTCTAGCTTTGTTATCTATAAAATGGGAAGAAAAATAACTGCTACACTGAGTTGTTGCATTAGATGTGACTGATCAGGTAATGCATTTAGTGTAATATCTATCACATGGTAGGAATTCAACAAACTTCAGCTGCTATGATGAAACTGCCACTCCCATTCCACCTCCCGACAAAATGTTGAGGTTTCCCTATGTCCGAGCACGGACAACACTGTGTTGAAATGATCATATGACAGCCTGTTGCACCACTACACAGAAAAGCTGGGTCTCCATCTCCAGTGCCTACCTTGCCATAAGTTCTCAATAAGTGTTTGACATGAATGCAGTGGGAACATACTACACATGGGGCCAGCTCACTTTTTCCCTATCAATATGGCTTGGAAGAGATCCACGTAACCTTTCCAGGCTTCTGGAAATTTCTCTGTAACATGATATTCCTTGTGGTTTGTTCTGTCCTTGATTTGTCTATTCAACCCCTCACTCTTCAAAACTAAACCAGTCACTTAGGGAGAGCCCGTGCCCCGGCGTAAGGTCTATGGACTTAGCAAAACCTTCAGCAGTCCTGTGGAGGAAGAATTAACATTTGCAAGGGCAACAAGTCTCAAGCCAGAGGTCCCAGCGCCGTCCTCATCTGCATAGGCAATAACACACCGTGTGTTGTCTTCAAGGCAGAAACAGCCCAAAGAACCACTCAACCAGCTCCAGGAAATGGCTAAATGGCAGGTCAAATTGCCCATAACTTTGACAAGGAGGATGGCTGGATGATTCCAGCACCTCTCTGGGGAGAAATGAAATTCAGAAATCAAGCGTCAAGAAAGGGAATCATAAAAAATAAATAAATAAATAAAAACCAAAAACATTCTATGCAGAATTTACATCCTGCCATAAAATGGGGAAGGACTTAGGATGCAAAGGCATCCTTGTATTAGCAGAGCGTGTTTGTCAGGAAACAACCTCCCCCAGCTGGACCAATCAGCTGTTTGCTTTCAGACGATTGCTGTCGGAGACAAACAATCCAGACATTTGCAATTAGAGCATATCAATTTGTTTTTAAATTATAAGGCTGCTGGGAAGAGTCAACTCCTTGCAGGAAATATGCTACTGGGGCTCTGGGGCAGCCTCTAGGAGATGTGGTGAGACCACCAATCTGTCCAGACCCAGAGGGCAGAGGATTTATGTGCCTGCGTGTGTAGCCAAAGTCAAGGAGCAAAGGAGGTGGGCAAGCTCAAACCCAGTCCCGCCCCGCTCCAGAGGTACTGAGCTGCAAATGCCTAGCATGAACTCATTTCAGCATATGCACAATTTGCTAGATGTGTCCTCTATGGATCTGGACACTGACCTAAATGTCCTTGCAGTGCCACAGGGGATGCACTTCTCTTTGTTGTGTTGTGTGTGTTCAGAGCCCAAGAAGAAATCTATGGGGAGAGGCTATCCAAGAAGCTGGCCTCCTGGCCTCTCAGGATGGGAGCATCACCTTCTGTGTGTAATCTACCCTTGCTTCTCATCCCTGCAGCAAGGGCATCGTCTGTGTCAGGTGAAATAGACAGGGATGGCCCCATCACCTGCAGGACCTCATGGCCATCTTCATAGAACTGAACACAGCCTCTATTCCAATAAAGGGTTCAGCTCTCCTTTAATAAAAGGTCCCAGAAAGTATCCTGGTATATTCAGAAGGCAGCTGGGGAGACTTTAGCTGCCTAACTTGCCCATCATGCCACATGGCGGAGGTGAGGGCAAGGACTCACCCACGGAAGTTTTATTAGCTGATCCTCATTCCCCCATCCTCTTTTCTGTAAGCCCTTACCATTCAGGGTCCCTCCTTTCCTCTCTTGGGAACCCTCACCCCTTCCAAATGTAAGGAGAGCCCCAGTCCTGAATCCTTTCTTGTGGAAACTTTTCTTATGGGAGTTCTCAGCTGGGTCTCAGTGAAGCTATTCCCTATCTGGGCTCCTGCTCACTCCTGGGGATTTGGGGAGCCACTATCGTCTCCTGGGCATAGGGAGAGATGTGAGTACTTCAAAGGCACATAGGTCTCTTCTCCCCAGAACTAGCTACATCAGCTTCCTTGTCATTTTCTGAAGTGCAGATGTACCTCACTGCCACAAGAATTCATTTTCTATTGAAAACCATATATTCATTTTAGTTATATGACTTTTACTCTATTCCTTGAGACAATAATCTTGACCTTTTTATGATAAAGAATCATTTCTCTCCTTCCTGGACCAATCCATTACAAAGGGCCCTTAAATACCTCTGTCTGTTCTGTCTAGGACAATGGAGCAGTGCTTCTAATTTTCTCTCATTACCATGACTGGAAATGCGGTAGGGACTACTTTGCTCCATTCTGCTGCACATGCAAACTAAGGTACCTCCAACATCCCTATCCCAACCCACAAGACCAGGCATCCAATTCACCTTTCATCAGTCCTGCTGTTCCACTGCCAGCCACTAATGCAAGAGCATCTCCAAAAAGGGGCCCAGAAAAGCAGCCCAAAGGGTGTGTGAAGGTGAGCAGTAAAGGGGGCTCTCCTGACCTCAGGAGAACTTGTGATGCAATGTCACATTGACTTTCAGAGTAGAAAGCCCCCACTGATCACCAGGCAGGCTCTGATGTGAACCTGGGAACTTTAGGGGTCTTAGATAGCTGCCAGTCCTTTCTAACCAGCTTCTGCACCTTGATTTTGACGTCAAGGCCCCCAAAGTTATCTTCCAGATTATTTTCCTGCTTTGGGGAACCTGGATGGTTAAAAAAAAAATCCTTCCTCTCTCTACTGGAGTCTCGTTCTTCATCAATTATATACATTCTAGTATCTGGCATCTCAGAAGAAAAATTCTCCCACGGCTCGACAAACTCTTAAGGCCCCATTTTCTCCCTTCACTTCTTGGTTAACATTCTAAAAATAAAACTCTATACTTTTTTCATTTCTCACCCACCTCAATCCACTGAAACCTGGTTTCTATGCCCCTAACTCAAACATCTGCTGTTGAAATCTTCAATGACCGCCTCATCATGGTATCAAATGTCCATCATTATATTGGCTGCTCTCAGGTTTCCACTGCTGCTCTGTCTGCTTTTTATCATGAGGTGACCATACAGTTTTCATCTAACCCAGGGCACTATGAGAGTGCAAAGGAGCAGAAGAGTTATCACATGGGCCCAACAGGCATAAAGCAGAACAAACTGCAGGCACACCTGGACACATGATCACACTTGTCTTCAGTCTTCTTTGCTGGCTTCTCTTCCTCTGCTTATCCTTCAAGGCCAGTATCTCCCTGGTCTCTGTCCTTAATGCCTCCTCTTTTCATCGCACCCACTTCTGTTAGGTGATCTCTCCCATTACCAAGACTTCAAATATCATCTAAATGCTAATGATTTTCAAATCTATATCTCCAACTGCAGTAGCCAGTCTTAAAGATGGCTTCAATCATCCTTGAAGCCTGGTATTCACACCCTTGCAAAGTCCGTCCATCATTGTATCAAGGTCAGTTCATGTGACCAATAGAATATGGTGGAAGTGATGGTGTGTGACTTCTGAGGTGTGGTCAGTAAAAGACATTGCCATTTCTTCCCTACTTTCTTGGATCACTTGCTCTGGAAGAAGCCAGCTGCCATGTCATGAAGTCACTCGAAAGACCCCTATGGAGAGGTCCACGAGGTGAGAATTTAAGGCCTTTTTCTGACAGCACCGACTTGATAGACATGTTAGTGAGCCATCTTAAAAGCACAGCACTTTTTCCCAGCCCAGTCAAACCTTCAGGTGACTGCAGCCCTGGCCAGCATTTTGACTGCCACCTCATGAGAGATCCCCAAGCTAAGGCCCTCTTCCTCATTCACAGAAATGTGAAATAATAAATATTTATTATTATTTTAAATTGCTAAGCCTTGAGGGTAATTTATTATAAGCAATAGGTAACTAAATAAATAATTCAGCTCTTTCTCTTAAGCTTTATATTCAGATAGCTAAATGTCTCAGCTCTGTACTTGAATATCCCACCCAAAGATAAGTAACTTCAGCACTTCTGAAGCAAACACATTTTCCCCTCCATCATGCTCTTCCCAAATTTGTTCCTCCACTTTCTCCTCACCTCACTAAATGGCAGCAGCATCCTCACAGTTACTAAAGCCAGAAACTCAAACATCATCCTTGCCTCCTTCTCCCTCCATATTCCATCTGTCATCGGTTCCTGACAACTGATCCTTTTCCTTAGTAAATATCTTATATCCATCCACCTCCCTCCATCTACTCGAGTTAGGCCACTATCATCTCTCTTCTAAGTTACTATAACAGCTTTCTTAGCTGGTCTTCTTGCTTCTGTCTTCATGCGCCTCCTATTGAGATTCTCTTTTTATAAAGAAATAAATCAACTGCATCACCCCTCCTACTTAAAACCCTTCAGTGATATTGCAATGCCTTTAAAATAAAACCCAAGCCCCTATCACAACTCAAAAGAACCCCAAGCCTCCTACTGTGCCATTCTCCACCATAGTATGCCCTGCTCCCTTTTGCCTATCAGACTATATACACTCCCTTTCTCTATTTGCAAAAAATACTCTTCCCCTCAGATCTACAGCTGTCACCAGGCTGACTCTCACTCATCCTTCAGATTTCAGCCTAGAAGGCATTTCCTCTAGGAGGCTTTCCCTAAACAACATTGACCATGTTAGGTGCTGCTGCAGATTGGGTCCCCCAGGAAGCAGAGTCTGAGACAGAGATTAATGTGCAGAATATTTCTTATAGAGTGCTCTTGCAATCAACACCTGTGGAAGGGAAGGAAGGGGGATTGGGCAGAGGAAGAAGTTGAGCTATGAGGCAGCTCCCAACAGGCCTCAGCTGACTTATGGGGTTTCTGAGGCTTGAATGACTCTCCAGAGTTGTCCAAGTTGGTGCAAGGAGGTTGGGCCTTACACACCCACACCCATCAGTAATTGGATACAAGCTGCCCCAGAAGGGAGCACCAGCTTGGGGATGATCTTCAAAAAAGGAAATCTCTACAGAGTTCTGACAGCTGAAGGCACTCCCTCTGCCTCTGCCTGAAGCACTTCCAGCAGCTGGGGACTATGTCCTTTGTTCCCAAGAGGGCTCTCTGCAGTGTATCACGGAGTACTCCATGGGAACCTCTATTGTTTACTCCTGCACACCTGGTGCTCACTCATACTGCATTGTAATTGTGTGATTCCAGTCTGTGATCTCCTTAAGCATAGACCCACACTTTTCTCATCTCTAGTCCCAGCACCTAGCACTGCCTGGCATACAGTAGGTGCTCCATAAAAGTCTGCTTAAAAAATTGGTAAGACCATAGGTGGATATCAGGGCCCTCCAGGGAACCAAAATTATTCAGGGCTTCCTAGAAACCCTCCTTCTCTGAGCTGCATTGGCTCCCACCTGAGCCACAATCAGCTGGCATTCCCAATGGTGGGTCTATTTCTATAGTCAAAGAACAAGTCTACTATCTACTGCTGAGTCTACTATCTACTGCTGAGATGCAGAGCAGAATTAGCAAATCTGGTGCAGCCAGATGCCCCAGAGGAATATTTTTTCCTCCTTATTTTATTCTAACTTATTAAATTTTAAACAGCCCTCAAAGACTCCAGCCTAACACGGTATCAAACACAACAAAACAATGTGTTTATTTCCTATTAACATGGTAGAGCAGACAGCTCTGCTGCGGCAAAGCTGTGAATTATGGGAGAAAAACTACCTGTCTTGTTTCTCTGCGCAGACCCAGAACTCCACCCACAGCAGCCCCAGCTGGACCTGACATCCCACACAGAGGTCAAGACCCCAGCTCGCGGGTTGCCTGCAAATGTAATCTCCTAGGGCCCTTGGATAGCTGGCTGCCTGGTGAAGGCAATGGGGTCAGGAGGCTGAGCCCAAAGTACCCAACAGCCAGCCTAGGTTCTCTAGCACCTAGAGGATAGTGGGGAAGATTCTTCAAGAATTTCCTATGAAAATAAAATTGCTTCCAAGACAGGGAACTCCTAGAGCTAGAGAGGGTCGCCAGGACTGTCCTGAGGTCAATTGTACCCATGCCTCCATCTTCCCTACCTTAGCTGGGCCCTGCCCCTGGTTATGAAGTATTCCACAGCAGCCTTTTTCATATGGGAACATCCCAAGATAGCATAAAAGCAAGTTCTGCAAATCAATGGCAAGTAAAGAGGGCTTTAAATTGGGTGATCATATAACTTATCCAAATTAGGACACTTTTGAGAATGAAAGAGAGTGCTATTAGCCATTAAGCCAAAACAAGGAGTAAATTGTGACTGTCCCAAGCAAATTGGATGTGTGGCCACTCCTGAGCTTTCAGCCCATCCCTGGCCCTCTCTTCATCCCTCACCCTGTCCTGAGACTCACCCCAAGGGCAAGCGGCAAGGATGGCGTTTGCACGTAGGATGAAGTGCAGGTCAAGGGAGGGACAAGGCCTCAGAGAAGGGATGAGGGCCAAGCATAGATCTTCATGTTTCCTGGCAATTGTAAAGGCCATTATCACATAAAACTGGGGGTGACAAAATGACCTGGGCACAAGTTTCTGCTTTGTATGTGCCCTTTTGTGACCCCATGGAGCCCAGCACTAAATGAATGAAGTTTTGTGGGGAGGAAGGTTCTGAAAGGGAAGGTGCGAGGAAACCCCAAGTGTAGCCCCCTCTCATCCCAGGTTTGCCCTGATCTGGTCCTGTCCCCTGTATTCAGGGGTGGGGGCAGCTCCTCCCTTTGAGTTTCTGTCTGCTGATCACCTTGGGCCTAAGCAGGTTTAGGTCTTCATGGGACTAAAGAGGCCATAGGCCATTGGCTCTTCGCCCTTCACCCACTGGTGGCCTGAGCAACCAGAGGTCATCCTTAAGGGAGGGTTAGTGCTGAGGCACTGAGCATGTGTGCTTGTGTGTGTGTGCTTGTGTATGTGTGCCAGTGTGGATGTATATGCTTACATGTCTGCTGGTGTGTGTGTGTGCTTGTGTATGTGTGCCAGTGTGGATGTATATGCTTCCGTGTGTGCTTGTGTGTGTGCATGCTTGTGGGGTTGTGTGTGTGTGTGCTTCTGTGTACATTTGCATATGTGCTTGCATGTGTGCTTATGTGAGTGCTTGTGGACTTATATATGTGTGCCTGTGTGTGTGTGCTTCTGTGTGCGCTTGTGTATGTGTACTGCTGTGTCTGTATGTTGTGTATGTGCTGTGTATGTATTCTGGGATGTGTGCGTATATGCTTGTGCATGTGCTGGCATGTGTGGGTGCTTCTGTGTGTGCTTGTGTATGTGTGTGTGCTTGTGTATGTATTTGTGTGTTTGCATATGTGTGCTGATGAATGTGTGTTTGTGTGTATGTTTGTGCGTATACTTATGTTTGTGTGTTAGCATGTATGCTTGTGTGCATGTTTGCCTGTGTATATATGCCAGTGTGTGCTGGTATGTGTACCTGTATATGTTTGTGTGTATGCTCATGTGTGTGTGCTGGTGTGTGTGCGTATGCTTGTGTTGTAGTGTATGTGCTTGTGTATGTGACCTTGTATATGTGCTAGGGTGTGCTTTTGTGTCCGCTTCTCTCTGTGAATATATGCTTGCTTGTTTCTGTGCAGAAATGGCACAGTGTGCCTTCACACAGCCTCATGGGACCAGAATTTTCTTTTTCCTCAAGCATTTGCAGAGACAGAGAGAAGCAGAAACACCAACAGGACATCCCTCTTCCTTCCCTACCATAGCCTCGGAGAGAATCTTCCTAAAACCATACTTTCTGCCATCTGCTGAGTAGTTAATTGTGCAAAGGGCCCTGAGGCTGAGATGACCCAGATAGCTTCACAAGCAACATCTAGGCACAACTGGCTGATGAGGAAATTGTCCCGCTGGCATTGGATGGAGTAGATACTGGAAAGGGTGTTGATAGATCACAGAATTCAAGAAGTCTATTCCATGCCATGCCCTGACCTGCAGAAAAAAAAAAATTCTCCCAAATATTCTTTCTGGGCAAAGCCGCTGAATTTGACCTTGAGTACCCATCCAGATGCCCCAGGATGCCAGGTTCGTTGGACACTACTCAAGTACAAAACATGAGGTGATGAGGGCAGAGTCACTGATCAGCCTTCCCTTCAAGGAAATTGAACCGCTAATTAACATGACTCACTCTTGACAGGAAAGACAGAGAAGCTGCCCAGGCCAGGGTAGTAACAGGATAGTACCAGCCAGCAAATGTCAGCCCCACAAAGCCCTGCCAGCCCATTTCCACAAGATCCAGCCCAAAGGGTAGTCTCTCTGAGTCAAGAAGTGTAACATTCCATGTAGAGGAGCAGAGAAGACAAAGCACAGCCCTCCCGGAGCAGAAGCCACCCCGGGCCATGAATCCAAGTGCAGAACTTGGCTCCAGGGACACTAGTGGAGAAAACTGCTGATGAATTCCACGTCATCACTAGGGACCCAAACAATTCACCAGGCCCACCAGCAGCAAACACTGGGGGAGCTCCAGTTGTGTGCATGTGTTCAGGCTGACCGCGGTGAGCAGGCAAGAGGTTCACAGAGGCGTGGAGGCTGGGGGCCCAGTGACCACATGCTGAGGGGAGCAGGGACACTTTATGAGGTGTAGCACCAGGGCAATGGGACTGCCTGCTTCCCAGTTCATAAACCAGCTGGGTACTGAAGGCTGTTCCCACGGAGAAGCTCTAACTTCCGTGCTGAGCAAGGCAGCCACCAGAGAATAGGTGCATGGCCTCAGGCTGGGAGGAGAAGGGATTGGGGACATGCCAACTGGGATGTATGTGCCAGAATAATGGTTCAAATTACCACGTTACAGCCTCATCTCCTCATATAGCTCTGCTTGTCTTTAAAATCCTCCTACTTTCCTTTTGGGATCTTGATGGTGCCTATTCAGGGAGTCCATAGGGTTCCAGAGGAAAGGAAGGAAGGATACACCTGGCTCCAAGCCTCCCACTTCTGCCTCTGATAGCTTTTTCTATTAGTCTTCCATTCCCTTTCCTGCCTGAACAGCCCAAACCTGAGAAACCTGGCCCTCCTGCCATTTCCTGAGTTAGATGGCTTCTGCCCCAAGTCTTGCCAGAGCTAATGAAATGGCAGGTGACAGTCTCAGGTGCTTCAAAGGCAAGAGCCCCAAAGCCCCTGCATGCAGGAAATGAGCTAATTTTACAATGTGCCTGATTGAATTCTACCCTGCTTTCCCAGGCATGCCTGAATATAGAACCCAGCATCTACACAGGCCAGCAAAACAGGGGTTGAGAGAATAACCACTATCATTTTTTCAATAGAGGATATCCATCTGCTTTTTCTTCTGCAGTTTTCCCCAAATTGGTTCAATATGTACTAAGTACCCACCTGGTGCAAAGCCTTGTGCTGAGCACAAATCTCATAAAAGGATGACAAGACTCACCAGTCTGCCCTTAATTTGCTTCTAGGAAAAGCCTAGGGGTGAATGCAAATGATACCCATGCGGGGAAGGGGCCAAAGAGAACCAAGAACAAAGCCACCAGGGATCATAGGAGGGATCGATGGGGCTTGTTGGTTTATCAGGAAGCCTTCAAGAAGACAGGGGATTTTGGACAGGCTCTAAAGGACAAAACAAGTCCAAGAGCCCATCTTCGCGAAGGGACAGAGCATTGTGATAGAGTGAAAAGAATCTGTCATTTCGCATCAGAAAAACTTGAGATCAAACTCTGGTCATACCACTCACCAGCTGAGCAATTTTGGCTGAGCTATTTAACCTCTGTGTGCCTTTTCTTCATCTGTAAAGTGAGAATAATAACTCCAGACTCCCAAGGTGGCTGCAAGGATCAAATCAACTAACATTGGTAAGGAGCCGTGTCTGGCACAAAAAAGAGTTCAATGAATATTAATTTATTAATTCTGAACAGTGCACTAAGTAGTCCCCGCATTAACCCCACACCATCCTTCTAAGCTGCTCACAGGCCGAGAAGATGGAGAGATGGGTTGCCGGGGGGAACGAGCGGAGCAGAGGTCACCATTGACGTTCTAAGCCAGACATTGTTCCCAAGTGTAAAACAATAAACAACTTTCACTTGCTAGTATCCCTGAATCCTTCTCCCTGGAGTTATTACAGAGTTTAAAAGCAAACTGAAGTCAACATTCAGAACAGAAAAGGCATATGTGCACACACAGACACCCTCATTTTTGTAAGAAAGGTTGCCATGGAGATGAAACAGAGAAATAGCAAAGACACAGAGGAGCCACTGAAATGGCTATAATTAATTTAAAGCATTAAAAACAATTAAAATTGTATTAAAACAAGTTCATTTGAACAAGGCGTAAATAGGGTGAGCAGACCACGTCAAGCATGAACAACGTAAAGCCTTCCTTTGGGGGATAGGAACAGGCACCCTCGCTGTCTTCAAAGAAGGGAAATAAATTATTGCACAATATTCAGAAACAACAGAATATGTAAGCTAATTTATCTAATGTTTCTGAAAATAAGACAGTTCTCCAATAATTCTGTTTCCTCTAGTAACTTAATGCCAGAATGAAAAACAAAACAAGGACAGAAAATTACTCCTTATCAAATAAATGGATCCATGTTCCTTTGTCCATCACTGTGACCACAAATTGCTCATCAATGAGAAGAGAGGAAAGAGAGGGAACCAGCACCGTGGGATGCCTACTGTATACCAGCCATTGTCCTGGGCACTTGGCACCCTTTATCTCATTAAGTAATCCCACAAGCTCCCTGGGGAAAGTGGGAGTGGCCCTGTCCTACCAACATGGGACTCAGAAGGACGTGTAACTTACTCAGAGTCTCACAGCTCTTTGATCAAGGAATAAGCAGGTGAACTCTGATCTGTCGGGATTCCAAAGCCTATCCTCTTGCCACCATACCACACTGCCTCTCATGGAAGAAACCAGAATGGGACATGGGACAACAGGCAGCCAGGCACCATTTTTTTAACACCTGTGCTACACATTTTACAAATGTTGTTTGATTTAACCCTCACAAGGAGCCTCCGTTTCATAGAGAAGGAAACGACAGAGCTCACCAAGTTCAGCTTGCCCAAAATGACACTACCAATAAGCAGCAGAACCAAGAGTCACTCTTTAAAATCTGCCTAACTCTTTAAAATCCCAGGCTCCGCATCTGCTCCCCTCTCCTGAACTCCTGGAGCATTTATGTCTACCACAAATCACGTCCTGCCTTGGACTACATAGCATTTGCAGGGGGTGGTAGCTGGGTTTTCTGTTTGTTTGTTTTGTTTTTTTCCATTTACACAATTGGGGATGGCAGAGAAAACTCTTCAGAAGAGGCAGGTTTCAAGGTGGACTTTGACTTGGACAACTAGCGAGGCTTGAACAAGCAGAGATCTTTCTTGTTCATGAGACCAGATAAGCCTGGAAATTTAGAGCTGGTGGGTGGAGGGCCCCAGGACCAGGACAAACAAAAGGGGTATCTGGATGAAGTGGCCTGAAGTCCTAGAGCCTGGATGGAGAACCAGACCCACTTGTCCAGAGAAGACAGGCCTATGGCCATAGAGTGATGCTGAGTGTCAAATCCAACCCAGGTGGGAGAGTAAATCAGAAGGTTGATAGCAGGTAAGGCAGATGTAGGACAAAACCAGAAACAAGAAACGGAAGTCAAGAGAGCCAAAACCACAATGGCAGCACATGTGCTGGAGCCTCTTCATTCTTTGGTGTCTGACATGCATGTCCCGGGGGGCAGGTGGGTGGCTCGAAGGAGCTAGGCACCAGGGCCAGCTGACTATTAGCCAGAACTCTGCAGTAGAGCCATGCCCATTGTTATGATATTGAAATACATCATGCTAGTTATAAACATCAGCTCACAGAGCCCAACAAAGTCTCCTATCACTTGACCACCCACCCTACCTCTAGGCCCCCTCAGGCCTCCCCAGACTCCAATAACTGCAGGCTGACCAACCTGCCCTAGCCCCCTGCCAGCAGTGCTCAGATTGACCAACTGGACACATTAGTGAGTAAATACTTTTGTATATCACCCTATGCACTCTGTATGATAAAAACTTACCAGAGTGGCACCTTGAATCTTGACCACAACCATGAGATGGATTAATAGTATGATTTTGATTCTGCTAATGCAAGCTTTAGGGGGTTAAGCAACAGCCTAAGAGAAGTAATGACAGGAGAGGAAGGCTAAGAAGTTGGCACAAGCAAAGGAGGAAAACAGGAAAATGAATGACTGGTATCTGCTCTCTCACGGCTCAAGGAACTGAGCTCAAATTTATTTCCTATGGGAAGAAATTCCATGGGTCGCAGGGAAAAATCTAGACCATAAGCTGTCTATGAAGAGGCCATCTAATTCAGTGCTTAATTAGCCCACTCCCAGGATACATTAAATACAGATGGCCAGGTTCGAGAGAGAGATTTATTGATCAAATTAAAAATCAGATGTGCGATAGAAGCTTTGTAACATCTCCAGCAGCCTTCTGCCCCTGATGCTATGAGAGAAGTAAGGGGGTAATTAAATGACCCCCTCCCTCTTGACAGGGAAGAGAAAAGACCTGGCTGGACAACTTGAATCTCCAGAAATATTTACTCCTCCATGTCATTTATTAGCGTATACAACATAGCACAACACCAATGTATATTTCCAGTTATAATTTCCAGGAAAATAATCCCCTATGCCTTGATAAACTACAGAGCTCAGACCACCCACCACAGAGCAGTCTGAGCTGGGAGAGGTCGAAGCAAAAAAGAAGCAAGTGAGAGCTCACAAGCTGGAAGGCAAGGGCAGGTGGGAGGAACAGGGTATGAGCTCATTCATTCCTTCACCCAGCAAATATCTACCAGGTGCCTGCTATGTTCCAGGCACTGTTCTAGGCATTGGGGATAGGAAAGTGAACAAGAGATGTATATTCTCTGCCCTCATGGGATTTCCAATCTAGTTGGGGAGACAGACAGTTTAAACAAATATATAATATAATGTCAGGCCATAAACAGGTAGAGCTAATGCACAGATCCAGGGACCAGGAGGCTCTTGGTGTGTTTGTGAAATAGCAAGAAAGCCAATCTGGCTAGAACAAAGTCTTTAAGGGAAAGAGTGGGCGATAGGTGAGTAAGGGCTCATAGACTATAGAGAGGTCTTTGGATTTCATCCTGAGCCTGATGGGGGATTTGAAACAGTTGGCGATTTAGACAGTGACATCATCTGATTTACATTTTTAAATGTCTCTAGTAGCTGGGTGGGAAATGACTCAAAAGGCTAGAAATAGACATCAGCTAGGATACCACTCTATAATTATCTACATTATTTATTGAGGGCTTACTATGTCATGTATTATCATATATTAACTCAAATAATGCTTACAACAACAAAAGACACCTTTTAGTATCTCCACTTCACAGTTGAGGTGCAGAGGCACAGAGAGATTAAGAAAGAGATAGAGGCAGGTTTTGAACCCAGGTCGTCTGCCTTTGCCCTGCAATGCTATGCCGCCTCTCTGCAGTAGTCTGGGCAGGAGATCATAGCAGTTTGGACAGTGATGGCAGCCAATAGAGATGGTGAGAAGTGATCAGATCCCAGTTATACTTCAAAATTTGTCACTAGCATCTAAATTAGCTGGGAGATATGAGACAAAGACACTTAGAGACCATTGCTTCCGTTGTGCTAATTTCAAAGTCCTACTAAGAGCCACAACCTCTGACTCAGTCGTTTATAAACCTGGAAACTCAACAGAAGCTTTTACAAACACAGATTCTAGAAGCTTATTCCACATTCACTGAAGAAGGCATTTCAGAGTGGGGCCCAGGAACCTGCATTTTAAGACCACTTCTCACGTGATCTTGAGGCAGCTGGTCCCTGGGCTGGCATGGGGAGGCCCTGCAGTTGGCCTCACGTCATAATTCTTGGAATGTAAGGACTAAGAGCACCTGAGAGATGACAGTGCCACCTACCTACAGATGACAATGTCAAGGCCCTGAAATGGAAGGGACTTGACCCAGTTAATACGTGGCGGCCCTGGGACTAGACTCCTGGGCCGGTGCTGCATCCACTGCCCCATGTTGACTCCTCCGGACAGCACTGCATTGCTCACCTGCCTCAATCCTCACTCCAGGTCAGGCAGAGTACCCTGAATGACCTCTGAAGCCATGGGGAGAGCATTATACTTGGAGCCAGAGATGTGGGTTCAGGCCCAGGCCCAGCCACCTATCAGCTGAGAGCTCCTGAGAAAGTCCCTTTACCTCTCGGAGCTTCAATTTCCTCACTTGTGAAATGAAGACATAAGGTCCTCCTACTATTGCTATTTTATTGGATGAAATAATACATGTAAAACACGTGGCAAGACCTTAATGCTAGTTACTGTTTGGGTTTTTATGGCCATTAACCCAGATTTCCTGGTTCCTAATACAAGGTCTTTCTCCAAACGTGTGTTCATGAGGATTTTGAAGTTTTGTGTCTCCAAGGTCAAATGCAAGTACTCCAGGAGGAAAGAGCAACTCTAAATGCTTGCTTGAGAGCCAAGCTGCAGGAAAGAGGGCACAGACGAGCAGGTGAGAACTAGGAGAGAGGAGTGATGAATGGCAGAAACAGCATCAGCCCTGCCGCAAGTACACGGAGATTCCATAACAGGGAACGGGTCCCTAAATAGCCTTCTGCATTCCCAGAAAATATCAGATAAATCTCTTAGATTTACACCCCATATATATATCCTGTTGCAAATTCTTTTTTCTTCTTTTATTTTACAACCCTTTAAAAATGTAAAATCCATTCTTAGCTGACAGGTTGTACAAAAACAAGCCTGGGGCCAGATGTGCCTGTGGTCATTGTTTGCCAACATCTGCTCTAGACTATAAGCTCATGGAAGGCAAGATCCACATGTAATGTGTGCACCACTGCATCCTTCAGAGCCTAAAATATAGCAGGGCACTCACTAAATAGTTGTGAAATGGAATTTAACTGAAGTAGGTCAAGCAGGATTTATTATTCCCACTTGACAGATGACAAAAATGAAATCAGAGAGTCAATGTGACTTACCCAAAGCACGTAGCTAAGAAACAGAGCTGCATAACCAGTTACACGTGTATAACAATTTGCATCTCACAGAGTGCTTTCCACAGATTTTTTCGTTTGAGCCTCAAAACAACCCTATCGATTAGCAGTTATGACTGCCCTCCATTTTAGAAATGAAAAATTGAGGTTGAGTTCAATCATTTGCCCAGATAACACACTAATATGCAACATAACACCCAACTAGATCAGTGCTATCCAATAGAAATATTATGTGAGCCACAAATATGATTTTCAATTTTCTAACACCACATTTTTAAAAAGTAAAAAGAAACAAATATAATTCATGTAAATACTATATTTTATTTTATTCACTATATCCAAAATAATATCATTTTAGCATGTCATCAATATGAAAAATTTAAACTGGGATATTTTTCATTCTCTTTTCCTACAGTCTTTGAAATCCAATTTGCATTTTACACTTACAGCATATCTTGATTTATGAGCCACATTTCAAGTGCTTAACAGTGACAGTGGCTTCTGTACTGAACAGCTCTAGAGAAGGTATCAGCAAATTTTTCTGTAAAGGATCAGATAAATATCTTAGGTTTACAGGCCATGCACGTGCTCTGTTATTGCATATTCTTTTTTTTTTTTTCCAACTCTTTAAAAATGTAAACTCCAATCTTAGCTGACAGGTTGTACAAAACCAAGCCCTGGGCCAGATTTGGCTTGTAGGTCATCGTTTGCCAGCTTCTGCTCTAGACTATAAGCTCCTGAAGGCAGGAGCCACGTCTAAGGTGTGCACTGCTGCATCCTCCCATGCTTAAAATATAGCAGGGCACTCACTAAATAGCTGTAGAACAGAATTTAACTGAAGTAAGTCAGGCAGGATTTATTATTCCCACTTGACAGATGACAAAAATGAAATCAGAGTCAGTGTGATTATCCCAAGCACGTGGCTAAGTACAATCCCCAAACTGTAAGGCTTCCAGCCATTTCTCTTTCCTGCATCAAGCTTCTTTTCATACCTGTTGCCACCTGTTTCATAGCTGCATTGGTGGTCACTCTGAGTTTTAGTTCTTCTGTCTCTTTGCCCCCGGATTTGATCTTGAGCTCCCTGGAAGCCCCAGCCAGCCTGACAGAGAGGAAGAGTTGTGAGTCCATTTTAGGAGAGGAGCATGCTCCCAGCGGGCCCTACCATTCATGATGAACAGCCTGGGTCACGCTCCTGTCCCTCCAGTCCAGGATCTCTCTGGAAATGAGTGCTCTTGTATGTTTAGAGAAAATGCATTTCTATTCTCCTTTTCAGGCTAAAAGCATCTGCCTTCTTCACAAAGAAGTTAGTGAACCAGTTATAATTACACACCATACACTGGGGAGCGTGAAAGTGACATTTAGCAACACTTAAGCCTGGGCTCTGTGGTGGCTGCAGTAAACATTACATAATTGCTGCGGCATCGATCCCAACAATTAACCCCAAAGAGCAGAGACAGAATGGAAGTTCTCCAGGAAACTGCCACAACCTGAGAGTAAAATGGAGCCCAAAGTCTCTCTTGGAGATGATTCTCCCTCCTCCAAATGTGAAGACTTTTTTCTCTTTTTTTAATGTTCTCAATCCAAACAGCTTTTAGTGCAGTTTTCCAGGGTTGAGGGGACCACAAAGCAGACAGGCAGGTGGAGACGGAAACACGAGGAAGTGCTCTAATGGGGTGGTCTGATTCCCCACCCGCTCTGTTCCAGCCTGTGAAATTGGTGAATGTGGAGAACTGCAAGGTCAGTGTGGCTGGATCCCATGAGGCAAGGAGCAGGGCTCAGTAGAGGGGTCTGGAGAGGTTAAGGCCCAGGGAGGTTAAGGATCAGTCTTGCCTGGAAGCAATGCAGAGCCTCTTGGGTCAGGGGAGGGTTATGTTCTTAGAAGGAACAGGGCCATTTTATTTTTAAATAAGCAGGGAGACAAGGAGAGACTGGCAATGGCAGAACTGAGGCGTGGGGAAAGAAAGCAGTGGACAGATCCAAGGGGTCTTTAAGAGAAAAAATGGACAGGGCCTGATGAGAGATGGGACTCAGGAGAGTCAAGAGCATCCCAGGCTCCTGGCTTTGGTGACTGGGAGGCTGGTAGTACTGAACCCTGGAAGGAGGGAAGACAGGTTTGGAGGAAAAAAACAATGTGTTCAAGTGTTAGGGAGGAAAAAAACAATGTGTTCAAGTGTTAGGTACCTTCATCATAAGGTGCCTGTGTGGTGTTCAGATAAAAAGGGAAACTGGAAATGGGGCTTAGAAGCAAGACAGGATGGAAACCAGGAAATGTGGGTAATCTGCATCCAGGAAGTGACTGACCATGGAAGTAGGTGAGTTGCTGTGACAAGGAAATCCAGTGAGTAGAAAAGAGGAGCAGGGACACATCAGTGAAGGATTGAGTAAAAGAAGATGCTCCAACCATGGAGACTGGGAAGGAACAACCAGAGAAGGCAAAAGAGAAACAAGGAGAGCGAGGAAGTCTCAGAAACCAAAGAAGAGGAGTTTGGAAGTAAAAGAGGTGCACAGCCATGCCTGATGCTGCAGCAGGAAGAAATGAGATGCACTCAGTCATCAGTCCAAGATTTATCCAGCACTACTACGTACCTGCTACTATTCTAGGTGCCAAGTAAAGCAGTCAAGTGAATGCAACAGGCAAGATGCCCTACCCTCATGGAGATTTCCTTCTAATGTGGAAATACAGATTCCAAGCAGATAAATAGGTAAATTTATTAGGTATATGTAGTGGGTTGAATAGTGGCCCTAGAAGATATGACCAAGTCTTAACCTCTGGTACCTGTGAATGGGAACTTACTTGGAAGTAACGTCTTTGGAAATGTCATTAAATTAAGGATCTCAAGATGAGATCATACTGGAATTAGAGTGAGTCTAAATCCCGTAACTGGTTTTCTTATAAGATAAAGAAGAGGGGAATTTCAGACATACAGACACAGAGAGGCGAAAACCATGTGAGATGGAGGCAGAGATGAGAGCAATGTCTCCACAAAACAAGAAATGCTAAGAAGTCTAACTCCCATAACTGGTTTCCTTATAAGATAAAGAGGGGAATTTGACACATACAGACACACAGAGGTGAAAACCATGAGAAGATGAAGGCAGAGATGGGAGCAATACCTCCACAAAGCAGGAAATGCCAAGGATTTTCAGCAGCCACTGGAAACTAGGAAAGAGGCCTGGGACAGATTCTCCCACAGCTTCCAGAAAGAACCAGCCCTGCCCACACCTGAGTTCCAGACTTCTGGCCTCCAAGACCGAGACACATTTTTGTTGCTTTAAGCCACATAGTTTGTGAAAATTTGTTATGATAGCCCTAGGAAATTAATGCAATGTGTTAGAAGGTGACAAGTGCTATGGAGAGAGAGACAGGGAGAGAGAGAGAGGGAAGTGGAAGGTGGGTCGTTGGGCAGAGAAGGCTTCACTGAGATGAGGGAACTAGCCATGCAGCTGTTTGGGAGAAACAATAAAGTGAACAGTGCAAAATCCCCAAGGCAGGAATCTGCCTGAAAGGTTCAAGAAAAGCCAAGGAGGCTGGTCCAACTGGGTGGGGTTGTCAAGAGGCAGAGTAGCAGGCGATGAGTTCAGAGAGAGAACATGGGGTAGGGAGTAAGGTTCTGTGTGCTGCGCTTCTCCAACTGCAATGTGCACATGAATCATCCGAGTAATGTATTAAAATGCAGGTATAAGATTCTCCCTTTATAACAAGCTCCTATACTATGCCACGACTGCTAATGGCTGTGTCTTGAGCACGAAGGTAAAGGACAATGTATTTCAACCCAGAGTGCTTATCAGAGGCATCTGAGGACCTTTGGGGTGGCGGGAAGATAATAGAGTCTTGCCCCAGACCAATTAAATCGGAATCTCTGGGAGGTGAGACCCAGGCACAGATAATTTAATAGCTCCCTAGGTGATTCCAATGTGCAGCCAGAATTGACAATCACTGCTCTAGAGCCTGGTAGATTTTTAAAGGACTTTCTTTTTCTCTGAAAGGATGGGAAAGAGATGAGAGAGTTTTGGGCAAAGGAGTGACGTGATTTGATTTACGTCTTAAAAGGATGACTTTGGCTTCTGGCTTCTACTCAGGCCGTGGAAAGCTGGAAAGAGCATCCCTTCCACCATTGTAACAACAGAGAAGCCACATAATCTGCAAATTAACAACTTCTTGAAAGCTGAGGTCTCTGGGCAACCAACTAACCTGAAATCTAAAGAAAGGATACATAAAGCCTTACCTGGATTCTTCTTCCCTCTCTCCTCCAAGGACAAGAAGTCTTCAGCCAGTGAGAGGAGAGCAGTAAAACCTTCCCTATCACTCTCAGGCCACAGCTGAGGATTCATTACAGCTTGGGGAATGTGTATGAGTCTGCTGGTGCTGCCATAACAAAACACCACAGGGTAGGTGGCTTAAACAACAAAAATGCATTTTCTCACAGTTTGGGAGGCTTAGAGTCCAAGAGGAAGGAGTCAGGAGATTTGGTTTCTTCTGAGGCCTCTCTCCTAGGCTTGCAGATAACCATCTTCTTGTTGTGTCCTCATGTGGTCTCTCCTCTTGTGTGAGCTCCCCTTGTGTTTCTTTTTGTGTCCAAATTTTCTCTTCTTATAAGGATACAAGTCAGGTTAGAATAAGGCCCTCCCTAACAGCCTCATTTTAACTTAATTACCTCTTTAAAGGCTCTATCTCCAAATATAGTCACAATCTGAGGTACTGGGAGTTAGGACTTCAACATATGAAGTTAGGGGAGGGAGCACAATTTAGCCCCCAACAGAAGGGAACTTCCCCCAAAACACTTTTCACCTTGAAAGGTAACCAGGGAAATGTCCTGGACCCTAATCATTAGAGATTCTCTACCCCTGGGGAAGGGATATAATTACTGAGGATGTCCTCTCACCAAGATTTAATGTTACAACACCTAAGATTTAGGCTAAACAAGAACAACAAAGAATGCCCCCTACATCCCCCATCATGAGACTATCAAGCAAGAATTAATGTAAATCTAGTATTGGAAGAGGAGCAAGAGCACGGAAACATACTCTCTAAGATGTAGGTACAAATGGAGACCTAACCTCTGGCAAAATAGTCACCTCAAGAAGCATGGGGTAACAACCAGAAGAATTTAAATGATAAAGTGCTCCAAGGATAACCATAAAAACAACAAAACCCAAGCCCAGCTCCACCCTTAACTAGATTGACTCAACCCCCAAAACTAACAATCTAGCAAAGGAAAAGATCAACTCTTTTCAAGAATAAATATTGTTTATCTCAGTCACTACTGTTGTTACAGTCTCAACAATGCACCACAAGCAGTCTCTTGTAAGGTATCACCCAGAGTTCTTTGTCTCATGACCAGGAGAATTAAGGAGTGTGAACACAAAGGGTGGAGTTGGAGCAAAAGTTTAATAAGCAAAAGAAGAAGCAGCCTGGAAAAGGGTTGCCATTTTTACAGTTGAATGCAAAGGCTTTTATAAAAAAACCAATGAGGGATGGGTGTCTCATTGGCATAAGGTGTGAATTTCTGGTAGGTCCACCCCATCCTAATGTGCATGTGGGCCCTTAGCTTGAGTTACTCTATATTGCTTTGTTCCCCTTACTGCTCATGTGTCAGGGGATGGAATTTTCCATTGCAGGTATGTCTGGGCAAGTCACTTGTATAGCCTTTTTTATCTGTGTGGCTGTGGGCATGTCTTAGGCAAACCCCCCTGTGCAAGTTCCCTTATCTGTGCCTGCAGGTTGTTCTTTTGTTTGAAGGGATTCAAACAAAGACACACCCTAACTGCCTACCTGACTGGGATTTTTCCCTTTCTCCTCTCTCACTGTCTTACACAGGGCAACAAGTTTCAACCAAAAACTCACATGAGACACAAAAAAATTAAAAATAAAATCACAGATAAGAGACAAAATAATCAATAAGACAAGACTCAGATACGACCAAGATGTTGGAACTATCATCTAGAAAAGCTAAAATAATATTAATTAATATATTCAGGACTTCAGCGGAAAGGGTACACAGCATGCCTGAACAGATGTGTAATTTTATCACAGAGATGAAAACTGTAAGAAAAAATTAAATGAAATTGCTAAAAATTAAAAACACAGTAACAGAGATAAAGAATGTCTTCAATAGCCTCATCAATAGAATAGACACAAGCTGAGGAATCAGTTTACCCAAACTGAAACACAAATAGAAAAACAGTGAAAAAAGAAAGAAGAGGAAAAGGAAGCATCTAAAACCTGTGAGAAAATAGCAGTCTAACATACCTGTTATTGAAACGGGAAGAGAGACGAAGAGAGGGGGACAAAAGAAATACTTTTTAAGACCAGGTGCGGTGGCTCACGCCTGTAATCCCAGCACTTTGGGAGGCCAAGACGGGCAGATCATGAGGTCAAGAGATCGAGACCATCCTGGCCAACACAGTGAAACCCCGTCTCTACTAAAAATACAAAAATTAGCTGGGCGTGGTGGCACACACCTGAGGTAGGAGAATCGCTTGAACCCAGGAGGCAGAGGTTGCAGTGAGCCAAGATCGCACCACTGCACTCCAGCCTGGTGACAGAGTGAGACTCCGTCTCAAAAAAAAAGAAAAAAAGAAAAATACTTTTTAAATAATGGCTAAGAATTTTCAAAATTAATGAGAAACACAAAACCACAAATCCAAAAACCTCAGAGAACACCAAGCAGACAAAATACCAAAACAAAACAAAAACAATTTTTAAAACCTGCACTTGTTACATTCAAACTGCTGAAAACCAAGGATAAAGAAAAAATTATAAAAGTAGTCAATGGGAAAAAAGACACATTACATACGGGGAAATAAAAATAAAAATTACAGCCAATATCAGAAACTATGCAAGTCAAAAGACAATGAAATGATTTCTTTAAAACACTGGGGGAAAAAAAAGCAAAAAAAAAAAACAAAAAACAAAAAAATGTACCTAGAATTCTGTAGTCACTAAAAAATCTTTGAAAAATAGAGGAGAAATAGATTTTTTGAGATAATGAAAAGCCAGGAAGATTCAGACCTGCACTAGAAGAAATGATAAAGTTCCTCAAGAAGTAACATAATACCAGACAGAAATTTGAATCTACACAAAGAAATACAAAGCATTTTAAATGGCATAAAGATTTCTTTTCTATTTTTAATTACTCTGAAAGATAACTGGCCATCTAAAGATAAAAAAAATGTATTGATATATACAATATATGTGAATGTAAAACAGATAACCATAACACAAAGGATGGGAGGGAAAAAGACAATATAGTGTTGTAAGTTTCATATGCTATCAGAGAAATAGTATTTGAAGTAGACTATAATCCAGTAAATATATATATATATATATAAAATAAACTCTGATGCAATTGCTCTAAAAAATACTGAGAGATAAATAATAAGCCTATAGTGGATAAAATGAAATCTTAAAAAAGGATTAATCCAAAAGAAGACAGAGGGGCCAGGCGCGGTGGCTCACGCCTGTAATCCCAGCACTTTGGGAGGCTGAGGTGGGCAGATCACAAGGTCAGGAGATGGAGACCATCCTGGCAAACACGGTGAAACCCCATCTCTACTAAAAATACAAAAAAATTAGCCCGGCATGGTGGCGGGCGCCTATAGTCCCAGCTACTCAGGAGGCTGAGGCAGGAGAATGGCATGAACCCAGGAGGTGGAGCTTGCAGTGAGCTGAGATCGCGCCACTGCACTACAGCCTGGGCGACAGAGCAAGACTCCGTCTCAAAGGAAAAAAAAAAAAAGACTGAAAAAAAGAAACAGAACAATAGCACATAGAATAGATAGAAAACCAGAAATTAACATGGCAAGGTATTAGATTTTAATAATATAATAATTACATTAAACATAAACAATCTAAACACATCAGTTAAAAGACAAAGATTGTCAGATTGGATATAAAAGTAAAACTCAAATTTAGGCTCTCTAAACACAGGGAGATAAACTAAGAGCAAAAGAATGGAAAAAGATATACCATGGAAAAGAAAACTGATATAAAAAAACAAATAAGGCTATTATATTAATATTAGACAAAGTAGAAGTCAGAACAATGAATATTTCAAGCAATAGTGACTTAAAATAACATTAAAGGATTAACTCACCAAGAAGCCATAAAAATCCTCAATGTATATACAACTAATAAAAGAGCTTCAAAATGCATGAAACAAAAAATAATAGAACTGAAAGGAGTAATAAAGAAATCTACACTTATGGGAGGCTTCAACACACTCTCTAAGTATTTAATAGAACAATTAAACAGAAAATCAATAAGGATAGAAAAGACTTGAACACCACCACCAACCAACTTGACCTAACTGAAATTTTCAGAATACTCCACCCAACGACAGGAGAATACACACTCTTTGCAAGTGCACATGAAACATTTGACAATATATAACATATTCTGAGCCACAAAACAAATCTAAAAACTTTGAAAGACTTAAAGTCATAAAAAGTACATTCTCAGACCATAATGAAATTTAGGTAGAAATCAATAGAAGAAAAATATCTGGAAATTAAGCAACGTACTTTGAAATAACCATGGACAAAGACAAAGACACAAGGGAAATTTTTTAATGTTTTGAATCAAAATAAAAATGAAAACACAACATATCAAAATATGCAGAATGCACTAAAGAAAATGCTTAGAGGGAAATTTATAGCCTTAAATATTTTTATTGCAAAAGAAGAAAAGTCTTATATTGATTAAATTTTTCATTAAGAAGCTCGAAAAAGAAAAATTAAACCCAAAACATACCAAAGGAAAGAAAGAGCAAAATCAATAAAACAATAGAGAAAATTAATGAAATAAAAAAACTGGTTCTTTGAAAAGATCTATAAAATCAATAAACCTCTATCTAGATTGACTAAGAAAAAAGGAGAAAAGAAATGAAATCTAACCCTCGGGAATGAAAGAGGGGCCATCATGATTACCATCATTACCACAGACATTAAGAAAATAATAAATAAATATCACAAACAATTCTATGTTTATAAACTTAACAATCTGATGAAACGGACAAATTCCTTGAAAAACACAAACTTCTAAAACTCATTTAAGAATAAATAAATAGCCTAAATAGTTCTATAAATAAGTAAAATTTGCATTTTAAAGCCCCCCACCAAAAAAAAAAACTTTAGGCACAGATGGCTTCACTAGATAATTTTATCATACATTTAAAGAAGAAATAACAATGCTCTACAAAATCTTTCAGAATATAAAAGAAAAATGAATACTTCCCAATTCATTTTATGGGACCAGTTTTATCCTGATACCAAATAAGACAAATATATAACAAAAAAAACTGTATACCAATATTCTTCATAAATACAAAAGCAACAGTCCTCAAGAAAAAGCAATACTAGCAAATTAAACCCAGCAATAATTAAAAAGGATAACACATAATCAAGTGTGACTTATCCCAGGAATGCAAGGGATGCTTAACATTAAAAAGAAAAAAAATCAATGGATGAAATTCACTATGTCAACAAACTGGAAGAAATACTCTATTAGTTTCCCAGAGATGCCATAACAAATTACTACAAAATGAGTGGCTTAAACCAACAGAAATGTATTCTCTCCAGGTTCTGGAAGCTAGAAGTCTGAAATCAAGGTGTCAGTAGAGCCATGCTCCCTCTGAGGGCTGTAGGGAAGAATTCTTTACTGTGTCTTCAAGTCTCTGTCTCCTTTAAGGACACCCAGTCATTAGATTTAGGGTCCACCCTATTCAATGTCACCTCATCTTAAACTGATTACACTTGCAGTGACCTTATTTCCAATAAGGACACATTTACAGGAACTGGAGATTAGGACTTTTCTATTATTTGAATGATGGTCTCCTGTCCAAAATTCATGTTGAAACGTAATCCCCATTATGGTGGTATTAAGACATGGGGTCATTTTTGGGAAGTGATTAAGGCATAAAGGTGGGGTGCTTGTGAATGGATTAGCATCATATAAAAGAGCTGGAGGAAATTAGCTTAGGCTGTTTTTGCTCTTCCATTCTGCCATGTGAGGACAGTGTTCATTCCCTTTTTGCTTTCTGTCCGTTCAGCCATGCAAGGTCATCTAGATGGTACCATCTCTGAGGAACAGGTTTACAACAGACACCAAACCTGTTGGTGCCTTGATCTTGGACTTTCCAGCTTCCAGAACTGCAAGAATAAATTTCTATTGTTTATCAATTACCCAATCTGGTATTTTGTTATAGCACCACAAATGAACTAAGACAGCCTTCAACAAATATTTTGGGGGTACATAATTCAATCAACAACAAATACGACATAATTATTTCTACAAGTGCAAACAAAGCATTTGAAAAATTCGATATTTAATCATAATAAAATCTCTCAGCAATAGAAGCAATTTTTCTCAACTTGAAAGGCAGCAACTGCAAAAAAACTTCCAGCTATTAACAGACTTACTAGGTAGAGGAAGTTCTCCTGGATAATATCCTGAAGTGTGTTTTCCAGCTTGTTTCCATTCTCCCCATCTCCTTCAGTTACTCCAATCAATCAAAGGTTTGGTCTTTTTATGAAGTCCCATATTGCTTGGAGGTTTTGTTCATTCCTTTCATTCTGTTTTCTCCAGTTTTGTCTGCATGCCTTATTTCACAAGATGGTCTTTAAACTCTGCTACCCTTTCCTCCATTTGGTCAATTCAGCTATTGATACTTGTGTATGCTTCATGAAGTTCTCGTGCTATGTTTTTCAGCTCCTTCAGGTCTACATTTCTCTCTAAACTGGTTTTTCTAGTTAGCAGCTCCTCTAACCTTTTATCAAGGTTCTTAGCTTTTTTGCATTGGGTTAGAACATGCTCCTTTAGCTCAGCGTAGTTTTTATTACCCATCTTCTGAAGCCTACTTCTGTCAATTCATTCATCTCATCCTCCATCCAGTTTTGCACCCTTGCTGGAGAGATGCTGCGATCATTTGGAGGAGAAGAGACACTGTGGCTTTTTGGGTTTTCAGCGTTTTTTTCATTGATTCTTTCTCATCTTCGTGAGTTTGTCTAGTTTCGATCTTTGAGGCTGCTGACCCTTGGATGGGGTTTTTGTGGGGGTTTTTTGTTGTTGTTTATGCTGTTGTTGTTGCTTTCTGTTTGTTTTTCTTTCAATGGTCAGGTCAGTCTTCTGTAGGGCTGCTGCAGTTTGCTGGAGGTTCACTACAGGCCCTATTCATCTGGTTTGCTCCCGTGTCTGGAGATGTCACTCAAGGAGGCTGGAGAACAGTAAAGATGGGTTCCTGCTCCATCTTCTGGGATCTGTGACCTCGAGGGGCACCAACCTAATGCCAGTAGGATCACTCCTGCATAGGGTGTCTGACAACCCCCGCTAGAGGGTCTCACCCAGTTGAGTGGTAGAGGGAACAGGACCCATTTAGCAAAGCACTTTGTCCCTTGGTGGAGGAGGTGTGCTTCGCTGGGGGGAAACCCACTCCTCTGGGCTGCCCAGATTCCTCAGAACTACCACGAGGAAAGGCTAACAGAGACTGTGGCCAACCCTCCCCCTAGGGGCTCAGGCCCAGGGAGATCAGGGTTCTGTCTCTGAGCCTGTGGCTGGGGTTATTGGAGTTCCTGCAGGGAAGCCCCGCCCAGTGAGGAAAGATGAGTCTGGGTTAGGCCTGAAGAGGCACTCTGGCCACAGTATGCCACAGCCCACGTGTTGGGCTGTGAGAGACAAGTCTTGGGACCAAACCATCCAGCCTCCCTGGCTCCAGCAGGGGAAAAGCACAGCCTGGAGCTAGAGATGAATGCCGCCCTCCCCCAACCCAGGGAGCTTAGCATGTTAGGCAGTTGTGAGCCCCCGTGCTGGCTGCTGCCCCTCCTGCAAGGAAGTATGAAGGCAATTCAATGGATGAAAGATAGTCTTCCACACAAATGGTGCTGGAACAAATTGCACATCCATATGCGAAAAAAAAGAACCTCTATCCATCCGTTGCATCATATACGCAATTTATTTTCAATAAAGGATTATATGAAAAGATAAAGGAACTAGAATAGACAAAACAATTTTGAGGCCGGGCACAGTGGCTCACGCCTGTAATCCCAGCACTTTGGGAGGCCGAGGCGGGCAGATCAGGAGGTCAGGAGATCGAGACCATCCTGGCTAATGCGGAGAAACCCTGTCTCCACTAAAAATACAAAAAATTAGCCGGGCGTAGTGGCGGATGCCTGTAGTCCCAGCTACTCGGGAGGCTGAGGCAAGAGAATGGCATGAACCCAGGAGGTAGAGCTTGCAGTGAGCGGAAATAGCGCCACTGCACTCCAGCCTGGGCGACAGAGCGAGACTCCGTCTCAAAAAAAAATTTTTTTGAAAAAGAACAAAGTTTGAGAAATCACACTGCCTGATATCAAGACTTATTATAAAGCCACAGTGATCAAGACAGTGTGATACTGGAAAAAAGGATAGACATAGTGGTGTGCTGCAGCCAACTCATACCAGCTCATCAGAGCCAATGTCAGATTTTCAGAAGTTTTACAGGCTAGTTGTTGTCACACTGATTGCTTGAAATTATGCACTGTAAGAATACATTAAAAGCAGAACTCAGCAAACAACTACAAATCAAGACTTCCCTCCCCACCACCCGCCCCAGAGTCAGTTCTTAAACATTTACCAGCAGCCAGGCCACGGTGGCTCATGCCTGTAATTCTAGCTGAGGTCAGCAGATCGCTCGAGCTCAGGAGTTCTAGACCAGCCTGGGCAACATGGTGAAACACCGTCTATACAAAAAATCAGCCAGGCATGGTGGCACATTAAAATAATTTTTTATTTTTAAAATAATTTTTTAGCTGATAATATCAGGGGCTGGTGAGACTGCAGAGCAACTGGAACTCTCATACATTGCTGGTGGAAATGCAAAATGGTACACTTTGCAAAGCAGCCTGGAAGTCTTATAAAATGAAACATACTTTCACCATACAACCCAGCAATCCCACTGCCAGGCATTTACCCAAATGAACCAGAAATTTAAACTTCCAGAAAAACCTGTATGCAAATGCTTAGAGAGCAACTTTATAACTGCCAAAAATTGGAAAGTATCACACATCATTTATCTGTTGCATATGGATGACAAACTGCAGAATATTCATAATAAAGGAGTCCTATTCAGTATTAAAAATAATGAGCTACTAACACACACCACATGAATTAATCTCAAATGCATTATGCTAAGTGAAAGAAGCCAGACTCAAAGGCTACATACAATATGATTTATTTACATGCCATTCCAAAAAGGCAAAAAGTTTAGAAACAGAAATCAGTGGTTAACAGGGACTGGGGGTAAGGAAATAGGTTGGTACAGAGGAATTAGTTGGAGTGAAAAAAAAAAAACATTTTTACATCTTGACTACGGTGGAGGTTAAACCACTGCATGTGTTTGCCAAAGCATGCAGAATTGCGTATTAATACACTTGAGTTTTACTATGTATACATTATTTCTTAATGAAAAAAAGTTCAATTTTTAAGGAAAAGGTCACTTTGGCTGTCGGGTTGGAAATAGATTGTAGGGCAAAGGATAGAAGCAGGGGACCATTAGGAGACTACTGCAGTAGCCCAGGTGAGGGATGACAGTGACTTGGACCAAAAGTGGCTGTGGAATCTGGCAGTATGTAAGGTTCATCGGTGACCCTTGTGGAGGAAGTTTCAGTGAGGAGGCCAAGGGAAAGGCAGCCTGCAAGGGCCGAAAGTGGGAGGTGAGCATGCGCAAACAGCGCCGGATCCCTCGCTACTCTTTCAGGAAGCCTGCACGGACCTGCCCCTGGATAAGCCCAGACTCTGAGCTGGGCCTCAGCCTAGGGTGACCAACCATCCCAGTTTACCTGGGACTTTCCTGTTTTTAACACTGGAAGTTCTGCCTCCAGGAAAACCCCTCAGTCCAAGGCACACCCGGAAAGCTGGTCACCTATGCCTGGTCCCCGGCCAGCCCCTATGGTCACCCTGCAGTTCTGCTGTCCCTATAGGGTGATGTCCCTGCCTTCCATTACAAGCCTCTGAGCTCCTGCTAGTGATACTGCTCACTGATGCAGGGATGCGGAAATGCTCAGGAACAGGAGGGACATTGTGCTGCTTGGATGCCACCTTATGAAGGCTGTTCCATGACTCCCAGTATTGGGAATAAATAAATGAATGGTTTTGTCACTCCACTACCACCAAGTCAGGAGCACTGAGCTAGGAACACGCATTTCACCCCCCATTATGCTTCTGAAATGCCTGTCTTGAAAAAGATTAATCAGTTTTTGCATTGGTCTTGTCCTTCTATCTTCGCAGCTTTGAATACAGAAAAGCACTTCCTCCTACTTAAGATCTCTCCTTTGTTGCCTCCATACTCCTCTCTTCCGTGTCTCCTCCTGCCTTTCTGATATGTGTTTCTCAATCTCTTTCATGGCCTGATAAAGCATGAACCTTCCTCATACACGCTGGTGAGGCAGGCCAGGGTCATGTTTGAGTGCCTGGACATTAACATCAAATGGGACCAGGACTTGAATCCCAGATTTGCCTCTTTCTGGAATTGCAGCCTTTGACACATTACTCCTCTGACCTTCATGTTTCTCCCCTGTAAAATGGGTCTAATGAATTCTACCTCATTAGATTGCTATGAGAACAAAATTAAATGAGATTATGCATCAAGGGAAAAAGCTCAGCACAATACTTGGAACAGAGCAAAGCAACAAATAAAAGCTGTTGTTGGTGTTCCCAACAGTAATGTTCAACAATAGGGAAGTGGTTAATAAATTAGGCTACATACACCATGATTTATTTGTAGAATACTATATGATACAGCCATTAAAAATAATGTTCTGAAGAATACTTAATGGCACAGCAAAATGTTCACAATATAATTTTAAGAGAAAAAAATCGGGCTATAAAACTCAAGTCTCAATTCTGTTCTTAAAAGAAAGTATGAGTGAGTGTGTGTGTGTGTGTGTGTGTGTGTGTGTGTGTTATGCATGTATTTAGAAAAAAGAACTAAGAAGAAATATAGCAATATAGCAAAAATGTTGGCTGGTTAGCCTTTCTTTTTTACTTCTTCTTTATAGTCTTCTGTATTTTTACATTTTCTCTAATAACATGTATAGCTGACCCTTCATATCTGCAGGTTCTGCATCTGTGAATTCAACAGAGGATCAAAATATTTGGAAAAAAATAAAAAATAATATAAATTATAAACATTTACATAACATTTACAGTGTATTAGGTATTGTAAGCATCCAGAGATGATTTAAAGTATATGGGAAGGCCAGGGGCAGTGGCTCATGCCTGTAATCCCAGCACTTTGGGAGGCCGAGGCTGGAGGATCACTTACGATCAGGAGTTCAAGACCAGCCTGGCCAACATGGTGAACCCCCATCTCTACTAAAAAACAAAATTAGCTGGATGTGGTGGCACAAGCCTGTAATCCCAGCTACATGGGAGGCTGAGGCAGGAGAATCGCTTGAATCCAGGAGGCGGAGGTGGCAGTGAGCCGAGATCACGCCACTGCAATCCAGCCTGTGCGACAGAGCGAGACTCCATCTCAAATAAATAAATAAATAAATAAAGTATATGGGAAAATGTGCTTAGGTTATATGCAAATAAATACTACACCATTTTATATTAGGTACTTGAGCATCCTTGGACTTTGGTACCCAAGGGAGGTCCTGGAATCAATTCCCCATGGTTACTGAGGGACAACTGTCTTATTCTCATAACAATAGATGTTATTTTAACATTTCCATCATCAACTTATTTATTCAACAAAGATTTTTTTTCTGGCATATACTGTGTGCCAAGCAATATTCTAGACCCTGAGGATACTGTGTTGAAAAAGTCAACAGGCAGAATTTTCTTAAAACACCCTCTAGCCTTGCATTTAATTCCCCTTAATTGTTTTATGTATTAATTTTGTCTCCAACACTAAATTGTTTACTCCTCAAGGGAAGAGACTTTGTGTTTCCCTTCTCTGTAACCCTATATCACTCCCTGAATACAGGAAGAACTCAGTAACAGATTTCACTTCAGCAACGGGGGCTTGATTGAAATGGCCAGTTTTCTGGAATCAGTTACTATAGAAAGAAAAGAGAAGAGGTGCCTTCCTATGTTGGGTTGGTATCTGCCCTCTTCTTCCATTGTCTTGGGAATGATGAGGTTGAACATTAAAGACTGCCACCTCCACTGGGTTTTCTGACAGCACAGGAGCCAAACGGCTGGCCTGGCCTTTTGTCAAGGGAGCTTCTCTTTCTTCAAGCACCATATCATACACAACACACCTGCCTTTTTGAACGTTAAGCAACTTGAGAGCATGGCAGATGATCATGTCCTCTTATATCAGGAGATCTTTTTTTGTGTGTGTGAGACAGAGTCTCGCTCTGTTGCCCATGCTGGAGTGCAGTGGCACAATTTCGGTTCACTGCAACCTCCACCTCCTGGGTTCAGCAATTTTCATGCCTCAGCCTCCCAAGTAGCTGGGACTACAGGCACATGCCACCATGCCTGGCTAATTTTTGTATTTTTAGTAGAGATGGGGTTTCACCATGTTGGCCAGGCTAGTCTGAAACTCCTGACCTCAAGTGATCCACCCGCCTTGGCCTCCCAAAGTGCTGGGATTACGGGCCTGAGCAACTGTGCGGGGCCATCAGTTCTTTACTGTTTTTACATAGTGGATTCCTTGGGCAATCTGGTGAAGCCTACAGACCTTTCTTAAAATAATGTTTTTTGATGCATAAAATAAAGGCGTAGGATTACAAGGAAAACCAAGCGTGTATACTGAAGTACAATTACCAAAATAGTATGTTTAAAATATATATTACATAGTAACAGATTTGCTTCTTTGAACCACATTTAAAAAAATAAGACATTGCACTTGAAATACAGGCAAATTGAAGTTAAATTTTGTTTTTTAAAAGACATACCCATATAAAGGCTGCTTTGCCTAGTTTGAATAAGAATATGAGACAGCGGGATGTCTTTGATGAGATAATACACTTGTCATGCTGGACATCCAATTGATTTTGATTTTTTCTAGTAACAACATTAAAACTCCAATCCTCAAAGATATATTGTTGAAAATGGAATTAAAGCTTTTACGGCTCCTTTGCAAAGTAGACAGATGTTTCTGTCAAGGAGCACCAAAACTCTCCAAGACTTTTTAGCTAAACTCTAGTTGTAGCTGTTTTCCATCCCAAGATCAATGTTCGCCATCTTTGGCTAGGCAAACACCTTTGAGACAGTTTATATCAACAAGAAAAAGAATGCAATTCTATGGTCCAACTTTGATACCATCAAGATAGAAATAATTTTTAAAGGAGTTCTACAGTGTTTCCAGGTGTTTGTAGATTTCTCTTTTCAGATAAACTGACAGTATTTTGTATGTCAACTTCATTGAGATAAAGCACTTCCTCCAGCATCGCAAAAGTTGGCAAAGATGTCAGCCTGAACTCTCCTTTCATATTGGCAGCTGAGCCAAAAAAGCTGGTAAAGTTTTCAGGATCATTCATAATGGTGGTATCAGGGCCTCGAACTGGAAGGTTCATCTCGTTCAGATGGTTAAAAATATCCGCTGGGTCAGCCAACCCTCAGACAACATTTTTTCTTGCTACATGTTCCAGGAGAGGATTTTCTTTTTCTTTTAGAAAACAGTGAATCTTTCCCCTTGAAAGACAGTAAGCTTCTCTGTGGTAGAGAAGCACTTCATTTTCTGCCATCATTTCTTGACAAAACCTGCAAAAATGCTGTGATTCAGAGACTAGATAAAAGTTGATGACTTTTATGGCTGTTGACAAAACTTCTCTTGGGGTTTTTGAAGAGCCAGAATACGTTTGTGTGAAATGCGGTGAGTGAGAACAACATAGGTGCTCCCTTTTACTCAAGTAGCAAAGTCAGATGCATAGCCACGCATTGCAACAGCACTGTCTGTGCAAGGAAATGAACCTTTTCTGTCGAGTCACTTTTGTTTGACACAAGCAAAACAAAACAAAAAACCTTTATACCATCTGCAAAACATCAGCAGCTTTGTAGTTTCCAAAGGCACTCACAAAAAAAAATCTTTCTTTGTTGAAGTCAGCAGGCACATCATGAACAAAACAGGCAGGTGACTACCTGGAAGGATACCTGGAGTTTCACAGAGTGACGTGGGAGGAATGGCGAGGTGGCCAATTCCTCCATAACTTGCTTCAAGACATGCCTACTCTTCTTCATGGAAGCACCTCATCTGACTAAGGAATCACTTCCAGCTTTTACCTCTTTCTATTCACAAATCTCCATATTCCCAGTGTATGTGGCTTTAGATAAAGTTTCTCCAGTAATGTGAGGCTTTTTCTGTTTGACATCTGGTAAGAAATTTCAAGAATGCTTCAAGAAAAGGTTTTTATGGCAAATCCACATTTTGAAGTATCTGAACTTTTTTCTTTTCCTTTTCCTTTTTCTTTTCTTATTTTTTTTTCGAGGCAGGGTCGAGGTAGAGTACAGTGATGCTATTATTTCTCCCTGCGGCCTTGACCTCCCAGTCTCAAGTGATCCTCCTACCTCAGCCTCCTGAGTAGCTAGGACCACAGGTGCCACACCATCACACCCAGCTAATTAAAAAAAAAATTTTTTAGAATTGGGGTCTTGCTGTATTGCCCAGGCTGCAAGCTTTTCCTAGCTGAACTTCCTTCATACACATGCGCACAAAACTCCTGGGTGTTTTGGATACATCTTCCAGATAGACATAGGTGAGTCCTCTTTCAGTCTCCCTGACTTCAAAATTCCATTCCCAATAATTTTTTTCACAAAAGAAAAAAGTCATTGTGACTTTTTCTGTCCAATCACTTCATTAATGTAAACAAAGCCAAATACACGGTTTTCATCAGGCCTTCCTTTTCTTTTTCCAGCCTGAAGATAAATTGGGTCTGTAAAAAATAAATAATAAATAAAGCTAAAATAAAATGTTTTATGCCACTAACATTCTTTGAAGCATCATATTTTGTTTATGACTCCTAAGTAATTTGTTTGATAGACCTACATAGGAGGCAATCATTTGTATATTAATTAAGTGTCAAATATTTGTTAAATTTTATGACCAGTGAGTAAAATAAGACAGGTTTTATGATTAGCCAAGGTTTAAGTACCGTTAGTATCTTTTAACCTTTGCACAGATGTGGGATTACTGCAGTTGATCACGGGTCCTATCCTCCCTGAAATTTAGCTAGTGCTGCGTGTGACTTCCTACGACTTTTTAGAAATAATGATTCTCATTTCTGATATTGTCATTGTTTCTCACAAAGGTATTTTTTTAGATATGTGGTATTTTCACACAATAATAGTGCAAGAACATGTGAGTAACATAGTGTGCATGTAAGACTGCATTTCATATCACAGACATTGCACAAATACACAGTAAATCCAGAAAAAAAATAAAGAGGACTTCTGCTTCTCCCAGAGCTTATCGCACCGTGCACGACCTGCATCACCATGCAATCTGTCAGCAATCACAAGAAGTTGCTTTAAATAACACACTCCGACAGTTCACTCAGCAATCAGAAATATTCCAACTCAGCTGTGCCACCCAAGGTGGCACTGCCTACGGAGAGTTAAAAATTCAAGTCGGAACAGTTCAGATTGCAAAACTTCAGCAAACCATAAAAAGGACTCAACTACCTCGCAAATTCATCCACAAACAATTCAGTTAAGAGATGCTGGAAGGTCTGGGTCACCTAGAGGAAAACACTCAGATCCGCTGCTTTGATGGCTGCCCTGCTGAGGCACCAAGTTGCCACAAGTGGCCAGATGTAGAGCAGGAGAGTCTGTGAGGAATTCTGAGCTCACATGCTGTCTAGCAGCCAGTCTGATAGCTACTGTGATTTCAAAATAGTGGTGGGTGTTAATGACATTTCCAGATATCTACAACAACTGTAATGTGATGTGAAAACATTTGCGAATTCTATTAATGACAAAATCACAGTTAGAGCTAATATGACCGGTTTGTTGCCACATTTGTAATTGAAGGAAATGCTACATTTCACATAGAAGATAGTAAAAAAAAATATAGCTATAATTTTTCTCTACCCAAGTTCATGGAGCCTCTGGCTCCTGTTCCACAGACCCCTCAGCAGTGGAGTGGCAATCTACAGACTCAAGTTAAGAACTTCTACCTTATATAGCTCAGTGTGGTCCCAAGAGAGTGGTTCCCAAATTTCAGGTAAGAGAAATGCAAAACAGTAAATGTTTATAATGCTAAACTTATGAAACACAAGGTTTCTTTCTTCTTTGCTTTTAAGGTGTTCTTCCTGATACCAAAGCCTGGCAGAGACACAACAAAAAAAGAGAATTTTAGACCAATATCCCTGATGAACATCAATGCAAAAATCCTTAATAAAATACTGTTAAACCGAATCCAGCAGCACATCAAAAAGCTTATCCACCATGATCAAGTGGGCTTCATCCCTGGGATGCAAAGCTGGTTCAACATACGCAAATCAATAAATGTAGTCCAGCATATAAACGGAACCAAAGACAAAAACCACATGATTATCTCAATAGATGCAGAAAAGGCCTTCGACAAAATTCAACAGCCCTTCATGCTAAAAACTCTCAATAAATTAGGTATTGATGGGACGTATCTAAAAATAACAAGAGCTATTTATGACAAACCCACAGCCAATATCATACTGAATGGGCAAAAACTGGAAGCATTCCCTTTGAAAACTGGCAGAAGACAGGGATGCCCTCTCTCACTACTCCTATTCAACATAGAATTGGAAGTTCCAGCCCGAGCAATCAGGCAGGAGAAAGAAATAAAGGGTATTCAATTAGGAAAAGAGGAAGTCAAATTGTCCCTGTTTGTAGATGACATGATTGTATATCTAGAAAACCCCATCGTCTCAGCCCAAAATCTCCTTAAGCTGATAAGCAACTTCAGCAAAGTCTCAGGATACACAACTAATGTGCAAAAATCACAAGCATTCTTATACACCAATAACTGACAAACAGAGAGCCAAATCATGAGTGAACTCCCATTCACAATTGCTTCAAAGAGGATAAAATACCTAGGAATCCAACTTACAAGAGATGTGAAGGACCTCTTCAGGGAGAACTACAAACCACTGCTCAACAAAATAAAAGAGGACACAAACAAATGGAAGAAGATTCCGTGCTCATGGATAGGAAGAATCAATATGTGAAAATGGCCATACTGCCCAAGGTAAATTATAGATTCAATGCCATCCTCATCAAGTTACCAATGACTTTCTTCACAGAATTGGAAAAAACTACTTTAAGGTTCATATGGAACCAAAAAAGAGCCCACATTGCCAAGTCAATCCTAAGCCAAAAGAACAAAGCTGGAAGCATCACGCTACCTGACTTCAAACTGTATTACAAGGCTACAGTAACCAAAACAGCATGGTACTGGTACCAAAAAAGAGATATAGACCAATGGAACAGAACAGAGCCCTCAGAAATAATGTCGCGTATCTAAAACTATCGGATCTTTGACAAACCTGACAAAAACAAGAAATGGGGAAAGGATTCCCTATTTAATAAATGGTGCTGTGAAAACTGACTAACCATATATAGAAAGCTGAAACTGGATCCCTTCCTTACACCTTATACAAAAATTAATTTAAAATGGATTAAAGACTTAAATGTTAGACCTAAAACCATAAAAACCCTAGAAGAAAACCGAGGCAATGCCATTCAAGACATAGGCATGGGCAAGGACTTCATGTCTAAAACACCAAAAGCAATGGCAACAAAAGCCAAAATTGATAAATGGGATCTAATTAAACTAAAGAGCTTCTGCACAGCAAAAGAAACTACCATCAGAGTGAACAGGAAACCTACAGAATGGGAGAACATTTTTGCAACCTACTCATCTGACAAAGGGCTAATATCCAGAATCTACAAAGAACTCAAATAAATTTACAAGAAAAAAACAAACAACCCCATCAAAAAGTGGGCAAAGGATATGAACAGACACTTCTCAAAAGAAGACATTTATGCAGCCAAAAGACACATGAAAAAATGCTCATCATCACTGGTCATCAGAGAAATGCAAATCAAAACCAAAATGAGATACTATCTCACACCATTTACAATGGCGATCATTAAAAAGTCAGGAAACAACAGGTGCTGGAGAGGATGTGGAGAAATAGGAACACTTTTACACTGTTGGTGGGACTGTAAACTAGTTCAACCATTGTGGAAGTCAGTGTGGCAATTCCTCAGGGATCTAGAACTAGAAATACCATTTGACCCAGCCATCCCATTTCAGGGTATATACCCAAAGAATTATAAATCATGCTGCTATAAAGACACACGCACACGTGTGTTTACTGCGGCACTATTCACAATAGCATAGACTTGGAACCAACCCAAATGTCCAACAATGATAGACTGGATTAAGAAAATGTGGCACATATACACCATGGAATACTATGCAGCCGTAAAAAATGATGAGTTCATGTCCTTTGTAGGGACATGGATGAAGCTGGAAACCATCACTCTCAGCAAACTATCATGAGGACAAAAAAAACAAACACCGCATGTTCTCACTCATGGGTGGGAATTGAACAATGAGAACACTTGGACACAGGAAGGGGAACATCACACCCCGGGGCCTGTTGTGGGGTGGAGGGATGGGGGAGGGAGAGCATTAGGAGATATACCTAATGTAAAATACACACCAACGTGGCACATGTATACATATGTAACAAACCTGCACGTTGTGCACATGTACCCTAGAACTTAAAGTATAATAAAAATATATATATATAAATAAAAATAAAAATAAATTTAAAAAATAAAATTACTTTTCTCTCAAAAAAACAAAAGATGTGCTTCTAATGAAATGATAGAGACAACAGATGATAATTTTTTAAATATTTACTAGGTGAAAATGAAAAGTCAGCAATCCTATGTCAGTTCCCCCACCCACTCTTTGTATTGTGTTTATTGATCTAAGAAATTCAAAATCTGAGATGTGTTCGTCCAGGACAGTGTGACAAACCCAATGAGCCCCCATGTCTAGTTCCCCTAACAGGACCCTGGGTTAGTTCATTTGTCCACTTTTCAGAGAAGATGGCCCCATTTGCAGTCCATGGTGAAATTCTTAGCAGTCTACACCTTCACAGTCATCCCATTTTCCTGGCAGAGCACATAACTTGACTGTCTAGCCAGGTGAGCCTGAGAAGGATGTGGTTGTGACTGGGTGTCTGGTGCCTGGAAATGCCAAGGTCACCTTGCTACCACCAGGCAAGCTGGCCCCAGTGGGAGTCAGCAGAGTGAAGAGAGGGAGGGAGCCTGGGTTCTTGGTGACATCACAGAGCTGATTCTACCACCAGGGCAAGTGCTATCACCCGTGGACTTCCTGCCATGTGAGATGATTTCTAATTATTTACAACCATTGAGTTGGGGGATTTCTTACCACGCAAGTGAAGTCATCATCACTGATATACCTAGACACCTTGGGAAGCATTAAGAAGGGACATTACCTCTAAAGCACAGGTTCCTAAACCAGGGTATCAAATGTGCTTGCCCATCCCAGTTTATGTAGATTATGCCTCCTACAACCCCTAATTCAATCCATCCCCCCATGTCTTGCTGATTTTACCTCCTAAATATCCCACTGATCCTTCCTATTCTTTCCATCTCCTTTGCCAACTCTAGCCCAGCTACTGCCAGCTCTTGTTTGGTCTAAGGCATCAGCCCACCAACTCCCACCAGAGCCTCTTCCAAACAGCAGCCAGAGGGACTTTGTTTTAGTGCAGATCCACTCACATTGCTTTCCTGATTAAAATCCTGATTAAAACCTTTATTTTAAGTGCAACAGAAAACTTTTTAAGTTTTCTTAACTTAAGTAGCAAACTACTTAATTACCTACAAAGCCCTAGAGAACCTGGCCCTCCATACCCTCCTCCAGCTCCAGCCGCACTGGCCCTCCCCATCACTTTCCTTCCTGTGTCTGGTTAAAGCATTCAGATCCCACAGAGGTCAGCTCAGAAATCATTTCCTTAAAGAAAACTTTAATGACCACATTCTCTGCCAGCCTCAGGCTGGACCCCCAGTAATACTCTCACAGCCCTCCATCAAGCCCTTCCAAGGATTCAATGCGATCTTATTGTTTCACCATTGAATTCCCAGACCCTAATACAACGTAGGTGTTCAAAAAGTATTTGTGAAAGGAACAGATGGATCTTCACAAACAATCCCAGATACACCTAGGTAGTAGCTTGTCCCCAAGGTGTATCTGGCTTCATAAGCAGTGCACAGAAGCCCTCTTCACAGCTCCCTGTGTTCTGCTCACAGACACAGCAGCTTGCCCTTGACTACTCCCTCTCGAGGGAGGGAGGTGTGTGCCTCCTACCGTGCTTCTAACGGTGGCCCAGTATTTCCCACCCACACTTTTTCTGTATCGTGGAAGGAAGCAATATTGCATAATGCATATTATGAATTAAATGTTAGTGTCCTCCCAAAATTCTTATGTTGAAGTCCTAACCCCCTTTTGTGTTGGCATTAAGAGGTGCAGCCTGTAGAAAACAATAGGTTCAGCTGAAGTCCTGAGGGTGGAGCTCCCATCATGAGATTAGTGTCCTTATGAGAAGAGTAAAAGACTCTCTCTCTCTCTCTCCCACCTGCTCCCCTACCCTCACTCCCCATTATGGAAAGATAGAGCAAGAAGGCACCCATCTACAAACCAGGACAGCCCTCATCAGATTCTGCTGGGATCTTGATCTTGGACCTCCCAACCTCCAGAACTGTGAGAAATGTCTGTTGTTTAAGCAACCCAGCCTGTGGTATTTTATTATAGCAGACCAAGCACACAAAGATAATGCACTAAAGGTGTGGGCGACAGAATCAGACACATGGACTCATTCCAGTTCTGCCACTTCCCAGTTGTGTTTCCCAGGGCTAAGTTCATAACACCTCTAAGCCTCAGTTCCTCATCTGGGATAATAAAAGCATGAACCTCACACAGTTGCCATGAAGATTAAATGAGATCATATATGTAAAGCTCTTAGCAAAGTGCCTGGCACATGGTCTAAACATTCAGCAATGGGTGTCTTCACTCTTACTTGAATTACTGCCATAGAACTGAAACAGAGTCTTAGAGATCATCTACAGTTGACCCTTGGCCAACACAAGGGCCAGGAGTGCTGACCCCTGCCCCCACACAGTTGAAAATCCACATATAACTTTTGACTCCCTCAAAACTTAACACCCTTAAAACTTAACTGATAGACTACAATTGGTTGGAAGCCTTACTAGTAACATAAACAACACATATTTTGTATGGCATATGTATCATATACTGTATTCTTACAATAAAGTAAGCTAGAGAAAAGAAAATGTTAAGAAAATCATAAGGAGAAGAAAACACATTAAATATTCATTAAGTGGAAGTGGATCATCAAAAAGGTCTCCATCCTCAAGTCTTCATGCTGAGTAGGCTGAAGAGGAGGAGGAAAAGGAGGTCTTGCTGTCTCAGGGGTATTTTATGGAAGTAAATGATAAAAGAGACTAGTATCTACACATATTTTATGCATTCATGACATACCTTTTTCTTAATTTTTTTGGCATTTCTAGGCCATGCGGCTCATCTGTGAGCCTTTTCAAATTGTTGTACATTTCCCCCGCAAAAATAATCCCAATATGTTCGTTGAACAAAATCTGTGTAAAAGTGGACCTATGCAGCTCAAACCCACATCATTCAAGGGTCAACCATAGTAAACAAGCTGATTTCACAGAAGAGGAAACATGCTCCAAAGGGGCTCCAGCGGCAGAAGCAGCAGGAGGAGGCTGGCTGGTGACTCCTACCTGGTGCAGTTTCCATCAGAACCTGGACCCACCCTGATTCTCTGTGCTCTGATGACTCAGGGCCCTCCCAGGACTCAGAGAGAGTCTGCAGAAGGAGCAGTCAGGTGATTCTCTCCCCTGGACACATGGTGAGTTGAGATATTTATTGAATAAATGCAGAGAAGACCAGACCAGAGGGGTGCTTCTTGGCCCTAAGAGAACATGTATTCCCCCAGAAACATAAAGGGGCACCACCCAGGAGAATTAATTAATCCAGTACTGTTCATCTCTTTCAACAGGCCTTCCTGGGAAGGTCATTCCAGACTGTTTATTAGTTAGGCTTTCTTTCCACACTATGGTAGCTTTCTCCCCTTCCCGAGATCCACGCAGATGAATTTCCTGCTAATGGCATCCTCATCATGCCGATACCCAAAGGTTATTTTGCAAAGATGCAATTCAGAAATAGCTTTACATGTGCACGCATCTGAACAAAAAATATACTCCTTGATGCCTGCCTGATGCTTCAGCTGAGGGCAGCTGCTTGACAACAGCTTGACAACAGGGAAGATGAGAGAGAGATGCAGAGAAAGGAAAAGAGAGAGAGAGAAAGAGCCTAAGGAGTGTGGATACCAATGGGAGCAACACAATCAATCACTTCTAAAGGGCGCATTTGCCCTGGAGAAAAGGTTTAAGGAAATAAGCAAGCAGATTTAATGAAAAATTCTGAGTCTATTGATTGAAATCTGTTTGCCTTTTCTTACTATTCAAGAACACGACATTTTTGCATTAGGCAATTGGTTTATGACTTATGTAAATAGAAAACATAAAAACTTTTCAAGAGATGAGAAATTTCAGGAAAGATGTTTCATTCAATTGCTCTGCAGTGCTCCTGTCTCCTTCCCTGTTGTCTTTGTGATAAGACTGGTCCAGGCCCCTTCAGACTGAAGCCCCTCTCTGCTCCACTGCTGATAACGATCACAAACAAAGACAATAAAGAGCTGCTCTCAATATGCATCACACCCACCTCTCTCAGAAGCTGCTCCCTCTGCCTGGAACCCCGCTTCCTCTGGACTCTTTACCATCCTCTTGTCCACCACTGTTAGCCTAGAAGGCAGCATTCCAACACTATCTCCTGCCAGGAGCCTTGTCTGGTGTTCCCACACAGCATTAAGGGGTTCCTCCAGTGGGTTCCAATGGCGTTTTGTTCCCACCCATTGTGACAATGATCACACCGCTGTAACTACCAATTCCAAGACACATTTTCCCCCACATTTTCATGTTTTGATAGGTCAATGGGACCACTCCTATTGTGAAAATGATTACTCTGTTCATACTGCTCAATTTTAAAACACTTTTTTTTCACACTTGAGTGTTTCTGAAACCAGAATGTTTTGCTAATGTGGACACTGAGTGTGGTAGTGTTTCTAACTTTTTTTCTTCTGAAAATCTGTTAGTATATTGAGAGTACATTCTAAGATCAAAGAGCTGTGTTACTTACTTGTGTGTCTTGACTGAGAACTCCTAGGGAGCAGAAACTGTGTTCCAGTCATCTTTGTATCTCCATCCCTTAGCACAAAACAGTTAGGCAGCTATTGCTCAGTAAAGGTTGGAGGGAGTGAGGAATGGGGGGTGGCTTCTTTTTGTGTTGCTATAACAGAATACCACAGGCTGAGTAATTTGTAAACAGAAATTTATTGTCTCACAGTTCTGAAGGCTGAGAAGTCTGAGGTCAAGGCATCAGCAGGTTCGATGTCAGATGAAGACATTCTGTTCTTCCACGATGGTGCCTTGCACGTTGTGTCCTCACATGATGGAAGGCAGGATGAGAGAGAGCCCACTCCCAGAAACCCTTTATATGGCAGCATTAATCCATTCATGAGGGGAGAGCCCTCATGACCTAAACACCTCCCATTAGGTCCCACTTCACAACACTTGCCTTGGGGACTATCTAACACATGACTTTGGGGGGATGCATTCAAACCATACCAGGGAAGAAAGAAAGGAAGAAAAGAAGGAAGAAGGGGGACTCTGTACAATTTAGATATTACCTGCTCACCCCTATCTCATTCATTTGATTTCCCATAAGAAAGCAGTGGGGATTCTCCCCGCAAAGCCTTTCCTCTGGGCTTCCCTCCTTACCGTTCTCTGGGCACTCACCTCTGTGATGGAATATCAGCACAACACAAGGGTAGTCAACAACACAGGGCACACGCTACGATGAGAGAAAACAATCAAGAGGAAAGTTATAGGTTCAGCGTCATTATTCAATTCAGCTTCACCAGCCAGGAGCCAGGAGACCCTTCCACGAACTCTGTATTCCCCAGGTAAGAGCTCACCTCCACACCTTCCACCCATCTCAGCTCCTCCCTGGCCCACCAAGCATGCCCAGATCTGGGCTTTCCCTTACCTATTCCACCCCATTTCTGAAGACTCCAGTCAGCTGATTTCTTCATCTTCCCCAGCTCACGCTCTGCAGTGACATCTTCCCCAACCCCTTCCATCAAGGGCCTGCTCAAGCTTCAGCTCCTCCATGGCTTCTTCCCTGGTGACCCCTCACCATCCTCTGAACAGCACTGGTCATCTGAGCCATACCAATCAGCGCTGTTGACTCTGTGGCTGTTGTTTCATAGCATTTCCCACAGCATAGGGCTATACACAAAATCAGAGCTCAAACACATGACTGAAATGAATTAATACAGCAATTGGCTTTTCTGCAATGCTTCATCCTTTATCATTTCCTTGGTGCATCCTTCCTTCTTCTCCTAGCCCTAACAAATCCCTCTCTCTGAGGCCCCCTTGTTAGCTAAGAATTATGTCCCTTGCCTCTTTTTTTTTCAGGTGTTTTGTTAGAGACACCCTCCAATCACATGGCATGCAGCTCCCCAACATTCGAGCCTACAAGCCAGCCCTGACTTCCCTACAGACATATCTCTGAGCTGGCCTCTCTCCTTGGCTGCTGCACTTTTCTTACAGGTTCTTCTCTATCCTGATCAGAGGAAGCTTCATGGGTTCCTCTCCAATATCTCATACATCAAGGGGACATTAGAAGTGGAAGAAGGGTGTTAAGTTTAAGGTCAGGTTCCAGCCCATGCTGAGGTCCTAAGGGAGTGGGTGGATGAATGGCGGATGGATAGGAAGAACTCTTAGGGGGCCGTAAGTAGGTGAAATGTGGTTTTATTCAGCATCTCTCTTACACTGTCTCCGTCTTGGCTGCTTGCTCCGGTGGCTCCCACATACAGCTGCACAACCAGCTCTCTCTTCAGGGTTAGCAGCTTAACTCTTGCCCTACGGGCACAAGCAAGCCAAGCTGTGTCCTGGCTCCCCCATGTCCGTTTACAAAACAGACAGCTCTGGCTTTCTCTCTCTCTTTCTCTGGACACAAGCATGCCTGTACAGTGTCAGCAGGGAAATTATACCTTTTACAGATGATAGTGGCTCCAAGCCAAGTGATGAGCCTTCCCATGTTATGGCTACATGGCTGTGATTATACAACAAGTGGAGCTATGCTCCTGCGCTATAAACTGGCTGAGTCACGCAGGATGTTTACCTCGGCCTATCCTTGCTTGGCTGCAGTATAGCCATGTTCCTTACAAAAGGCCAGCCACATCACCATGTCAGCTTGTGTGGAATTCATAGCCAACTGACTCTATTAGGTTCTGTTGACATGAGCTGCTGTTAAGTCAGGTTTTTCATCCTTTACAGAAACAACAGATTTTGCGAACCTAAGGAGTGTAATTTAAATTTGTCCCTGTTAAATTTCATCGTGTTAAGCCTGATTGTTCCAGCTGGTGACGATCATGTTGAAGCTTCACTCTGTCCTTTCGATTTCTCAGTAGGGTGGAAACAAACTCAGTGTTTACAGCCTTAATGGGTGGCCTCAATGAAATAATTAACACCATGTCTACATCGGGGCTTTAATTCAGTTCTTGGCCCTGAGATCATAACAAAGCTGGGTCAGCTGAACTGCCTTTTAGGGCTCATTTTCATCACCATAGATAAGATAACCGTTCATTATCTTCTCCCAACCTCACTTCCACTATTAGGCTCCTCCACAGCACTCCCTGTCTCAGTAAATGCACTGCCATCCCACAGGTGGCCACGTCAGGAACTGGGGTTGTGGGGGGAGCGGGTTCCTAATTCCTGTCTCTCCATGAGCCCCACAATTGAATCAGTTCCTTAGCCTTATCAATTGATGATGCCTCCTAAATCAATCCAGTTCCTCAGCCACCAATTTCTCTTACATGTTAGACACGCCTTTGTGCAGGCTTCCTCCTGGCCTGCGTGCTCTTCCCCCTCCTTCATCTATTTATCTTCTACCCTTCAGGTTTCATCTCAAACCTTGCTTCCTCCAGGAAGGCTTCTCTGTCCTGTAGATGAGATCGGAGCCTCCTGCCAGCAGCTTCCGTAACATGGTGCTTTCTCTCTGATTCACCTAACTCACCACACGTTGTTGCTTGTGGAACTCTCCCCAGGTACATCTAAGTTCCCTGAGGATAGAGAAGGATTCTGTTTTGCTCATTGTATCCCTAGCCTACAGTAGATACTCAAAGAATGTTTCTTGAATTATTGCATTAAGTATGGTGCCATGAGTTTGGTTGCACAAGGTTTAAATCACTAGCAAGTGAGTGGGCTCCAGACCCCTAAGGCCTCTGGCATGGGGAAAGCACACCAGCTTTGCCCTCTACGCAGCAGCAGGACCCGGGTGATTCTATGAGCCTCAGTTTCCTCATCTGAAAAGTGAGAGTAAAAACGTATCATATGGGATTGTCACAGGGTCAAAGGAAATTATGCATATGAGTTTGCTCCCAAGCTGAAAAGCATGGTTCAAGCACAGGTCTAACCATAGCCATCCAGTCCCTCTGTGAGTGACTTTGCCCTGGCTTTGGAGGCTGTGCCAAAGTTGCATGGGCTCAACCTTGACCACATGACTCATCAGTGTGGGCTCAGTAAAGTCCAGCAGGTCTTTCTTAATTCCTTCTCAACCCTTTCTGCTATCCTCATTCTTCTGTACTACTGGGCCACTTCCAGAAACTTTCATAACCGCCACTTCTATTGCATTCTCTTGGTGGAGGGTTTAGTGATCCTGAAGGCCCTAGAAATACATGGAATTTAAAACACAAAATGGAGAGCATTGTGCATTTTAGTGAAACAGCAATTAGGAGCAGCAGTCACCATGTACTTGGGAGGGCAAGAGAGCCGAGGAGAAAAGTAATAAAGTGACCTCATAAAGACACTTAATTTCATTACCACCAGACGCAGTTTCCCATTATTGCTCTTGGTGTTTAATGGTTTTATGATTTCATCTATTGATGCTTAGCTAGTTCATTAACTGTGCTGCTAAAAATACAATTATCTCCAACAAACCCTTCATCACTAATAAATGGGGGGAAAAAACTTCCATCATTACCAGAAAGCAGTGGGGTGGACACACCTTCTGTGCAGTAACACTGCAGCCCCAAAGTTTTCATGGAGACTGAGACTGTAACCACACAGGTTTCATGTGGCCAGTTTAGAAATTCAGTCAAGCAACTGCCCTATTATTTGGCTGATTCCAGTTAACTAATGGACTGATTTTGTGCACCCAATTGACATTGACTTTGATTGAGCAGCTGAGTCACAAAGCTGGTGACCAATGTGAGATCTGAGGATCTGCTTAACTGCTCATTCGTTCACCGGGTATTTATTAAGCCCCTACTGGGAGCCAAGCCCCAGGTAGATGTGCAGTGATATGTAAAATAGGCAGGGGTTTTGTTTTGGGGAAGCCTGCAGCCTAGTTGAGAAGGTGTGTCTGCCGGGATCAGGGGAAGGAGAATCCCAGTAATTGAGCTGGGGGTCAAGGCAGAGAGCTCCACTCCTGAGTTGGGGTGTGGGGAGGAGATAGTGGGCACTGAGAAGGGTAGAAGGCTTTCCATTTCACTTAGCATCAAAGCCAAAGCTATTATGATGACCCTGCAGGGTCTGTCCTCCAGCCCCACCCTCTGACCTCTCTGTGATCCTACAAGAGGGGTAAAGGGATGTCAGTGCAAGTCACCCAGGTCATCAGTCAGAGGGAGCCCAGGGCCTAACAAAAACCTGCATAAAGAATTTTTAGGTGGCCCGCTTATCCTAAGAGGTCCCCTTTTTTTTTTATTTCTGGAGCCCAAACTGCTCAGCTGTATCCCCCTGCCCTCATTTCCTACTTCTTCTCCCCTCGCACACTCTGCTCAGGCCTCTTTATTTTTCCTTGACCAAGGCAGGCCTCAAGGCCTTTGCCCTTGCTGTATCTCTGCCTGCCATGCTCTTCCCCGAAGAGCCTCGGGGCTCGCTGCCTGGCTTCTTCCAGGTCTTTGCTTAAACTGTTCTTAGTGAGACCTTTCCTGCCCACCCCCTCATTCCCACCACTCTCTGCCCCTTTCCTGTCTTCATTTTTCTCTATAGCTCTTACTGCCATTTAAGAGATTACATATTTTACTTTTTTTATGTTTGCTGACTGTCTCCCCAACTAAGATGCTGGCTCCTAGATGGCAGGAGATTTTCTGTTTTGTTCCCTGCTCACCCCCCAGCATCACAACAGTGTCTGGCATTTAAAAGGCACTTAGTAGGCCAGGTACAGTGACTCACGCCCATAATCCCAACACTTTGGAAGGCCAAGGCAGGCGGATCACGATGTCAAGCAATCAAGACCATCCTGACCAACATGGTGAAACCCCGTCTCCTGTAAAAATACAAAAATTAGCTGGGTGTGGTGGGGTGTGTCTGTAGTCCCAGCTGCTCAGGAGGCTGAGGCAGGAGAATCACTTGAACCTGGGGGGTGGAGGTTGCAGCGAGCCAAGATCGCGCCACTGCATTCCAGCCTGGCAACAGGGTGAGACTCAGTCTCAAAAAAAAAGGTACTTAGTAAATTTGTGCTGACTGCCTGAATGTACTCATTGTTTGCCTATTGTCTCCCAGGCCCACCACACTCTCTGCACACTGCTCAGTCACACTTGGCTCCTTTGCCAGCTGACTTCTTCACAAGCTCTCTCAATAAGAGATGCTGGGAGAGTAGTGTTGATCTTCTATTCCTCTCACTCTTTCTCTCGTTCCTTCTTCTCCAGGTGATGTCTCTCAAGCAGCTGTGCTATTTCCATCATCTCAGCTCTAGCTGCAGCAGTCCCTCCTCCACAGCAATGCTCCCGAGGCTACGGCTCCTCCTCTGCATCCCAAATCCTAATGATAACCCTCCTTCTTTTTGTTCCCCCAGCCTTAGCTGGGGCAGCAGCTTTCTATAGGTCATAAGCCCTGGGCCACCTCACAGTCTCCCTCTTGCCATCCCAGCCTTCCAACATCTACACATTCTATAGCCAGTGTTAAATTCCTCTATCAGATACACCAAGCCTGGTTTGTGTTTTCCTGCCTGAATCCTGACAAATACAATGAACCGAAGAGGGAAATCAACGCACAAGTACAGTCCTAGGGACTCAGCCAACACAGGGAAAGGGGCAGAGAGCTCTGAAAGAGGCCCTCCCACCCTTCCCAACTCTGTGAGGAGCAAAGACGCTCCAACAGCAACGAAGAAGCCCCACCAGTGCAGACTGGTGTGCCAGATGCCAGGTGAAGGCTGACCCCTCTCAGTGGTGGGGCAGACACTGAGGAGCATGCTCTGACTCAATTTGGCTTGGCTCCTGAAGGTCTGAACCACAAAGACAGCCCGGTGCATCCAGCTGAGAGATGCTGGAGAAGAGAGACACAGGACTGATTCCCCGACACTCTGCATCCCAGGCCTGGGGGATGATGCAGAGCATTCTCAGTGGCCTCCCAGCATGGCATATACCAGGTGATCATCGAGGCTGCCGTCTAATCACAGTCATGGTTATTGCCTCACACCACATAGACTTCTCCTTCAGTCCTGTGACCACAGCTGAGACAATGCACAGTCCAGGGGTGCAATTTTTAATGAGTCTGAGGTTGAAATGTATAAATGTAATTGGTAATTCACACATTTTTTCCTGAGAAGTTGTTATCGGTAGCACATCTCATTATGAATAGCATCTGGAATTGAAGAATGGAAAAGCTGTCATTCCCAAACATCGCGGCTTCTCAGAGTCTCACTGGGAGTGCCTCAAAAATTCACATTCTCAGAACCCAACCTCCAGTAGTTTCTATTCAACGGGGCAACACTGGGGTCCGGGAATTTATAGATACATTTATATTTTAAATCTCCTTATGGTATTAGCAAGAAAAACTGACATTTTAATGTGTTAGATGGTGCCGCTGCCCTGTCACTGCACCTAGAAGCAGTCCCATGAGGGTAGTGTTATTGTTCCCATTTTTATGAATAGGAAACGGAGGTCTGAGAGGATTGCAGCTCCCATAGCTTACTAGTGGTAGATTGGGGATTGAGAAGCCCATGTTCTCTCCATCCCATCATGCCAGCCATACTCACACCTTTGACCAGAAGGAAGGGCTGAAAGGCAGATTCTGAAATGAACTTTTGGTGTCAGGACCCTCTCCCAACCTGGAGGTGGAGAACTAGAAGCAGAGCAGAGACCCATCCTCCAAGAAGATTCAGATTCTCCCAGGGGTCTTCCCAGTGGAGCCAGGACCCATCAGGCCAATCCACCTCGTGAACTTCTCTGCAAGACAGAAAGAAGTACTGGATGTGGCCCCACCCTTGAGGTGCTTCCAGTCTCATTAGGAAGAATAACAACAAAGAACAATGGCCGGGCGCGATGGCTCATGCCTGTAATCCCAGAACTTTGGGAAGCCAAGGTGGGTGGATCACTTGAGGTCAGGAGTTTGAGACCAGCCTGGCCAACATGATGAAACCCCATCTCTACTAAAAATACAAAAATTAGCCAGGCCTGGTGGTGCGCTCCTATAATCCCAGCTACTCGGGAGGCTAAGGCACAAGAATCGCTTGAACCTGGGAGGTGGAGGTTGCAGTGAGCTGAGATCACACCACTGCATTCCAGCCTGGCCAAAAGAGTGAGACCTCATCTCAAAAAAAAAAAAAAAAAAAAAGAGAAAGAAAGAGAGAAAGGAGAAAAAAAAATAAAGAACAACAGGCAGTACTGTCAAATGCCACAAAAATGGGACAAGGATCATGCATATAAGCCTCCAGGGGAGAGAGAGAACTTTCCAGGAACTGAAGGGCATCCTCAGCCTCCACTCTGCCCTTTGGGGAGAGCATTTGAGTCTCCGGAACTCTGGTGGTGCTGTGGCTTCCTTTGGATCCTCACACAACCTCCCAATATAGGTTCTGTTAGTCCAATTTTACAGATGTCCTAGGTCATACTGTTGGTGACAGTCCAGCTGGACTCAAACCTCGGTCTGCCTGCCTTTTGAAATCCATACCCTTTCAACCACACCATGTCCTCAGTGTGTGTGTGCACACTTACACATGCACACACACACACTCACACACACAAACACACACACTCACGTGTCTTATCTACTGTCTGCAGAGGCAATTGTTTTTTGGAGAATGCAACATAGAATACACTGCCAGGTGCATTCAGAGAAGCCAAATCTCCCATAATCCTTCCTGGGGATATTGTTTGCCAAGAGAATGGATTTTTGTGGTGTTTGTGGGGTTTTTTGTTTTACAGTTTTGGGGTTTTTTTAAATGATTAAAAAATAAAGCACGCAGCTTATAACATTTGAGATTTATTCTTTACCTGGCAAGCAGCTTTGTGCCGAAACAGGGCTATACTCCCAGTGCTGGCCTAACCACCAGGAAGCCTGCTCTGTTGGGCACTGGGCTGAGGGATGAGGGGAACAGCAAGGTTAACAAATGCCAATCAGCCAAGGACTTGACCAGGCCACCAAGTGCCCCAGGAACATCCATTTTTTCATCTAACAGATATGCATTCAATGCCTATAGGGTCCCAGGCACTAGAGGTAATAAAATAGCCCTACCCTCAAGGTGCTCAGTCTGATGCGATGGAACAAAATTAGTCATTACAGGCAGAGCACAGTTGCTCACGCCTGTAATCCCAGCACTTTGGGAGGCCAAGTTGGGCAGATCACTTGAGGTCAGGAGTTTAAGATCAACCTGGTCAACAGGGCAAAACCCCATCTCCACTAAAAAATAAAAAATTAGCCAGGCTTGGTGGTGGACGCCTGTAATCCCAGCTACTTGGCAGGCTGCGGAAGGAGAATCGCTGGAACCCAGGAGGTGGAGGTTGCCAGTGAGCTGAGATTGCACCACTGCACTCCAGCCTGGGTGACAGAGTGAGACTCTGTCTCAAAAAAGCAAAAGAAAAAGAAAGGAAAGGAAAGGAAAAAGTTAATCATTACAATACAATGTAAGAAGTGATACAGTGCAGGCCTGCGGCAGCATCCAGAGCAATAGCAAAGTCTGCAAGAATGGAGCGGGGAGAAAGGTGTTACGAAAGCACAAACAAAATTGGAACTCCAGGACCAGAGCTTTGAAGATTAAGGAAGATTTTCTTTCACATACAGAAAAGGGAGGAAGAATTCCCGAAAGAGGAGACAAGAGAGCAACATGACGAACAATTAATAAGGCACAGTGCAGTGAGGACTGTAACATACCTGGAGCAAAACTGGGATGCAGAGGAGGTAGGTTGTGGATTGCACCTGGGGAATGAGTCCTAGATTGATGAATTGTCATTTGACTTTTTCCTAATTCATGCTCACACACAGCCTGATGTATTTCAGAATGTGGCTTAATTGGTATTTTAATTATATGCTTATACCCTGCAACAATTTCAAATGAGAGCAGGTACATGAAACAAGATAACACAGTGAAACCACTTAGAGGACTATGAAGTGTTAGACCAAGTACTGTTGGTAAGGTTGTTTTTGTGTTGTTCTAAGATTCCTGAGGCAGATTACTCCGTTCATTCCCATACCTATTTCCTGAGCCCCTGCTACATGCACAGCTGGGGCCAATGAGCTGGGAGAGCTGGAGGGAAGGGACACAGCAGTACTTCCCCAACACCCAATTTGGTGCCATCCATGGCATGATGCCACCCACCCTGGCTGAGAATGTGTGAATGTCAGTGTCTGTCACTTAGACCAGTGAGGAGGCACTGAAATGGTAAACCCATTGGCATAGCAGTGCTGGGTGGCTGAAGGGTAACAGACTTAGCCTCCACTCCACCTCTCTGCCTAGAGGCCTTGAGGGGCGGCAGCTCTGGATCTCAGTGTTCTCATCTGGAACATTCAGGGATAATGGTGATGGCATGCAGTATCCGAACTCAGAAGCAGAGTCCCCACATGTGCCTCATGCATTCATACTGGCTGCCCCAGGGTAAGGGGTACAGGAGCTGCAAGAAGCACAAAGGAGAGAGGTGTGGACACTCCAGGAACTCTGAGCTCTGAGCTCAGCTCTGCCCATGGCCTTGGATATCTCATTGAACAGCACTTGACAGACTTGCTTTCCTCCCCTGACAGAAAGAAAAAAAACAACTGCCAAGGAATCCCCAAGCCCCAGCTTATTCAATAGCCGACACCAAATGCCACATCCATTCATTAATTTAGTAAACATGGATGGAGTATCTTCTGTTTGTAGGTAATGCACAAGGCACTAGGCTACAAAGATTTTTTAATAAAATATTTTTAAAATAACAAAAAGACACAGCCTCCCAAAATTCATGCAGCATTCTAGCCAAGCTAAAAATAAGAATATTTAAATTTTTTAAGCCAGTGATTTACCTGGTGTCTTCTGGGGTAAAGAAATAATTACAAAACAATGATAACAAGTGTTACTTACAAGAGAGTCTAAATTTTAGAACGAGGCTCTAGCATAGGCCTAGGCACATAGTCACCGTCCAGTATCCAGGGGGATGGGTTCCAGGATCCCCCACAGATGCCAAAATCCAAGGATGCACAAGTCCCTCACATAAAATGATGTAATATTTGCATATAACCTATGCACATCCTCCCTTACACTTTAAATCATCTTTAGATTACTTATAATACCTAATACCATGTAAATGCTATGTAAATAGTTATTATACTGTATTTTTTATTTGTATTTTTTCCAAATATTTTAAATCCAAGGTTGGTTGAATCTGCAAATGCAGAATCCACAGATATGAAAGGTCAACAGTAGTCAGTGTTCATAAATATTTGTTGAAATAATAAAGGATGGCCGGACGCAGTGGCTCACACCAGTAGTCCCAACACTTTGGGAGGCCAAAGTGAGTGGATCACTTGAGCCCAGGAGTTTGAGACCAGCCTGGCCAACATGGCGAAACCCCAACTCTACAAAAAATACAAAAAAATTAGCTGGGCAAGGTGGTGCATGTCTGTAGTCCCAGCTACTCAGGAGGCTGTGGTGGGAGGATCACCTGAACCCTGGGAGGTTGAGGCTGCAGTGAGCTGTGATATTACCACTGCACTCCAGCCTGGGCAACATAGTAAGATCCTATCTCAAAAAAAAATAAGTAAATAAATAAAAGAAATAAGAGAGGTTATAAGAACAGGGCCTCATGAAAGCATCTAGGAGCAGTACCCAGCCCATGGGTGGGGTCAAAGAAGGCACCCCGAGGGAGCAACTCCTGATGTCTGCAATTGCCTCAGTTGGATCCACTTGGATCTGCTTTGGGGAAAACCCAGGCTGAGGGGCTGGCAAGAGCTCTGCTCTCTAGGGAGCGTCAGGCAACAGAGCAATGGCCGCATCCCACACTGCCTCTAGGATTTAAGGCTGAGGGGCTGTGAGTCAACGCTGCCTTTGCCAAGAGATGCCCAAGTAGTATACGATGTTTTTAGGGCTAGGGAGGAGGTGGTGGTGGCAGATTCAGCCTCCACTCAAGCTGAAGTGTTTGCAAACATGGCCAGTTGGCCACACCTACCTGCCCAGAGGGCCCCCTGCTGGCACCTCCTCTCACTGAGTCCCTGGCTATCTCATTTGGCAAGAGCACAGCAGAATCCAGGCCTAAATTGCTTGTTCTGTCTCCTTCCTGCAACTTCCTGACATAATCATCTTGTCAGGCATTTGTCCACATGCCGAAGAATGAGCTTGCCCAAGGCCAGCTCCATCAACTCACTCTTTTATCCATGTAGCACTCGATTCAGGCTGAAAAATAGGATTATTTCACTTTTTAGCTGGTGTACAGCCTGGCAGAACTGTTTTTGGGAAAGTGATTGGTAATGTAAGTGGCACATGGCAGGGAGAAGAGCACCAGCTCAACCACCCACTAACCCTGGGGCCCTGGGCAAGTCACAGAAAATCTCTGAGCCCCCATTTCTCTGAAGCACTTGGAAAGGACAGATAACAGAATGCTCAGGAGCCGAGGGACAAATTATAAGCAGCAGCATAGCAGATGCATCACCCACATCAGCAGAAGTGCACACTATTGGATGCTTCAGGTGAGGGCATCTCAAAAAACCCACTGTATTAGGGGCATAGCAGAATAGGTGGCACTCAAATTAGATCATTTGAGGAGAGATTAATAAAAAGATTATGTATGAAGCTGTGAGTGGGGCAGAAGACCTTGGGGGAATAGTGCAGTGTTCTGAAGCTAATAACAGCCTTAGCATCCTAATAGGGCAGAACTGGGAGCCCAGGTACAGGGAGGAGTGTCTACAGAGAACCTGCTGGGAGCTGCAACCTTCAATGGAGGGATGCAGCCAGACGATGTCGACCCCACAGAGAGGGAACCAGGGGAATAACTACCCCAGCCTCTCTCCCCTGACTCTCTCCAGACTCCTGCCAGGGATCCCCACTCACCAAACTCAAGCAGACACTGAAAGGTAAGGGAGCCCTTTGATACATTCTACATGCACCAGCCCAGGAAACAAAGCAGGGTGAAGGAGGATGAGAGGTTGGCTATGGAGAGACAAATAAAGATATCTAGCACACCCCACAAAAGCAACCCACAAGAAAAAGGGTCAACTTTGAATGTCTACCAAAACAATGGGGGCACCAAAACAGCAAGATCATGACAGTCCCAGCCAAGTAAGCTCTTTCCTGCCTCTCCCACTTCCTCTATGCTCCAGCCAACCCTACAGTGTTCAGAAACTGCAGTTAGTAAGTCAGTAGATTGAGGATGGGGTGAGGAGGTACCAAGCAGGATAGTAGAGAGCTCATTGTGCCTCCTTTTCCCAGTGCAGGCTTTTAGCCTGACAGACCACAGCTGGAGAGCGTATCAGTTAGAGTGTGAGAGGCTGCAGTAACAAAAAGTCCCAAACATGCAGTGACTCAACACAGTACAAGTCTGTTTCTTGCTCATATAACAGTACAGGAAAGTGCCAGGTTAGGGTAGTAGGGAAAGCAGTGGGCTTTGCTTCATCCACGCAGTTAGAGTCCCACACTGATGATCTTTAACAGACAGCTCCCACATGCAGGCTACGTGAGGACTTATCAATGCACAGCCATCACAGGCAGGTGCTACTGAGAAACAAAAACACTTCAGTGGCAAATTATAGAGAGATCTGGATCACTCCCATGTCAGCCAACCAGAAAGAGGAGATAGTATGAAGAAGCACACATGGGAAGTGTTTCTGGGACAGGCCTGGAAATGAAACCTATCCCTCTGTTCACATTCCATTGGCTAGACCTCAGTCACACGGCCACTTCTAACTGCAAGGAAGACTGGGAAATTGAGTCTGCTGGCCAGCCATGAGATTAGAACTTTTATTATAAGGGAAAATGGATTTTGGTGGACAGTTGTCAGTCTTTGTTACAGAGAAATTTTAAATATTGAATTTTGCTTCTACACAGAATGGACATTTTAATCACTGACAGAGGCCAGGAGCGGTGGCTCACACCTGTAATCCCGCACTTTGGGAGGCCAAGGCAGGCGGATCACTTGAGATCAGGAGTTCAAGTCCAATGTGGCCTACGTGGTGAAAACCCATCTCTACTAACAATACAAAAATTAGCCAGGTGTGGTGGCAGGCACCTGTAGTCCCAGCTACTTGGGAGGCTGAGGCAGGAGAATCACTTGAACAAGGAGGTGGAGGTTGAAGTCAGCCATGATCTCACCACTGAACTCCAGCCTGGGTGACAGAGCGAGTGAGACTCCATCTCAATAACAAATTAATTAATTAATTAAATCACTGACAGAGTTTTTGTGATTAAAAGTTATAAGAGAACTTCCCTTATTTGACAGGGGAAAAAGGAGTCAAGACATCTGCCCTAGATTTACCAAAGGAACAAAACAGTACCAGGCAGAGAGCAGGTTTGAACCAGCTTGAACAACAGTTTGAAAAACAGTTTGAAAGTTGTTTGTTTACACTTTGGGGATTTCCACTTGCTCAGTGTGCCAGTTATTCTGTGATCAGAATATGGGTAAATTTTTTCTCTCTCTTTTCACTTCTCTGAGAGAAATTTTCTAAATTGCTTATAATAAATGTTTCTTTTAAATGAAGAAAACTATTAAAAATATACATATTTTTTAAAAGTCAATGAAGTTAGTCAATCTTCTTATTCTGACTGCATTCAGTTCTTTACTGACCACCAGTCCCCTATGCTTTAAAAAGCCATGTGTAATACCATCTTACATATCATTTTTCCTCCATTAATGGTGTCTCTTTTGCTCAAGTCGACTCAACACTATTCAATCCCATTTGACTCTTCCTCCCTCACCCCCGCACCCAGTTGATGACTAACACCTTGTTATGCACAGGGAAGTTGGTCATGGCAGCTGGGGAAGGGGACTGAGGGCTGAGGACAGCAGAGCAGAGCATGCAGGCTACATGGAGGACTTATCAATGCACAGCTATCACAGGCAGGTGCTACTGAGACACAAAAACACTTCAGTGGCAAATTATAGAGAGATCTGGGTCAGGATCCAGGTAAAAGCAGTAAAGAAGTTTTCCAGGGATGACGGGGCTCATAGATGTCATCTAGAGACCAAGTCCAGGGCATGTACTTTAGACAGTGTATGGCTTCATCCTGCTTCAGTTCTAAGTAAATCTCCCCACCACTCACACGCCACTTCCCAACCCCACCTCCATTGCCATCATCATCTGCATTTGATGTCCAAGCTATACATGGTGAAGTCAGGAACAAAACCAAGAAGTCAGCTCAAGACTGTAACCACTCTATAGTGAAAATAACGCTCCCGTGCTCGCTTCGGCAGCACATATACTAAAATTGGAACGATAAAGAGAAGATTAGCATGGCCCCTGTGCAAGGATGACATGCAAATTCGTGAAGCATTCTATATTTTTATCTTTGACAAACCTGAAAAAAACAAGCAATGGGGAAAGAATTAACTATTAAATAAATGGGGCTGGGAAAACTGGCTAGCCATATGCAGAAAACTGAAACTGGACTCCTTCCTTTACGCCTTATACAAAAATTAACTCAAGATGGATTAAAGACTTAAATGTAAGCCCTAGAATCATAAAAATCCTAGAAGAAAACCTAGGCAATACCATTCAGGACATAAGCATGGGCAAAGTCTTCATGACTAAAACACCAAAAGCAACGGCAACAAAAGCCAAAATTGACAAATGGGATCTAATTAAACTAAAGAGCTTCTGCACAGCAAAAGAAACTATCATCAGAGTGAACTGGCAACCTACAGAATGGGGAAAAATTTTTGCAATCTACCCATCTGACAAAGGTTTAATATCCACAATTCACAAGGAACTTAAACAAATTTATAAGAAAAAAACAAACAACCCCATCAAGGATATGAACAGACACTTCTCAAAAGAAGACATTTATGCGGCCAACAAGCATATGAAAAAAACGCTCATCATCACTGGTCATTAGAGAAACGCAAATCAAAACCACAATGAGATACCATCTCACGCCAGTTAGAATGACAATCATTAAAAAGTCAGGAAACAACAGATTCTACAGAGGATGTGGAGAAATAGGAATGCTTTTACACTGTTGGTGGGAGTGTAAATTAGTTCAACCGTTGTGGAAGACAGTGTGGCAATTCCTCAAGGATCTACAACTAGAAATACCATTTGATTCAGCAATCCCATTACTGGGTATATACCCAAAGGATTACAAATCATTCTGCTATAAAGACACATGCACACGTATGTTTATTACAGCAGTGCTCACAATAGCAAAGACTTGAAACCAACCCAAATGCACATCAATGATAGACTGGATAAAGAAAATGTCGCACATATGCACCATGGAATACTATGCAGCCATAAAAAAGGATGAGCTCATGTCCTTTGCAGGGACATGGATGAAGCTGGAAACCATCATTCTAAGCAAACTAACATAGGAACGGACAACCAAATACTGCATGTTCTCACTCATAAGTGGGAGTTCAACAATGAGACACATGGACACAGAGAGGGGAACATCACACACCAGGGCCTGTCAGGAGGGATAGCATTAGGAGAAATACCTAATGTAGATGATGGGTTGATGGGTGCAGCAAACCACCATGGCACGTGTACACCTACATAACAAATCAGCACATTCTGCACATGTATCCCAGAACTTAAAGTATAATAAAAAAAAAAGAAAAGAAAAGAATGCTCCCACTGCAATTGATAAAATTACACATGTAAAGTGCTTACACTAGCTATGTTAGTTTGCTAGGGCTGCCATAACAAGATATTGCAGATTGGGTGGCTCAAACGGAAATGTCTCACAGTTCTGGAGTCTGGAAAGTCCAAGATCAAGGTGTCAATCAGTTGGTTTCTTTTGAGGGCCATAAAGGAAAGATCTGTTCCAGACCTCTCTCCTCAGCTTGTGAATGGCCATTTTCTTCCCACGTCTTCACATGGTTTTCCCTCTGTACATGCTGTGCCCTAATCTCTTTTTGAAGGGATGCAAGTCATACTGGATCAGGGCTCACCCTAATGACTTCAGTTTACCTTACTTACCTGTATAAAGATCCTGTCTCCGAATATAGTAACATTCTGAGGTACTGGGGGCTACGGCTTCAAATATCAATTTGGCCAAGGGTGGCTGAGGGGTCACAATTCAGCCCATGCTACTAGCTAAGTGATCATAGCTATTACTAGGATCCTGGAATTCAAGGACCCCCACAATGTCAACATCCAAATCAGCTTTCCATTCAACTTTATGTATCTTACCCCCATCCGAATCAGAGGTTTACAGGCACTTTTGACCAAAATACCACAAACATTCCCTCCTCCAAGCTTTTTCTCTACTGTGATGGCCCACACCCTATAATCTACCTTGTGATAAGAAACACACCAAACTCTCCTCATAGTGAAAGATGCAGCTCAAGCCCCATCCTGTATTCTATGTCCCCTTTACAGGTTAGGAAACTGAAGCTCAGAGTGGTTAAGGAATTTTGTCCAAGGTCACCAGAAAGTGAGGCTAGAAATGCGATCCTAACTCCACCTGTCCGACTCCAGGTCCAACGGTCCCTCCACGCTGAACTCCTACAGCAACCCTGGCCTGAAGCACTCACAGGGCAGTGAAGTTTACAACATCCTGATGTCCTCTTCATTGTCACCTGGAGATTTTAGTTTGAGCTTTTAAGTCCTTATTATCAAATTTCTATTCACATCTTTTCCTCCTACCTATATTTTTGGCACCTTGAGACAGGAATGGACTTTTCACTTATACAGATCTTTTCATAGCCACTGGCAGGGCTCGATGGAGATGGCTGATGCTGGTGTAGGGCCAGCGTGGGGGTCATTCTCTGAAACCTAAAACACATACCCACTCCTCCAGGGAAGTACACACACTCCTCAGAGAGTTGGCTTCAGCCAGCTGGACACATTGGGCTCTGCCTCCTCCAAACACAGTGGCTTCATGAACCAATTGATTCCAGAGATGGAACCTCTGCCATTCCCTCTCAGCCCCAGGTCCCTCCCAGAGCTGGAAGCAGACCAGGCCTCATGCTTGAGTGGGGCATCCCAGAGCCCAGCTTCTAGAAATAGGGCTGGATATCCACACTGACACATTTGCCTCCGTCTCCTTCTGCTTTCCCCCTTCCTTTCCTGTCCCCAGTCTCTCCTCTCTCCTCTTTCCAGGACCTCCAGGTTGCCTAAAGCTAACCTCTGCTACTGAGTGGCTACTGTAGGCCAGGCACTATTCTAAGCACTTTATAGCTGTAACCATTGCATTGAACAAGAAGGACTCAGGAAGTGATGACACAAAGGTATTTTTACTCTGAGTCTCACAATTTATTTATGCCTCCTCAGTGGGGGTGGGCTTTCTTGGATAAAACCTCAGTCCACATGGTTCTTTTGGCCCCTTAATAAAACTTCTGGAGTCACTTTAAAGTACAAACAGCCTTAAGTCCACAATTACAATGGTTCAACTCCACGCAATAACCAAAAGTAAAGACTTGACTAAAAGGTGAAATGTTCTTCCCGTGTCCAGCTGAGCTCTGCAGCGTGGGGGCTTTTTGAAGCATGTGTGACCGTGGGGAACAAACAAAGTGGTATGGGGGTGTGGTCTGTGGTGGCCATGGGGGTAGCCACTCAAACCTCTTTCAGGAAAACCCACCAAGAGGAGCAGAGTTGACTGACAGCCCAGGAGCCACACTTGGGATCTGCCCCACATTTGCACCAAGGCTATAGTTCCCAGGGACGCCCCCATCTAAAAGCTGAGTGCTGCAAAGGTGCTAGAACCAGGCCATTGCTGCCTGCCAGGAACTCTTCTGTTGGGCAACCTTGGCCAGGGCCAGAGAGGGGACTAGCCAGCCTTGCCCAGACCCACTCCCCACTGCACTGCATCTGAGACTTTTCCTACCCAGTCCTCCTTCTTTCCCACTCCTGAACCATGGACCAAAGCCTTTATGCCTAAACTTGCTTCCTTTCCCTTTATCCTTCATAGGTATTTCCCCTAACAAATCTCTGCCTCTCAGGAGCCTGAATTGATATGTGACCTTTTTTTTCCTGCCTGGCAGTTTCTACTCCTCACCAGCCAAAGGGGCCAGTGGCCGCGTGGGAAGCAGGTGTCATCAGCTTCTCCTTTTCTCCCTCTGTTCCTCCCATCTCACTTACTGCTCCTTCGCCTCCCGTCTCACACCCAGACTGGCCCTGACTTAAGATGGCTCTCACTCCCAGGACCTGGCAGGGCTTTAACACCAACCACGTTTCTTATGTGGCACTTTCATGGGTTCCTCAATAAGGGCAGCGCCTCTTCTGCTAGCATTTCCTGTCCTCCCCCTCAATTTCAGTGTATTAGTCAGGGTTCTCTAGAGCAACAGAACCAATAGGATGTGGATGGATGAATGGATGGATAGATAGATGATAGAGATAGAGAGAAAGAGAGAGGGTAGATAGATAGATGATAGAGATAGATAGATAGATAGATAGATAGATAGATAGATAGATAGATAGATAGACAGACAGACAGACAGACAGACAGATAGAGGATTGGATTGCCCAAATATGGAGGCTGAGAAGTCCCAAGATCTACAGTTGGCAAGCTGGAGACCTGGGAGAGCTGATGGTGTAGTTCTAACCCAAAAGCCAGCAGGCTAAAGACCAAAGGGAGCTGATGTTTCGGTGCAGCTCCAAAGCAGAAAAAGACAAGTGTCCCAGCTCAAAGCAGTCAGGACAAAGGAATTCCCTCTTTTCTCAGCTTTTCTGTTCTATTCAGGTCTTCAATTGATTGGATGAGACCACATTAGGGAAGGCAACCTGCTTTACTCAGTTTAGCAATTTAAATGTTCATCTCATCCAGAAACACACAGCCACACCCAGGATGATGTTGAACCAACTGTCTGGGCACTCTGTGGCCAGAAAATTATGTGACACATAAAATTAACCATCACATCCAGCTACTGCCCCCAACAGGGACACCCCACAGTGCCTTAATGCTAGTGTTGGGAGCCCTCTCTTGGCCGGATACATTTTCTGGCCTCCTTCAGCCTACAAATCTCATACCTGGCCGAGGGTGCAGGTGTGACCTGCTATGGGAGAGGAATGTGACTGCTTCCAGATGCCATCTTCCACTCTGCTGCCTCAGTCATGAGCCATGCCCAGGCCTCCGTGTTCCCAGTGGTAGGAGGTTCTTCAGGCTCTCCGAGTGGTCACCTCTCCACCACTCCCCCTGGGAATTGGGGAGGATGGGGAAGGACCCCCAGCTCACCCACAACTCTCTCAGAAAAATACTTCTCAATCTCTCTCAGCCCTTTAGTATGCTCCTATGATTATGGAGTTCAAGAAGTAGTGAACTAGTTGCTGTTCATCTACTGTAGTCTGGGTATAACTCCATCTTTGCATTTCAGCCTCTATTGTATCTTGGTGCCATGGCAGAAACTTTTTACACATCCTGTTACATAGGTATTTCTTCATTTTTAAGCCTCACAAAAACCTTGTAAGATAGGAGTCATCCTTACCCCCATTTTACAGATAGGGAAATTGAGGTACAGGGAGGTTGAGGAGTTTGTTCCATATCATACTGCTATTAAATGGTGGGGCTAGGATTTAAACCCAAACGGTCTGGCGCTCATCCCTACATTGCACTTACACAATGTTAGAGGGAAGAAGAAGAATGGCAATGGCACAAAATTATTTCTTCTCCATCAGAACAGTATTTTACTGAGTGAAGACTCAGTGTCCTACATAGAGTCACAGTCAGCACTGTCTAGCAGGTATGTGTTTCTTGCCTGTAATAGGTCACAGTTTGATTGATACTTGATTTGGTCTGTTTTCTCCAGTTTGCTGCCCTATCTCTCCTCTCCCCTTGGAGTCTCAGTTTCCTCACCTATAATAGGAGGATAATATAAGATCCGCCTCACAAGGCCATGGTGAGAATTAGCAATAATAAACATCAGATCAATGGCACATGATTATATGGTGGTAAGAGCATTAATTCTAGGATCAGCAGATTTGGGGGTCAAAGACCAACTTCAATATTTTTTAGCTGTGTCCCACGGGCAAGATACCTAACCTTGCTAAGCCTCTTGTGGACACAACATAGTACCTACATTACAGAATAGTTGTAAAATGAGACTTAGTAAAGTATTTGTAAAGGGCTTGGACAGGTAACCAGCATTTGATAAAAATCAGTGTTTGCTGCTGCAGCTGCTGCTGCTAATTCACGCATTTGTTGTGCTCCTTCCCTGATGTAGTCACTGTGCTGGTTTTGAGACAAACAATGGATGCGCTCCTTCCCCATAAGGAGCTCATGGCCTGGTGAGGGAGGCAGGCAGATGAGTTGACGGACAAGAGCGAGGCATGAGGTGGGTGCAATGAGACAGTGAACACAGGGCCAGGGAGTAGAGAAAGGATCCTCTGTGACCGCTTCCTTCCAGACTTGGCTTTGGCTTTGCTGACCCATCCCTTGCTCAATGCCCCAGGATAAGAAGTCCACCTCTGACTTCAATGGCCTGGATTATCGCTTGACTCAGAATCAGCAAGTTATGCTGTGGTGGCAGGAAGCGGCCCAGTGAGGAGATGGCTGTGTTTGCAGCTATCTGAAATACCTGCTCTCTAAAAAAGAAAAAATATATATCTTCTGAACCATAAATGCTGCTGGTGAGGGCTCAGAGATGGCATATGTCCCCCAGATAAGTTAACCAAGCTTATAATGGGCTCCTCACACATCACCAGAGGCCACCTGTGAAGGCAGCGCACCCCCCGGGACTGAAACCACGTCGTTCCACCCTTTGAGCCAGCTCAGTGACCGGCTCAACTCAGAGGCAGCTGGCTTCCCTGCCCAGAGGAGCTAGCCTCCGGTATTAGCACCACCAGAGCTCCCAGGATCTCCTCTCTCACCAAAGTTGCTGTTGAATTCCAGGCAGGACCTCCCTAAGAGGAAGCAAAGCCTCACAGGCCTGGGGCCCGAGGACCCTCTGGCCTGCTGTGGAGACTGTGACTTTCACAGCATGAAAGCCACAAACCTACTGGAGGCCTCCCACCTCATTTTCACTGCACCCTTCCCCCCAACACCTTCCAGGCCCAGGCAGGGGCCAGCTTCTCCCCCTACAGGCCTCTTTTGTGCCTGGCATCTGTTGTCCGTCTGCATCCTCACTGCCCCACCCTTGTTCAGATCTGCCTTGTGACCCAGCTGGACTGTGTCAAAGAGCGCCTAATGGCACTCCTCCCTCTAACCTCATGCCTCCTGACGCCACCTTGACACCTGGGTGAGGGGGACATTTAGCTCTCGCCAGGCCACTCCCCTCCTCAGAAATCTCCCCCAGCTCCCCACCACCCAGCAGAGGGACAGAGCCATGGGCTCAGGCCAGACGCAGTGTGTAGATAAGTTTTGTTTGACCTACGTAGTGTTTGTAAAATTTTTGAATGATAATTTTAATATCAGGAAATGCATATAAAAATTCAGGTTTCTGGCTTTTCTCAAGTACCAGGAGAGCTGGCAAGGGTCCGTATATCTACCTGGAGCCATCAGCTGGAGCTGGGTTGCAGCAGCTGCTCACCCCACCAGCTTCAGCTGTTCACCCACATCAGGGCCACTGTAAACATTGGAGTGTGGGACCCCAGCCAAGTGTTTAAGTCCAGACTCTTTGGGCTCCTTCCCTTAATCCCTTCCTAAGTCTTCCTCATAACCTCATCTCTCGCTATAGACAGAGGGAGCACATGATGTATCTTTCAAACTGGAACAATTTTGAAAGTAAAAAGAGACAACAGGAATCATTAACAGCTGTTCACTGAGCCACGAGAGTCATAAAGTGGGACTTTTTCTGGGCAACCTGGGCATAAGGTCTCCCAACTACTGGCCCCAACTTGGGCATCACACACCCCAAACTCCAACCAAGACACATCGCTCATGCTTCCTTAATGGAGCCTACATTGGCAGGTCAGTGCTTTCACCCCTGTTTTCCTGCTTCTAGAAATATCCTTCCTTCCCATCTCAGCCTGTCAAGATCCAGCCAGCACTTCAAAGCCCAGACCAAATGTGACTGCTTCCTGGAAGCACTCCCATGTTTCCTAGTTGGAATTCCTCTTCCCTCTTCTGAGTGTGTAAATTTGCTATGACCCTTCCTTGTGTCTCGCATTAGAATCATGCCATACATTCAGCCAACAAACATTTATGGACCACTCAGGATCCAGCAGTGAGCAAGGCCAAAGTTCCTCCCCTCGGTGAGCATGTATTTGACCGCAAGTGTCACCCTTGCTCATTAGCTTACAAACTTCTCAAGGACAGGAATTGCGTGTGGAAGGTCTGGTGCTCTGAACCCAGCAGATGATCAAGAATATTTGCCACATTAAATTGTAAAGACCTCTCTGAGCCTTACCCTCCTCCTCTGCCACAGGGGGATCATACCCACCCTTCTTCCCTTCCAGTATAGCTCTGAGGCTTCATAAGAAGCCAAGGGATGGTTCTTTGTAAAGTTAAAAATATTTTAGCATTGTAGAGTTCTAAAAACAGCAGCTACTGAGCAATGCAAACTGCGGTCAGCACATCCTGTATCACCTCCTTTTAAATGATAAACATTATCATTCCCTGTTAACAGAGGAAGAAACTGAGGCTCAGAGAAATTGATTGGCTGGTGAGGGAGAGCCAGGCTCAGTCCTGAGCCTGTTTGGTGTTTGGCTCTGGACTCTGAATGTTTCTGCCACACCATGCTGAATATTAACTAGATTCCAGTGTGACCCAGTTTCTCCTTTAGGAACAAGAAAGACTAGAAGTGCATCTGAGGGAAATCTAACTTTAGCATCCCCCTGGGAAGTACCTTAGCAGATACTGTTTCCACCCTAAATGACAGTGGAGAACATAAACAGTGACTGGCACGGAGGGACCAAGATGTCTGGATCCCTGGGCCTAAACCTGTCTGCCCCCACCCCCACTGTGCCTCCAGCATCCCCATGGACATTGCCCCCTCAGCCTCTCTGGGCAGTGGGGACCTTCAGAGGCTGCAGCAGGCCTGGTCTAGGGCTGTGACGGGTGATAAATCTCCCTGAAGTGGAGGGTCATATCTGTGAAGGTCCCCTGCCCTACCCGCAACACACACACAGGTCTGGAGACTCCATTTAGCACAGGCGAGGAGGAGGGAGGGGAGAGTGGCAGGAGAAGCACAGTGTTCTCAGTTCACCTGCTGAGATTATGAGTACCTTTCACCTGGGGCTGCTTCCCAGGCCTGAAGTCTGTGCCTGGCTCTCTGCAGGAACTCTGGTCATTGCCAGGAAGAAGCACAAATTGGGTTAAAAAGCCATGCTACCATGATTCCAGAACTCCCATTCTGTGAGGCTGTGCTTCCCATGTCAATGAACAGCCAACTCCCTGTAAATGTCTGCTGATTTCTATAATTACTTGGGGAAAATGTCATGTTTGCCACTGTGCTATTAGTGTAGCACACAGGCTAAGATGCAAACAACTCCACACCAACATAAATATTTTTAATGGCGCTGTTCCAACTCTCTGGTGCATGTGCTTCCAGATGATCACACAAGAGAAAATCAAAAAGAAGGATCTTCTGTTATGAAATGTAGTCATACGGAGGCTGCGTCTGAAGACAGACAGTTCCAGTCAGCTGTAAAATCCAGTGTGATCCTGCATTTGAAGCCATATGTATTCTCTCTTCCTTGAGACTTGATCACTACCTGATTTGACTGTGAAACAAAATGCTGGATATTTAAGCAGTTTTCACAGGAACCCTTAGCAAACGCATCATAGGAACTGAAAAAGGGAAGAATCAGGCTGACCTTTGGGTAAGTCAATATACTTCCTTGGGCCAAGGTTGTCCCATCTATAAAATCGGGATAAGATATCAACTGACCAAAGTGAGTATGACTTTCTTGTACTTCCTTCAAGCTCTGAAATACATGATGCATTGAAGGCTTGTGATTTCATGCCAAAGTAACTTGCAAATAAATGTCAGGATTAACCAGGTGGCGTGGCTCACACTTATAATCCCAGCACTGGAGGCCAAGGTAGGGGGATCACTTCAGGTCAGGAGTTCGAGACCAGCCTGGCCAACATAGTGAAACTCTGTCTCTACTAAAAATAGGGCAACATGGTGAAACCCCGTCTCTACTAAAATACAAAAAAATTAGCCAGGCATGGCATCTTGTGCCTGTAGTCCCAGCTACTTGGGAGGCTGAGGCAGGAGAATTACTTGAACCTGGGAAGCAGAGGTTGCAGGGAGCCGAGATCATGCCACTGCACTCCAGCCTGGGTGACAGAATGAGACTCCATCTCAAAAAAAAAAAAAAATTAGCTAGGTGTGGTGGAGCACACCTGTAATCCCAGCTACTTGAGAGGCTGAGGCAGGAGAATTGCTTGAACCTGGGAAGCGGAGGTTGCAATGAGTCGAGATCACACCACTGCACTCCAGCCTGGGCAACAGAGTGAGACTCCATCTAAGTAAATAAATAAATAAACAAATGCCAGGATGCTCTTTAGTTTCTGCTGACTCTAGGAGAAGTGGTCAGGCCTGCCCTAACATTGGCAGGGCCCAGGGAAAGATTACAAATGGAGACCCATGTGTTACAGGTCACATTTAGAAGTTAGAAATCAAGCTAATAAACCATTAAATAAAAGATGTTTTTGTTCTTCTTCCTTGACAAAGTAGGCCTTCAAAATGACCTGGAAGGCCAGGATGGACTTTAGAATTCTTGACTTCTTAGGGTTCCACACCACGGTATTGTAGTTGGAAGAGCCTCCCCCAGCCTTTCCCCTTTTCTCCCACTCCTATCTCCATCTCAAGGGGCCTTGCACACCTGCTTGCGAGCAATGCGGCGTGCATGTCCATGCTCTGTACATGCATACAATCACATGCACACATACACAACCAATAACAGTTCCAGGAGTGTGTGCACTAGCAGCATAAGCCATCCTCCAGAGGATGGACCTGGGAAAGAAGCCTGATAATGGACTTGGGGCTGTTTGAGCTGGAAATCCCAGGGTCCTGTGTATCCTTAGAGTGACTGAGAAGAGGGAGCACTTCCACTGGTTCCACACCCTATAGAGAACTGTAAGTCCACGGGAGACCAGAGTGGGGCCAAGACAAGGACCCCTCTTGACTGGAACTATAGGCAGCTCTAGAGGTGGTGTAAATGATATGCCATTGGCAATGGGCTACTTTCCCCAATATATAAAGAACTCCTTCCAATCAGCAAGGGAAAGTGATAGAGACTCCTCCACAGAAAGTGAAGAGCCTTCATTTAAAAGAATATGAATGGCAGCCGGGCGCCGTGGCTAACGCCTGTAATCCTAGCACTTTGGGAGGCTGAGGCAGGCGGATTACCTGAGGTCGGGAGTTCAAGACCAGCCTGGCCAACATGGTGAAACCCCGTCTCTACTAAAAATACAAAAAATTAGCCAGGTGCAGTGGTGCGCACCTGTAATCCCAACTACTCTGGAGGCTGAGACAGGAGAATCACTTGAAACTGGGAGGTGGAGGTTGTGGTGAACCGAGATCACACCACTGCACTCCAGCCTGGGGTACAGGTCGAGACTTTGTATCAAAAAAAAAAAAAAGAACATGAATGGCCCCTAAAAATAAAAAGGTCAAAAGTTTGGTAGCACATTTTGTTGACAAGGGAGTAAGCAGCAGACATTCTCATCCCACTGCTGGTGGGAGTGAAGGCAGTGTGAGCTCTTGGAAGCACATGTTGGAAACTGCTAGAAAACTTACAAATGCATACACTCCTTGACCCAGCAATTCCACATCTACTTGTGGAAGCTTGAGAAACTCTTCAACAAGAAAGAATATTAATTGCAGTATGTCTCGTGATGGCAAAATACCGGAAGCAAACTAAAAGTCTGCCAGGGTGGAACTGGTTAACTCAGCAATGTCCTCCGTCCAATAGAATGGCATGAGGCAGATCTATATGAGCCCATACATGGAATGGTCTTCAATATACATTGCTTAGTGTTGAAAGAAAAGTGCCCAGTCAGGACAGTGGTGGTGTGCTGAGATTTGTGTGAAAAGAAAGAACCCACATATACATACACATATATTCATTGTGCAAAAGCTCTCTGGAAGGACACACAAGAGACTTAACAGAGGCTACATTCAAGGAGGGGATCTGGCTGGCTGGGGAGAGCTGTGAGCTGGAGACTTACTCTTTTGCTGTATCTCTTTTGTGCCTTCTTAATTTGTACCATGTGTATGTTTTACTTATTCCAAAATACTCAAGTAATAAAAAATAAAACCCTTAGCTCAACACACTATCTGTTCCTTCTGTTCCTTGTTTTTTCTCTTTTTTTCTTTCTTCTTTTTTTATTTTTTTAGAGGAATGCAGTGGTATGATCATAGCTCACCTCCCTGGGCCCAAGCAGTCCTCCCACCTGAGCCTCCTGAGTAGCTAGAATAACAGGCACATACCATCAAACCCAGCTAATTTTTTTTTTATTAGAGATGAGTTCTCCCTATGTTGCTCAGGCTGGTCTCAAACTCCTTGAGCTCAAGCGATCCTCCTGCTTTGGTCTCCCGAAGTGCTGGAATTACAGACATAAGCCACCAAGCCTGGCCTGGCCCTATTTCAATAGTAGTTATCTTTTCTACCTTATGCCATCATCATTTATACACTACTTTTGCATCCTCATCTATATTTTACAGTTTGTGAGGGCAGAATTCATGTCAAATAATAACTAAAATTTTTGAGAATCTATCATATGCCAAGCCCTGTTATCAATTCTTTATGTGCATTATCTCATTTATTTCTCTATAATCACCTCTGATGGTAGGGACTGTTACTATCCTCATTTTACTAGCAGGGCATTAAAAAAAACTTCCCTAAGGCCACCTAGCTATGTGCTGCAGACGCTGTCTGATCCCAAAACTGTTTGACTCCATTTCTGGCTGACTTCAAGTTTGCCTTAATCATTGTACATAGCAGCTCATTCTTCCTCTGATACACACAGAGTACCTGAAATCAGTAATGCATAAGTGAATGGGTGCATGAGTGAGTATATGAGTGATGTACCCACCACATCAACAGTTATCCTGCCTGTTGTGCTTCTAGGTCATAGCATGCTGTTCCTAGATTTGGGGAGGACTTCCTTATAAATAACCACAGGTTTCCATTCCCTGCTACTGCCTGGAGGGAAATATGGAGATGGAATTTACCAACTAAGGAAGATGAAGGGGCTGGTGGTTTCACATAAGAGAGGATATTTTTTAAGCAAAGGCGCTGGGGTTTAGACAAGAGCCTGAGGGCCTATTCTGTCACTTCTGCATGAAGCATAGTTCACATCTCAAAGCTCTGAAATGTCAGAGAGCTGATTGTACAGTCCCTGGTCATACAGAGCCCAAGGGTTCCTTCCAACAGCAGGGCAGCCTGTACATGCTCATCCTGCAGTCTAAGGGCCGAGCAACCATGAATCCCATGTGGGATAGCCTTGTTTGAGCATAGAAACAAAGGTTTCTAGTCCTCTCTACCAAAAAAAAATTGCTGATGTGTTCATGTACCTGTTTGTTTTCCACACTCCAAACAAAGCCCACTGTGAGCTTCCATAAGACAATTTGAACCAGGCCCCATGATCCTTACACACAATTCTGTCTCCTCATCTTGCATGATTTATATGGGGTTTAAATAATAAATTGCATGGATGCTATAGAATTTATAGTGCTCCAAGTAGGTCATTAAATAAATCACTGTATAATTTATATAAATGAACCTAAATCATGCAGCAGGAGGACTTCATTAGAAAATCAATCCTGTGAGTGGATAAACATGAGGACTGGCAGGTGCACTGTTGTTTTTGAAAAGTCCCTGCATCTGTGACCGCATGTGAAGGTGCTCTGTGCTGGAGGGCACTCACTTCTCCCAACCCCACCCTCCCCCTGCTCAGTTGTGGGTGCTCCCAGGAAGCTGGGTTCAGGCTTGCAGTCTCCAAGAAGACCTGCTTCCACCTCCAAGTTCCCGGGCTCTTCTAGCGGGAGTCCACACAGCCGCAGGGACTCAGGTCACCTCAAAGGCAGCCAGCCTCTTACCATTTCCATGGCAGAACTGAGGATAAAAGATAAGGCTTGGGGCATTCTGAGTAAGGAAATCCACAGGGCTCCCGCCAACTAGAAGCCCAGTCTTGGCTTGAACACAGGCCAAGAAAGAAGTCCAAACATCTTTGGCTGGCAGGAGTGTTCACCTTGCCGTGGGCAGATGTCTGCCTGATGCTGCTGCCTGCCAGCTGTGCTTCCCCCAGCCTCCCATGCAGAATACATTCCAGCCTCCATCAGGAACCCATTCTTGAGGGGACATAAAGGACAGATCGGTCCAAGGGGCAGGTCCGATTAGGGCAGCTTAAACCCCTCAATTCCTCTCCAGGTCCATTCTGGGACAGGAGAGCCTTGGGATCTCCACCTGGCAAAGAGAAGCACATCATTAACAGCAGCCTGGGGCAGCTCTGCCAGTCAGGGTGGGAGGCAGGAGGCTGACGACTGAAGGCAGAGACATTTTAGGATATGGGAATCTCAGGCGAGGAGGTCCTGTATTTTTAAAACCGTTGCTTGAGACAGATCATTGAGATTGAGTTAAACAAGATGCAAGATGAACAAATGGCCTATTAATAACAAGCTCTCTGGGAAACTCTACAGGCTCAGTGAGGCTCCCCAGAACCCTGTGGGAAGTTTGGCAACAAGGAAAGCTGAAAGAGTCATGATGTGGCAGCCCATGTGTGTCCTATGCTTTTTAGTCACTTTAAGAACATGAGTTTAAAGACGCTGATCCCCCCAACACTTGACTTCCCTAATTCCTTGGCTTGCACACTCTGAAATACTGCAGGTCCAGGGGGTCAAGGTAGCTCTTTGCTCCTGAGAGGGGAGGCAGCTGGGGACATGGCCCCAGAGGGCCTGTGAGGACCACAAAACTGCCTGTCCCATGGATTGGGCCAGGCTCCTTTTGCCCTCTGCTCCTGTGGGTCACTGTTGCCCAAACACTCACAGGTGGCTGTGCCCATCGTCTTCATTGAGACCCTTTGGTGTTGATGCCTAAGAAATAAGAGAATGAAGCCCTGATAGCTGGGACATCCTTTGAATCTCCCAGACATCGTTCAATCTCTGTCTTAGTGATCTGAGGCCAACAGCTATAGAAAAAAAAAAAAAAACTGTCACCTGAACAGACCATCATTCACCTAATTTCCCCACTGGATCATTGTCTTAGCCCATTTAGGTTGCTATAACCAAATTCCCTAGCCTGGGCAGAGTATAAACAGCAAACATTTATTTCTCACAGTTCTGGAGGCTGGGAAGTCCAAAATGAAGGCATGGCAGATTTGGAGTCTGCCCCACTTCCTACATGGCGCCTTCTCCTTGTGACCTCACATGGCAGAAAGGTTGAGGAGCTCACTGGGCACTAATCTCATTCATGAGGGTGGAACCTCATGGGGCATAAACCATAGCAAGTATCGAGATCACCAGGGAGGTAGTGGCAGAGGGGACCAGCACACCCTGTGCTTCCAAGATCTCATTTACAGTCACAACTGAGATTTTTCCCATTCTGAAAAGAGGAGACAGAAGGAGAGAGAGAAAAAGAAGGAAAGAGGGAAAGGAGGGAGGAAGGGGAAAGACATCTTGTGAATCTACTGACTCTACTTGTCTCTCAAGTTACTACCCTAGGTTTTTTCTCTTGCCTTTATTGCCTAATTATTGTTGTTTGTTTATTTGTTGTTTGTTTGAGCTCTGTTGCCCAGGCTTGAGTGCAGTGGCACAAACATAGCTCACTGCAGCCTCAACTCCCTTGAGCCAAAGCAATCCTCCTGCTTCAGCCTCCGACATAGCTGGGACCACAGGCATGTACTACCACCATGCCTGGCTTTTTTTTTTTTTTTTTCCAGAAGCAAGGTGTCCCTATATTGTCCTGGCTGGTCGAACTCCTGGGCTCAAGCGATCCTCCCACCTCGGCCTCCCAAAATGCAGAGAGTACAGGTGTGAGCCACTGCACCTGGCCCCAATTACCATTTTTCTTTCTTTCTTTTTTTTTTTCTTTTTGAGATGGAGTCTCACTCCGTTGCCCAGACTGGAGTGCAGTGGCATGATCTCCACTCACTGCAACCTCTGCCTCCCAGGTTCAAGCAATTCTGCCTCAGCCTCCCAAGCAGCTGGGAATACAGGTGCCTGCCACCATGCCCAGCTAATTTTTTGTATTTTTAGTAGAGGCAAGGGTTCACCATGTTGGCCAGGCTGATCTCGAACTCCTGACCTCAGGCTATCCACCCACCTCAGCCTCCCAAAGTGCTGGGATTACAGGTGTGAGCCATCGTGCCCAGCCAATTATCATTTTTTAAACAAGCCCCACCTGTTGCCTTTTCTGCTCAGCTGCTACTCACTCCTGAACCCCTTTGCCTCTGTGCACACTGCTCTCTGAGAAGTTGCCAGCACCCTCCTCCTGTATGCTTCTGTTCTCACACATTCCAGCATCCCCACTGCGTTCCACACGACTGGGTCGCCACCCTGCTGAAGCCTCCTTCTCCCTGCACCTACAAAACTCTCCTGTGGCTCTTGTTCACTCTTTACTTCCCAGGGCTCTTTGACTTGTTTTCTCCTTTTCCTTCTCTCAACATCAGCATCCCCCTTGGTTTCAAATGCCATGCCCATGAAGATGACTCTCAGATCCACATTTCTGACTCTGAGCCGATGCCTTCATGATAAGCAACCTCTCTGGTTATCATTACATTGCTCTAATTGGATGCCCCACTACCTAAAACTGAACTCACCATCTTTCTCCCTGCAAATGGACTTCCTTCCTAGGACTCATTATCACCATGTGGAATATCTCCATCCTCAAGCTCCTGAGGCCTTTTGAATGCTCCAGTTGTTTTAACACCCCATACAATCCTTCATTGACGCCTGCCAATTATTTCTATGATGTTTCTCTCACATCCACTCCACCCCCACTGCCCTCACCCCAAAGGAGCCCTCATCGTCTCATACATGGTCAAGAGAAATATGCTTTTAAAGCCAGGAGGAATCCAAAGCTAGGAGTTAATCCAATCTTAGCAAAGTCTCAGAGGAAATGTGCCAAGGTCACATAGCTGTTTAGAGTCAGGGCTTACACCCAGGCTTCCCAGCTCTGTCCCTCACCTTTCACCTCCACCACAGGTAAACTTCACAGTGGCAGCCTAACTCCTTTCACTTTTCCTTATAATCACTTACCAAGACATTTTTTGGGGTGTCCGGCCATCTCACCCAGGAGGGTGGAACCCTGCGGTAATACTGCACCATGTGGTTTCCCTTCCTGGTTAGAAGTTACTGAATGAAGGATGGTCATCTGACTATTCAAGACAATCAGATTTTTTCTCCCAATATTTGGAATTAGAGATAAGAAAATTCTAATTCAGCCTAAATTCATCTCTTGAAGGTGGCCTGCCATTCACCCACCCTCTGCTCTAAGGTGCAAAGGAAGGTGGGCTTCAGAGTGATGCAGACACATAGAGAGAAGCAGACAGGAGTGGGAGAAAGAAGCCTAGAGAGTGGCTTTGAGGTAGCAGAAGGACTGGTGACTCTATCTGACCCATTAGCTCCATCTATGTCCCCAATCCATCCCCAGATAAACACATAATTTGAGCAAAAACTGGTTTTGCCATGAGAACAACTTCAAAAGTCTTCTAGCCTTAGAAGTTTTTGCTTTAAGCTATCTCAATTTGGTTTCTGTTGCTTACAATCAAAGAGTTTTAAGTAATTCACCACCCATCCCAACCAAACCAAACATATGCACGCACACACACACACACACACGCACACATACACACACACACACACCATGAACCTACTCAGGGTAGAGGGTAGTTTATCTCAAGCCCCTGTAAAAACGTTCTCCAGCCAGATGTAGGCGAATGCTTTTCCATTCAACCTGCTCTCAGCTCCTTGCCCCTGCCTGCCACTTCTCCCCAAGACAAATTCACAGACTCATCATTGTTATTGCCTCAAAGATGACCTGCTCCAGCTACATCAATGGGCTCATAATCTGTTGTATAGGTCCTGCTTCTACATCTTCGCAAATGCCTCTGTCCCTTCTGCAACACCCTGGTCCCCTCCTTTTCAACATTCTGTGTCCCTGTGTGGCTCCAAACCCTACCTGAGTTAATGTTCCTTGGAAAAGCTTTCCTGCTGAGGGTCATCCAACTCCCATCAGCACCTCCAGCCTCAGCCCCAGCTCAGCTTCCCCTCCCTGTAGAGAGGAGGAAGGAAGTGTCCATAAAAATACACTCAGTAATGAAACGTCAATTCTATGTTCTGACTTTTCTGGTGTGTGTCCTAACTTCCTGATGGTCTATGAGCTTTTCAACAAGGAAGACAGGCATCCCCTCCCAACAGCATCCGGTGCATACTTTCCACATGATAGACACTCAATTAATTTAACTGCCTGACTGGTTAGAACAGGAAAGGTAATAAGCCAGCGTCCAAACTTGTTCCCGGCAGGCCTCTAACTTCCTCCCTGAAAATGGCAGGCATCAGGAGCTCCAGGGCCCTCCACTTACTTCCATGTGGTGCTGCATGAATGACTCAGCCCTTTGGAAACACCTGAGCAGGGATCAGGTGCAAAGCAGAGCTAAAGGCTGCAGGGCAGGATCTTGGAAAGCAAGGCCTGTCAGGGAGTGCATGTGAATGTGCACAACCAAGGCCCTAAACTAGGACAAGGAACAGCCCTAGGATCAGCCCTGGGTGTGCACATGAGACTGGGGACCTCCAACCCAACTCCAAAACTTTCCCCATAGCCTTCCTCTTCCAAAGCCCACTGTGAGCATCCGTGCTTTTCTTTACTTCAGACCTTACATCCCACTCATCACTCTTAACTACTTCTTGCAGATAGGGGAACAAGAAAAACCAAAGTGTCTTCTTTTTAGAAAAAAAAAAAAAAACTAACATGGATAACAGCTGCTACTATATGCCAGGCATTATAGCTCTATTAGGTAAATTACCGTTAATTATTTCTATTTTACAGAAGGGAAAACTGAGGCTCAGAGTGATTAAGTCTTTTGCCTAAAAGTATTAGTATGCAGAAAGCCATTCAGATAGGAGGTGGTACATCTGGGATTTGAATCCACATATTTTTTGTGCAGAAGTTAAATATTTTCCTGTACACCTTGTTGCCTCCTGAGATAAGGCAGCAAGACCCCATGCTAAGGAAAGCTTGGCCAAACTGCACAAGGAATCCTTCCTGGCCAGCAGCAGGTCAGGAAGATCAGCAGGGGTGAATGTGTCACATTAAAGGTGAAACTGAGCATGAGAGAGAGTCAGATCATAGTGAGACCCTGTGTCCCACCCAGAGTGCTATGGCCCACCAGGGCAAAAAGAGCATTAATTAAGAGCCATAGGTCGGATAACAAAGCTCCAGAAATTAGCTTTGAAGGTGATCATCTGTTTCCTGCAAGAAAGAGGAGAAAAATTCAGCAGATTTTGTTCTCCTTTCCCACTATCAGAGATTAATATATTTGATTTTACCATCATCTTCATCATCATCATCATCAACTAACACTTATGAAGTGCTTGTATACTACATACTTGACTTGTATTATCTCATTTAACCCTTACAACAACCCAGGGCAGGGATATGGGTGTTATCCTCCCCACCTTTAACAAATGAGGAGGCTAAGGCTCAGAGTGCTACATCAACTTTATCCAAGCTGCACGGCAAGTCAATGGAAGAACCAGAATAGAACCTGAAACCGTTTACCTCTAGAACCCAAGCCCATAGCCATGACCACAGCAAGGGCTGTGCTACCCAAGCCCATAGCCATGACCATAGCAAGGGCTGTGCTGGTCATCACACTGAGGGGTACTCGTTGCTGGCTCTGAGGTCTCAATACACTCCAGACATTGAGATGTGGGTGTACCAATGGAGAAGCAGGATGGCAGCCTCCACTGCCACCCCACCCCCAGAAGCTAGAAGAGAAGGCCTGTATGAATAGGGGCGGTCAAGTATCAGCCCTGGGCAGCCTGGGGGAGCAGTAGGAGGAAGGAAGCAGCACAGGCACTAACCCTTAGCCTTGAGGCATCCAAAGGACCAGTGCTGCCTGAAGCACAGAACCCTGAGTCCCTTTGCTGCCTCTCTGCAGCATCCTATTTTTACCCCATGTTCCAAGAAGATTCCTCTCACACAGTCACAATCACGTGTGACCAGAGCCTTCTCAGGACTATGGCTTTCTCAAAACCAAAATAAAGCCTCCATTTGCTATCCCACTCTGATGCCATATGAAATACTTCATCACCATGGTTTTTGTTGTGGGGGTTATTTGGCAGGGAATCTGAAAACATATAAAGAGAAAGGTATAGTAAGACTTACATCTCTTTTTCATTCCTTAGGAAGAATTGTTATTTTGGTAAAGAAGGCTTGCAGCAGCATTGATTGCAATGCTGGGGGCTTCGCAGTTGTGCTAATGCGATCCTTTTTCTTTAGAAGCCAAGCCTGTTAAGCAGGGTGAATGCTAATGACTGCATAGAAATTATACAGCAAAATTTTATTCTAGGAAATTGAAATTGTAACTGATCTCCACTTTCATATTCTGTTGGATACTGATGTAACATAATCATCATGAAAAATTCCACAAATACCTATGGATGATTTACAATGTTAGATAATTGTGCTAGTGTCTTTCTTAAAAATAAACCAGATTTATGGTATTCAGTAAGTCACTGACTGAGACCATGTGAAAAGGCAGTACTGTGCCAAGGGTGTAAGCAGGGCTGGAATCTGAGAAACCAGGGTTCAGGTCTCAGCTCAGCCGCTACCTGGTGTGGCGCCTCAGAAGCTCCTCAGCCTCTGCCCCATCCTGCACCTATCCATAAGGTGGGAGTGATAATAATAACCCACCTCCATGGCTGATCACCAAGATCACATTAGAAGATTACCCAGCAGTAGTAGAGGATTCCCAAATGTGTTTTCTTCTTAGCAGACAGGTTTGTTGTGATAGTGTTGAATTCCACCTGAGCCCTGTGCTCCTGGGAAGCATGGAAGGTTCAAAAGTCCCCCACTGGGCCCACCACAGTGGCTCACACCTGTAATCCCAGCACTTTGGAAGGCCCAGGTGGGCAGATTACTTGAGGCCAGGAGTTCGAGACCAGCCTGGGCCAACATGGTGAAACACTGTCTCTACTAAAAATACAAAAAAATTAGCTAGGTGTGGTGGTGCATACCTGTAATCCCAGCTATCCAGGAGGCTGAAGCAGGAGAATCACTTGAACCCAGGAGGCAGAGGTTGCAGCGATTGGAGATCGCGCCATTGCACTCCAGCCTGGGCAACAAGAGTGAGACTCTGCCTCAAAATAAAAGGTCTCCCACCCTTTTGTGTTCTAGTGAATGCCATCCTGCAAAGAACTCCCCTTCCCCATTTGACTCACATAAGAACCATGGATGTCTCCCTTGATCACCTGTGACAAAGCTAGACACAGACTCTCCAAACTCCCATGTTTTGCCTTATAAATGATCACCAGAACCATTTCATCCCCAACCATTCAATAGGAACAATCTGAACAAAATGCCTGAAAACCAAACATTAGCTAAGTTTCTCCCCTTCCCCGTGTCCCTGAACTTTGGCTCACCCTCACCCTAAGCCAGCAGACAGCCCATCCTGAGAGCAGGCAGGTCTCACGATTATAACATTCTCTGAGCTGCTGTCCTGATCCTCTCATCCCACTTCTTCACAGTGGTTCTTTCTAGCCTTGTTTACTCCTCCCTATAAAAGAAAAACCCTTTTTGCCTAACCTTTGAGAGACCTGCACATACATTAGTCCCCCGGCCTTATCCACAGTTTCACTTTCTGGAGCTTCAGTTACCCAAAGTCAACTGTGGTCAAAAAATAGGTGAGTACATTAAAAACATCCCCATCTGACTGCTCTGAAGAAAGCAGTGGTTCTCTCAGCACGGCGTTTGAACTCCAAGAATGGACAGACTGCCTCCTCAAGTGGGTCCCTGACCCCTGTGTAGCCTGACTAGGAGACACCTCCCACTAGGGGCCGACAGACACCTCAAACAGGCGGGCGCCCCTCTGGGATGAAGCTTCCAGAGGAAGGATCAGGCAGCAACATTTGCTGTTCTGCAGCCTCCACTGGTGATACCCAGGCAAACAAGATCTGGATGGACCTCAGGCAAACTCCAACAGACCTGCAGCTGAGGGGCTTGATTGTTGGAAGGAAAACTAACAAACACAAAGGAATAGCATCAACATCAACAAAAAGGAGGTCCACACAAAAACCCCATCTGTAGGTCACCATCATCAAAGACCAAAGGTAGATAAAACCACAAAGATGGGGAGAAACCAGAGCAGAAAAGCAGAAAATTCCAAAAACCAGACCACCTCTTCTCCTCCAAAGGATCGCAGCTCCTCGCCAGCAAGGGAACAAAACTGGATGGAGAATGAGTTTGACGACTTGACAGAAGTAGGCTTCAGAAGGTCGGTAATAACAAACTTCTCTGAGCTAAAGGAGCATGTTCTAACCCATCACAAGGAAGCTAAAAACCTTGAAAAAAGGTTAGATGAATGGCTAACTAGAATAAACAGTGTAGAGGAGAGCTGATGGAACTGAAAACCCAGCATGAGAACTTCGTGATGCATGTACAAGTTTCAATAGCCAATTCAATCAAGTGGAGGAAAGGATACCAATGATTGAAGATGAAATTAATGAAATAAAGCAAGAAGACAAGATTAGAGAAAAAAGAGTGAAAAGAAATGAACAAAGCCTCCAAGAAACATGGGACTATGTGAAAAGACCAAATATACATTTGACTGATGTACTGGAAAGTGATGGGGAGAATGGAACCAAGTTAGAAAACACTCTTCAGGATATTATCCAGGAGAACTTCCCTAACCTAGCAAGGCAGGCCAACATTCAAATTCAGGAAATACAGGGAACACCACAAAGATACTCCTCGAGAAGAGCAACCCCAAGACACATAATTGTCAAATTCACCAAGGTTGAAATGAAGGAAAAAATGTTAATGGCAGCCAGAGAGAAAGGCTGGGTTACCCACAAAGGGAAGCCCATCAAACTAACAGCAGATGTCTCAGTGGAAACCCTACAAGCCAGAAGACAGTGGGGGCCAAATTCAACATTCTTAAAGAAAATAATTTTCAACCCAGAATCTCATATCCAGGCAAACTAAGCTTCATAAGTGAAGGAGAAATAAAATCCTTTACAGACAAACAAATGCTAAGAGATTTTGTTATCACCAGGTCTGCCTTACAAGAGCTCCTGAAGGAAGCACTAAACATGGAAAGGAACAACCGGTAACAGCCACTGCAAAAACATGCCAAATTGTCAAGACCATCGACATTATGAAGAAACTGCATCAATTAATGGGCAAAATAAACAGCTAACATCATAATGACAGGATCAAATTCAAACTTAATAATATTAACCTTAAATGTAAATGGGCTAGCCCCAATTAAAAGACACAGACTGGCAAATTGGATAAGGAGTCAAGACCCATCAGTGTGCTGTATTCAGGAGACCCATCTCACATGCAAAGATGCACATAGGCTCCAAATAAAGGGATGGAGCAAGATCTACCAAGCAAATGGAAAGCAAAAAAAAGCAGGAGTTGCAATCTTAGTCTCTGATAAAACAGACTTTAAACCAACAAAGATGAAAAGAGACAAAGAAGGCCACTACATAATAGTAAAGGGATCAATTCAACAGGAAGAGCTAACTATCCTAAATATATATGCACCCAATATGGGAGCACCCAAATTCATAAAGCAAGTCCTTAGAGACCTACAAAGAAACTTAGACTCCCACACAATAATAATGGGAGACTTTAACATCCCACTGTCAATATTAAACAGATCAACGAGACGGAAGGTTAACAAGGATATCCAGGACTTCAATTCAGCTCTGGAACAAGCGGACCTAATAGACATCTACAGAACTCTACACCTCAAAGCAACAGAATATACGTTTTTGTCAGCACTACATCGCACTTACTCTAAAATTGACCACATAATTGGAAGTAAACCACTCTTCAGCAAATGTAAAAGAACAGAAATCATAACAAACTGTCTCTCAGACCGCAGTGCAATCAAATTAGAACTCAGGATTAAGAAACTCACTCAAAACAGCACAACTACATGGAAACTGAACAACATGCTCCTGAATGACTACTGGATAAATAACAAAATGAAGGCAGAAATAAAGATGTTCTTTGAAACCAATAAGAATAAAGACACAACATGCCAGAATCTCTGGGACACATTTAAAGCAGTGGGAAATTTATAGCACTAAATGCCCCCAAGAGAAAGCAGGAAAGATCTAAAATTGACACCCTAACATCACAATTAAAAGAACTAGAGAAGCAAGAGCAAGCAAAATCAAAAGCTAGCAGAAGGCAAAAAATAACTAAGATCAGAGCAAAACTGAAGGAGATAGAGACACAAAAAAACCTTCAAAAAAATCAATGGATCCAGGAGCTGGTTTTTTGAAAACATCAACAAAATAGATAGACCACTAGCAAGACTAATAAAGAAGAAAAGAGAGAAGAATCAAATCAATGCAATAAAAAATGATAAAGGGGATATCACCACCGATCCCACAGAAATACAAACTACCATTAGAGAATCCTATAAACACTTCTATGCAAATAAACTAGAAAATCTAGAGAAATGGATAAATTCCTGAACACATACACCCCCCAAGAATAAAACAGGAAGAAGTGGAATCTCTGAATAGACCAATAACAGGTTCTGAAAGTGAGGCAATAATTAATAGCCTACCAACCAAAAAAAGTCCAGGACCAGACCGATTCATGGCTGAATTCTACCAGAGATACAAAGAGGAGCTGATACCATTCCTTCTGAAACTATTCCAATCAATAGAACAAGAGGGAATCCTCCCTAACTCATTTTATGAGGCCAGCATCATCCTGATACCAAAGCCTGGCAGAGACACAACAAAAAAAGAGAATTTTAGGCCAATATCCCTGATGAACATTGATGCGAAAATCCCCAATAAAATACTGGCAAACCGAATTCAGCAGCACATCAAAAATCTCATCCACCACGATCAAGTCAGCTTCATCACTGGGATGCAAGGCTGGTTCAACATACACAAATCAGTAAATGTAATCCATCACATAAACAGAACCAACAACAAAAACCACACGATTATCTCAATAGATGCAGAAAAGGCCTTCGACAAAATTCAACAACCTTTCATGCTAAAAACTCTCAATAAACTGGTATTGATGGAACATATCTCAAACAAATAAGAGCTATTTATGACAAACCCACACCCAATATCATACTATATGGGCAAAAACTAGAAGCATTCCCTTTGAAAACCAGCACAAGACAAGGATGCCCTCTCTCACCACTCCTATTCAACATAGTGTTGAAAGTTCTAGCTAGGGCAATCAGGCAAGAGAAAGAAATAAATAGTATTCAATTAGAGAAAGGGGAAGTCAAATTGTCTGTGTTTGCAGATGACATGATTTTATATTTAGAAAACCCTATCATCTCAGCCCAAAATCTTCTTAAGCTGATAAGCAACTTCAGCAAAGTCTCAGGATACAAAATCAATGAGCAAAAATCACAAGCATTTCTATACACCAATAATAGACAAACAGAGAGCCAAATCATGAGTGAACTCCCATTCACAATTACTACAAAGAGAATAAAATACCTAGAAATCCAGCTTACAAGGGATGTGAAGCACCTCTTCAAGGAGAACTACAAACCACTGCTCAAGGAAATAAGAGAGGACACAAACGAATGGAAGAACATTCCATGCTCATGAATAGGAAGAATCAATATCATGAAAATGGCCATTCTGCCCAAGGTAATTTATAGATTCAATGCTATCCCCATCAAGCTACCATGGACTTTCTTCATAGAATTAGAAAAAACTACTTTAAAGTTCATATGGAACCAAAAAAGCCCACATAGCCAAAACAATTATAAGCAAAAAGAACAAAGCTAGAGGCATCACACTATCTGACTTCAAACTATACTACAAGACTACAGAAAACAAAACAGCATGATACTGGTACCAAAACAGATATATAGACCAATGGAACAGAATAGAGGCCTCAGAAATAACACCACACATCTACAATCATCTTATCTTTGACAAACCTGACAAAATAAGCAACAGGGAAAGGATTCTCTATTTACTAAATGGGGTTGGGAAAACTGGCTAGCCATAGTATGGCTATGTAGAAAGTATGGCCTATGTAGAAAGCTGAAACTAGATCCCTTCCTTACACTGTATAAAACATTAACTCAAGATGGATTAAAGACTTAAATGTAAAACCTAAAACCATAAAAACCCTAGAAGAAAACCTAGGCAATACCATTCAGGACATAGGCATGGACAAAGACTTCATGACTGAAACACAAAAAACAATGGCAACAAAAGCCAAAATAGACAAATGGGATCTAATTAAACTAAAGAGCTTCTGCGCAGCAAAAGAAACTGTCATCACAAAGACAAAAACCACATGATTATCTCAATAGATGCAGAAAAAGCCTTTGACAAAATTCAACAACGCTTCATGCTAAAAACTCTCAATAAATTAGGTATTGATGGGACGTATTTCAAAATAATAAGAGCTATCTATGACAAACCCACAGCCAATATCATACTGAATGGGCAAAAACTGGAAGCATTCCCTTTGAAAACTGGCACAAGACAGGGATGCCCTCTCTCACCACTCCTATTCAACATAGTGTTGGAAGTTCTGGCCAGGGCAATTAGGCAGGAGAAGGAAATAAAGGGTATTCAATTAGGAAAAGAGGAAGTCAAACTGTCCCTGTTTGCAGACGACATGACTGTATATGTAGAAAACCCCATTGTCTCAGCCCAAAATCTCCTTAAGCTGATAAGCAACATCAGCAAAGTTTCAGGATATAAAATCAATGTACAAAAATCACAAGCATTCTTATACACCAACAACAGACAAACAGAGAGCCAAATCATGAGTGAACTCCCATTCACAATTGCTTCAAAGAGAATAAAATACCTAAGAATCCAACTTACAAGGGATGTGAAGGACCTCTTCAAGGAGAACTACAAACCACTGCTCAAGGAAATAAAAGAGGATACAAACAAATGGAAGAACATTCCATGCTCATGGGTAGGAAGAATCAATATCATGAAAATGGCCATACTGCCCAAGGTAATTTACAGATTCAATGCCATCCCCATCAAGCTACCAATGACTTTCTTCACAGAATTGGAAAAAACTACTTTAAAGTTCATATGGAACCAAAAAAGAGCCCGCATCGCCAAGTCAATCCTAAGCCAAAAGAACAAAGCTGGAGGCATCACACTACCTGACTTCAAACTATACTACAAGGCTACAGTAACCAAAACAGCATGGTACTGGTACCAAAACAGAGATATAGATCAATGGAACAGAACAGAGCCCTCAGAAATAATGCCGCATATCTACAACTATCTGATCTTTGACAAACCTGACAAAAACAAGCAATGGGGAAAGGATTCCCTATTTAATAAATGGTGCTGGGAAAACTGGCTAGCCATATGTAGAAAACTGAAACTGGATCCCTTCCTTACACCTTATACAAAAATCAATTCAAGATGGATTAAAGACTTAAACGTTAGACCTAAAACCATAAAAACCCTAGAAGAAAACCTAGGCATTACCATTCAGGACATAGGCATGGGCAAGGACTTCATGTCTAAAACACCAAAAGCAATGGCATCAAAAGACAAAATTGACAAATGGGATCTAATTAAACTAAAGAGCTTCTGCACAGCAAAAGAAACTACCATCAGAGTGAACAGGCAACCTACAAAATGGGAGAAAATTTTCACAACCTACTCATCTGACAAAGGGCTAATATCCAGAATCTACAATGAACTCAAACAAATTTACAAGAAAAAAAAAACAACCCCATCAAAAAGTGGGCGAAGGATATGAACAGACACTTCTCAAAAGAAGACATTTATGCAGCCAAAAAACACATGAAAAAATGCTCATCATCACTGCCCATCAGAGAAATGCAAATCAAAACCACAATGAGATACCATCTCACACCAGTTAGAATGGCAATCATTAAAAAGTCAGGAAACAACAGGTGCTGGAGAGGATGTGGAGAAATAGGAACACTTTTACACTGTTGGTGGGACTGTAAACTAGTTCAACCATTGTGGAAGTCAGTGTGGCGATTCCTCAGGGATCTAGAACTGGAAATACCATTTGACCCAGCCATCCCATTACTGGGTATATACCCAAAGGACTATAAATCATGCTGCTATAAAGACACAGGCACACATATGTTTATTGCGGCATTATTCACAATAGCAAAGACTTGGAACCAACCCAAATGTCCAACAATGATAGACTGGATTAAGAAAATGTGGCACATATACACCCATGGAATACTATGCAGCCATAAAAAATGATGAGTTCATGTCCTTTGTAGGGACATGGATGAAATTGGAAATCATCATTCTCAGTAAACTATCGCAAGAACAAAAAACCAAACACCGCATATTCTCACTCATAGGTGGGAACTGAACAATGAGATCACATGGACACAGGAAGGGGAATATCACACTCTGGGGACTGCTGTGGGGTAGGGGGAGGGGGGAGGGATAGCATCGGGAGATATACCTAATGCTAGATGACGAGTTAGTGGGTGCAGCGCACCAGCATGGCACATGTATACATATGTAACTAACCTGCACAATGTGCACATGTACCCTAAAACTTAAAGTATAATAAAAAAAATTAAAAAAAAAAAAAAGAAACTATCATCAGAGTGAACAGGCAGCCTACAGAATGGGAGAAAATTTTTGCAGTCTACCCGTCTTACAAAGGGCTAATATCCAGAATCTACAAAGAACTTAAACAAATTTACAAGAAAAAAGCAAACAACTCCATCAAAAAGTGGGCAAAGGATATGACCAGACACTTCTCAAAGAAGCCATCTATGCAGCCAACAGACATACGAAAAAATGCTCATCATCACTGATCATCAGAGAAATGCAAATCAAAACCACAATGAGGTACCATCTCACGCCAGTTAGAATAGCAATCATTAAAAAGTCAGGAAACAACAGATGCTG